>NC_000023.11:81250420-81553451 GCF_000001405.40 Homo sapiens
ATAAAATAAAAATAGAAAGAAAAAAATAGTCTTAGCTATAATGATAGGTGATTATTTCCCTTCCTGGTCTCACGCATAATACTTTGGTATAACCCAAGTTTGGTGTTGTACTCCATCCTCTTCTTTTTCCTTCTCCACATTTAAAAGAAATTATTAAGTATAGTTGATGAAATTATGCCTTCATTGATATACAGTAGCCTGATTTATATAAAGTTTACCAACTTCAACTATTTTTTTTCTCCTCGGAACAAACTTTCAAGGCCAAATTCTTGTTCTTCATAAAGCACCCATAGGTGCAATAAAAATGCAGAATTTAGACCTTAGTTTAAGTTTTTCTTTTTCTCAGCAAATACTATTCACAGTCATGAGCCACGTTTTCCTTCAATTGTACTGGTAGATAATAGGCACTAGGCAGTCATTGAATGTATCCAAATATACCTGGTCCCCGTGTTGGATGGAAAAGCTAGAGAGCTTCATTTTGTGACCTGATATGAAATATATTCATAAATACACCATCAGGTAGAGAGTTAAAAAAATACTGCTTTAAGTTATACCATAGCTTCTAATCTTAAATTTGTGATATTTGTAAAAAATCCTGCTGATTTTTAATGAAGACTGCATAATTAAAGAAACCTCCTAAGACTTTTCACAAGTCAAAGGACACCCAGCTCTCTAATCATTATCATAAACTAAATTGGGCAATCTGAGACGTTTTATGAAAATTACTCGTATTTTAATGGATTTTATGCAATATCATTTAAAATATATTTTGGATTTCAGTTCTAGACTTGAATGCTGGAAAATGTATTAGACAAAAATATTTATTAGAATAACTGCTTAAAATATGTTTTTAACTGTTAAAGGAATTTTATATTTTAATACTATAGTTTTCTGTTTATTAGTTTAAAGCCACTCTTTTTTTTTCATTGGCTTGACTAGCTCGCTTCCGCTTTTCAATTTTTAGGATGAAAAATTTCCTAATTGTTTAACAAATTACTGTTTTTTTTTTATTTATGACTTAATTCTTTAATTTCCTCTTGTATAATATGGTGGTAAAGATCATGGGTTCTAAAATTGTGCTGTTTAGTTTGAATCTCTGTTCTACCATTTTCTAGCTGTGTTCTCTTGGGCAAGAAAGTTAAACTGCTCTGAGAACTGTTTTCTCATTAATTACAATGAGACACAGTGCTTAGTGTCATGTCTGGCATATGATATAAGTATTTAAAATGTATAATTCTCACATATATTTCACTGAAGTACAGCAAATTGAATTTTAATGTCCCACTAAACTTTAAACATTCTAAAACAGAAACAATATTTTCTACTTTTTTGCTCCCTGAAAACTGAGGCTGTGGAACCAGAACTAACCTACAGGATATTGGGGGTAGCTTCCACTGCTAGGATATTTCATAGAAACATGAACTGAAGAATATGGAAAAAGCATTAATCATTTTTAAAATTGCTACATAGCAGTAATCTTTTCAAATTATTTCTTAACACTTCCACTTGTTTTTATACCAAGAAAAATGGAATTATTTATATGGAATTCTACATGTTCTGGATGGCTGGGAATATTTAGTGCTTTTTTTCTGTTCCCCTAAAAAGATAGTTACTTAGGTGTTGGTCTGTTTCAAATCTATTGTGAAAAAGTTGCAGTATTCTATGATGAAGAATCATTAACAAGTATTTATCATGTAGATATTTTAAAATATCCATAAATGTTTACAGAAACTGCATCTATACCAATAAACAAAGAAACATTCCTGAGATATACCTGAAACATACCTGAGATGTACTGAAGCGCAGAGATGATTAGTAACCTCTTTAAATTTTAGAGAGTTTATAATGGGCAGAATCCAATACCCGTTTGCTGTCAGTTATACCTGTTTGCCAGTTAGTCAGATGCTCAGGTAAATTAGATATATTTCAATAAATTATCTATTGTTGGATCACTAAGTGATACTTTAGAATAAATCATCTAAGATACTTTAGAATAAATCATTCCAGTTGTGCATATGAATGCATCATTTTAATGGAGAAAATGTATCTTACTGTCTCACCATGGAAACTGGCTTATAACTGAACTTCGCTTTTTAGTAAAGGGGTATTCAGTCTTTTGGCGTCCCTGGGCCGCATTGGAAAAAAAGTTGTCTTGGGTCACACATAAAATACAGTAACCCTAATGATATCTGATGAGCTAAAAAAAAATTCCAAAAAAATCTCATAGTGTTTTTAAAAAGTTTATGAATTTGTGTTGGACCACATTCAAAGCCGTCCTGGGCCACATGTGGCCCTTGGGTCCCCGGTTGGACTAGCTTGTTTTAGTATATGGCTTCCCACTGGATCTTAAACAGGTTTTAGCCACATTTTTGGTAAGCAGTTCAGCATTTTTAAAAATCAGTGGGTAAAATGAGTATTTGAATTTCTACAATTTTATTTCCTGTAATTTATACTTACTACTAATATTGATAAAATTAAAACAAACAAGAGAAAAAAGCAGTTCTGCTTACACAACATTTGAGTAATAACACAAGACATTAGAGTTCTTTTTTCATACACTTTACTTTCAATAAGGATTCTATGTTATTTTCTTTTTTCAACTTGAATACTATTAGATTTATGTCAATAAGTGATTCTCTGAATCAGGATCAAAATGCTTATGGCAAAAACATGTTCATAGAGTGAATAAATGCTTTGCAGCTTGTCTATACTTTAAAATGAGGCCATGGTTTACTTTTCGTCTTTTGGTAAATATATGGAGATTTGCTTTTAGAGTGAAAATAGGTAAAGATGTAATGTGGATCACAATAATTGATTTCACACATAAATAACCCACTTAACAAGAGAGTGATGAAGGAATTGTATTATCATCCCTGGAGATGGAAGAGTTCAGTCTGGCTTGATGGATTATTTTTGTTTTTTTCTGTTTGTTTGTTTGTTTTTTTATTTTTCTGAGATAGTCTTGCTCTGTTACCTGGGTTGTTACCCAGTGGCATGGTCATGGATCACTGCAGCCTCAATTTCCTGGCCTCAAGCAAACCTCTCACCTTGGCCTCTCAAAGTGCTGGAATTACAAGCGTGAGCCACTTTGCCAGGCACTTGATGGATTCTTCAAGCATCCATGACTCCTATTTTTAATTGAATTGTTATACAACTTAACACCCACAATTTTCTGTTCAACCAGGTGGTGAAATTACAGGTTTTAATCACTCAACACAACATTTGATGTTCAGATGACCTTCCCTTTCAAAAATCTGTAAGACAAGAGCTGGACACTTTATAATAGTCAAAATAACTTGTAAATGGTAGATGTTGGCATACGATTTTTTATTGATTTCTTGCTTTTTTGCACATCTTGTGAGCAGTGGCACTGACTGCTTTTGTTCTGTATTATCTTTTCAAAGATGCAAATATCCTTGAAAGATATAGTGTCTCCCTTCAGAGCAAAGGGTAGATTTGCTTACTGTCCAGTATAAAGGATTCAGATTATGTATCCTTTCCCTCTGTATCATCATGTAGAAATTGAGGATCAGGAAGCAGGTAAAAGAAAATGCTGATACTCTGATTACTGCTGTATCTGTGGCCCAGGGGTCTCGTGTTATCTGCCAGCATCCTTAAAACTGTGTTAGGCTTACAAGTTAGTTTGCAAGTAGGGTAAAATCTCAGACTCCACCATTCTTGACAGTAGTTCTTATTTCTGGACATACTGTTGTTCTTGATAGTCATAGTTCAAATAACTATGCTAACAATTAATTGCACAGAAATTCAGTAATGAGCCCATAGAATTATATGACCCAAGCCCCTTTTATTTTAGCACCTTTTGTTTGCTAGTTGGTTAACTTCTTGGATCATTTGATTCTGGTCTTATTTAACCAATTAGGTAATATATGGCAGTTGTTCTCAGCTGGGCAGTTTGGACCATGTTTTTTTGGCTTGTGTCTGAGAGTACATTCTTAGTGCTTTCTGGTATGTTCATCTGGGGCACACCGCTGTGGCTTCAGACTAGTTCTTCTTCCTATGGCAAATAAATTTGTTTTGGTGGGTAAACAATTATCTAAGTTGCTAGGCTCCCTTGAAAGGAAAGTGTTTAATTTCTTTTGTAATGAAATCTTATCACTTTACCAACTATAGAGGAAAAAGCCCAGTGCTACAGCTAACATAGTCTGAAAAGGTAGTATTTGCTTTTGTTGTGTGTGTTTTCTTTAGTCATGGGGAGCCCTTCAGGTATGATGATTACCATGTGGACCCACCATCAGTGACAGATGTTTAACAGTTATTTTCCCAGACCAGCCTAGAGAGGGTGACCAGGGAAATGCAGTATTTTTGTGTGTGAAAGTAACTTGATCAAGACTTATTTACCAACTGAGTGTGCAGCCTTGAAGAGGCATTGATGTAAACAGATTTTAGATTGTTAAGCAACATTTATTAATATACATTGCTTTGTGGAGATTCTTACAACTTCTTTCTTAAGTTTTTTTTTTTTTTTTTTGATATGGAGTCTCGCTCTGTTGCCAGGCTGGAGTGCAGTGGCACGATCTCGGCTCACTGCAACCCTTGCCTCTGGGTTCAAGCGATTCTCCTGCCTCAGCCTCCCCAGTAGCTGGGACTACAGACGTGCGCCACCACACCTGGCTAATTTTTGTATTTTTAGTAAAGACGGGGTTTTATCATGTTGGCCAGGAGGTTCTCAATCTCCTGACCTCATGGTCCGCCCCCCTCAGCCTCCCAAAGTGCTGGGATTACAGGCGTGAGCCACCACACCCAGCCACAAATTCTTTTAAAAAGCAAAATTGCAATCATCCTATGTTTGTGGAAGGCCATTTACACTCTTTTACCCTGAATAGACTGTAACTGAAGGTTAGTTTTGAAATGGGTGGCTATGTTTAATTTTTCAGTGTGTGAAAAATAAAGGCATGCCTATTTGTCTCATTATATGAAGTTAATAAAGCATGCTATTTAGTTAGACAAGGGTTTCATTGTTTTGAAAGCTGATCCTGTGATCTAAAATTCTGAGAGAATTTTCTGTGGAAATTACCCAGTTATATAATGTGTACAAAGATTTGCTATCTTCTGCTGTTAAACATTTAATAGAATAATAATTATTAAGGATATATAAAATGAATTTATATAAGTTGAATTGGGGCATTGTGTGCCATTTCAGTGAATTTGAACAATCTGCCAAAGGATTATGATTCTTTCCTGCATTTGAGGGCTTGCTTCACAGTGAGTGTTAGATTGCGATTCTGTCAGAGTGATGCCATTAGCAATAGGTCAGACCCCTGAATAATTTTCTGTTTTGCTCCCCTTCTTTCACTTTATTTATAGTTCAGTTATTTATGGTTGCCACTGTAATAACACTTTTGAGTTTAAAAAAGCCATTGCCTTAAAATATTTTTGTTGTATTGAGAGAAAATTTGGTTCTAACAAAGAGACGTTTTACTGGGATGAAAATACAGAAAGGCCTATGGAGAAATAGCTTTTTTTCCCATTGGAAAAATAAAGGGAAGTGGAGAAGTACATTTATTTCAACCTAGAATCATTAGGAGTTGCATTTCTGAGAATTTTCATGTGTGTTTCTATGGGTATTATTAGTCTTCTTCATAGAATGATTTGGGGGACTTTCGGAGATTATGTCAATAACTTCCTTACTCCTCATTATTTCACAATGTTTTTGGTTTTCCCCCTTTTTCAGAAACAAATGTTGGTGGATTTTCACAGTGAACACTAGCTAAGTACATGAGTAGGTTTTGAGTATAGGGATTGAGGTTCAGATTTATTTAACTTCAGAACGTTTTCTACTGCTTCAGATTTATCTATTCATTGAGAGAGAGAATGCTTTTGCATTTGAAACAATTTAATAGGTGCCAATCTAAGAAAAAGAGCAATTTTACAATTTGGCAGGATGTTCTTTGATGGGAATTGACTTAGCGCTCCAGAAATATATTGCTCCACAGTATTTAACTGCCAGTCAACTTTCTTATTAGATTCTCTTACTTTAGAAGCTCCTTTTTATGGATCATTATCAAGATATAATTTCTTACTTTGGTCAGCCCTTTTTCTGAGCAGAACACTTTTGGAGTTTTGCTGTAATTCAATAAATTGTTATGTCTTCTTAAGTTTCTCAGGGAGAAATTTACAGTTTCCCAGTGATCCTTCAAACATTTACTGGGCATACAAAGTAGCCTATCTTGTTTCTCAGAGCCCCATGATGTGAGTGAGGAAAGTTATTAGGCTTCATTAATGCTTAGGCATCAGCCCAGCGTATTGTAAACTACTTGGCTGATCGTGCTACCTAGCAACTATATTGCTTTCTTTAAACACTTTATCATCCCTATTTGTTGTTTCTATTGATATTGACAGCAGCTTAAGAAACATTTTATTGAATTGTGCAGATACAGTTTTCTTATGTTTGATCCCAAAGTCCAGTTCTTCATTTACATACCTTCACTATTATACTGCCCTAGGAAGACTTTCCTATATTATGGTTGATGCATTATTCTGTCATTCATTAGTTTTAATAGCTTGAGGGGAGGGATTTTCTCTCAACTCTATATATCTCTAGTTTCTTATGTATATTTAAAATACTAGCTACCAATCCTTGAGTACTTATTATCATTTATTAATTTGTTTATTCTCTACATATTTATAGAATACCCGCTATGGGTCACAGATATGATAGCAGGCACTAGATAACATGATCAGCCATGAGAGAGCTTATAATTAACAATCTAGCTTATTTTTTGACAGGCAGTGCAATAGGCACATTGCATCTGTTATATATAATTTTCTGTGCAACGATTCTGAGAGGTAGGTATTATGACTCTCAACTAATAGATGAGGAATTTGAGACTCAGAGAAGTTAATCAAGTTGCTCAGTCACACAGATAAATGGAGGATTTGAGATTCAAATGCAAGTCAGTCAGGTTCTGTATTAGTTTTCTATGCTGTGTAACAAATACTAAGTATTTAGTGGCTTGAAACAACACACACTTATTACATCACAGTGCCTATGGGTCAGGAGTCCTGGCACAGCTTAGCTGAGTTCTCCTCTAAAAGACTACAATCAAGGTGTCAGCAAGGACTGACTTCTCAATCTGATGGCTCCACTATGGCAGAATCAATTTTCAAGCTCATATGAATGTTGGCAAAATTCATTTCTTTGAGGCTGTAGTGCTCATGGCATTTTGCTTCTTCATAGCCAGAAAAAGAAAGACCCTAGTGTGAGTCTTCTAGAAAAAGTATTTTATAACATAACATCATCATTAGAGTGACATCCTATCACCTTTGCCAAATTCTATTGGTTGGAAGCAAATAGCAGATCCTACCCACACTCAAGGGGAGGGAAGCATACAAGGGAGTGAACACCAGGAGGTGGGGAACATGGTGGGGCCACATTAGAGTGGGTCACAGGTTCCACAATCTGTAATTGTTCCACTGTACCATGCTGCATCTAGTAAGAGCTCAACATCTATGAATTGATTTTTTAAAATTCTGTAAAGCTATATAACACTATTAGAAAAGTTTAGGGGTAAAATCCCCATAATCTCATGATCCCAACACAGTTCAATGAGTCTCCTGAGCAAGGTGCTAGGTACTCATGCCTGCTGTCTCAAAGCCATCATAATGATGGTGTTTGACTTCCTGTTAGTCTTTAAAAAATATACACAGTTCTCCTTTTTACTGCTGAAATCAGAGCAAATATATTATTCTCCAGAATTCCTTTCTCAATTTTGATATCATTAACATTTTTTCCTGTTGCTGAAGAATTGTATAGCTGTCAGTTTCAGAGTGCTCACAACATTCTTTCAACTGTCCATGCCACCAAACATTTATTTTATCAGATCCAAATGATTGGATATGCAGGCAACTTTCAATCTTCCACTGCTGAAAACAAGTAAATGAACAACAACAACAGAACACAGTTACATAACTACTTCAGACTCAGAATTCTGCCGTCTTTTGGATTATTTACTTAAACTAGGAATCCAGAAGTGAAATTACTGGATCAAATAACATGAACATTTCCATGGCTCTGGGTGCATGCTATCAAAATATTTCTGATTTTATTTGACTGACTTAATTAACAGCCTTCAAAATTTCCAAGGCATATGATAGTGCTATTAGGAACTCTGTGATCACTGGAAAGACAATATCTTAACCTGTCCTAAATCAAGGTGTTTTGGTTGAGAGAAGTGGGGAGAATTATCTTCTCTTCATGGCCATGGGCCATTTCTAAGGGTCTTAGTCTACCCTGGAGTTCAAGTGGAAGACATGGATACCCTCAGGATACTGCCTTACCCTTCATATCAAATGATGTCATGTCTATGGATATTTTTCCTGGTCACAGTGTAGGACAGTGCCTTTCCTACAATAGATCAGAGGCTATTCTCACAGGACATTTGGGAAATCTGTATTTCCTTGTGTACAGGGACAGATTGGACTAATTTATCTATTTAGATGCAGTACTCTGCTATTGTATGTATCCACTTTAGCAGCACATTTTACAGTAGGGTTTTCTGCAATAGAAAAGTAAAAAGAAAAAAAGCTAATGTTATACACAGTAGACTGGCTCATAGTTTTCATCCAGTTAACACTAACAAGAACAGATTAATTGATTATTACTTTTCTTGTGATTCAAGAACTGATAGTTTGGAGTTTGTAGTTACAGTCTGTTTTTAAAAGTATCTGTTGTGAGCTGGAGAATTTAGCTACCAAATTTGGTTTGCATATGCCTGCCCTGTGACCTCACATCAGCCTGTTTGAAGGTTTGTGTATTTTTGCTTATCCTTATATGGGAAGGCTGCCTGGAGGATCTGTCTGACCAAAATTAGAAGCACTGTAGCATTTGTAGGAAGTGTGGTTTTAGGATGTGGATTGTCTTTGTTGCATAGAGAAGGTGGTGAGTTGGAGAACATCTTACAGACTATAAAATAATCATCATTTCATAGCTCTTAATGGTCCTTATAACTAGTCAGATTCCCTTGATTCTCTAGATTCTTGAACTTGTCCCTTGACAAAGTTCCCCTAGAGAGAATTGAAATCTATGCAGAAACTCACTGTACCGAATTGGTAATGGTAGTGATAAGGGCAGGGAAGTGGAAGCTGGAATGAACTGGTTTGTTTGCTTTCAAAATCTTAGTGTAACTCTAGTCAGAAATTTTTGAAATGGAAGGTCAACATATGCTAGGCTAGCACTTGTCACAAATTTAGTTTTGGTACTTGATTGTGACAGTGTGATTTGTTTCAAGGAAGGCTTTTGCTTTAAGGCACCTACTCCCAAAGCCCTCAGAACAACCTAAAATACTTGTTCCTCTATTTCCCTTTTATTACTCATTTTCTGTAGCCACCTATGGTCAGAAGCCACTGACACTGTTATGGAAGCACTGTTGTGGAATGTTCTTAACTTCACACTTTATTTGACTAAATACATGAAAACAGTTTCAAATGGAGATAGGACTTTATTTTGGTAAAGTCATTGTAATTCATATGAATCATTGCTTCTTCACAGAAACTTTTTCTTACGAAATCTTAAAGATCCAGGAGGCTTTTATTGCTGCTGGCATGTTTCTTTGTTTCATTATCACATAATCTCAGACTGGGAAAGGACAAAATGATTACCTAAAAAAACCTATGGTGTATAAAACCTTCAAAATACTCAAAATAACCAACAGGTATTCTTGTTTTTTCTTAGGCCAAACTTTAGAATTAAGCATAATGCAAAAGTATTATGAGTCATATCTGCACTCAAGGAGGCTTCATTAAGTTGGCAGACAGTGTAATTAGCATGAGACAACATACATTGTAGTGCGTGATTTTGTTATTCGTAGGCTTAGTGTTTAAATGGTGCTTTTTGGTCTGACAGAGCATGGGTAACTGTGTAACTTGGAGCATGTTCCTTAATCCATCTGAGCATTTGTCTCTTTATCTATGAATTTGGAATGAAAATAATAACAGCTGTCTCATAAGGTTATTGTTAGAATTAAATAAAATAAGCATGTAAAGAGCTTAGCACAGTGCCTGGCCCATAGGAAGCACTTAATACATAATAATTATTGTATTATACTTTACAATACAATTATATCTGCAATACAGAGAGAGACTTAATACATATAGAATTCCATAACCCATTGCTAGCACACTCTAAAGTGGGGTCTGTGTCTCACTGTTTCTTCTTATGAGCCCAGCCCTAATATACCCACTTACTTGTAGCAGAAAGAGGCCAAACTTTGATTAAGGGCTCGTTAGATTCCATCATTAAATTATCTACTAGTATGGAATTTGTGACCTTATAATTATAATTAAAGTTCCTTCAGACCATAACTACTATCTTTATTTTAGTTTTACTTACATCAGGGTAAGAACAGTGGCCATTAGGCTCAATGTGTACTCAGGGACTATCATCTTGATTGAACTATAGCTCCTAACATTATTAGGCAGGAGTCGAACACTGATCCTTCCCTAGAAGCAGAAGATCTTAGAGCTGAAATTGGGTATTATACTGATTTTGTTTATAATGATGTAGAAATTGATTAAATTGTGTACATACTCATTTGGATAAAAAAAGGAAGCAAAATCACAGACTGGTAAGTAGAAGTTAAATTTAAATTATTTAGCAAGAACACATCAAAAGTGATATTAGTTGTAAAAGATTGTCGACCTTCTATAAAAATCTCTTAAGAAAAAAGCCATATAAAATATCATGAGGCTAGACAGTGAAAAGTAGTGGAACAAACTTAAGATTTAGAGTTAGGGATATCTAAGTTTGAATTCCAGCCTTGACACCCAGTTGCTTTGTGACTGTGGATAAATTTACTTAACCTTTTTGAATCTCAGTATTCTAGTCTGTAAAATGGAGATAATAATATCTACCTTGCTGGGCTACTATAACTATTCAATGAAATAATATATGCAAAGTGCCTGCTATAGCTATTATCACTTAATTGACCTACAAATGGTAGCTCTTATTGATATGAATTATAAGAAGACAGTATCTGTCTTCCAGTATTTTCAGAACACAGCCTCAAATTGAAATCCTCCTGAATTTGGAAATAATTACAGAGCACCTTCTGATAGCCTAAAGTGTCTCTCTGTGATGGAGGAGCCCATAACATATGTGCGGTCAGAGCTCTAAATCTTGTAAAAATTTTGTGCTCCAATCTTTTTGTGTTTTGGTAAAGCAGATGCTATCTCTTTACCATAGGATATGCTAGAAGGATACTTTGTAGGGCCCTGGGCATTTTTGAGGACTCTTTCTTCTGATCAGCTTTCATCTAGGATTTGGAGAATAAGGAAGTACTTTGCTAGTTGGGAATGGATAAGAATCTGTGTGCAAACGGTAACTATGAACAATGCCTCCCTGTATTCAAATCCTAGGTAAAAAGAATGCATGTAGGCATATTGTACATTCCACAGGCGTTAGTACTTAAAGGGTGGGAGGAATATCTGGCATCAAAAAAGTGACTAAAAACATAAGTAAACACCACTAATAAATGGAGTTTTCTCCAATCAATTTTGGAGAACCCATCAATTTAATTTGGTACATGAGATGTTTAATCCAGGAGATTTATTTTGAATAAATATTTCCAAATAAGAGTCAAACCATGAAAAATCCTGCCCAGTCAGCCTCAAAGACTGATGTATATTACTTTTTAATAAACTATCATAGGTTGCTGATTACAGCCACCTTACTTTTCTCAAACTTCCCAGAAACTCTAGAAAGTATGGTCAGAGTCCCACTATGCAGTAGGAGCTTTTATAAAAGCACCTTGACTACTTGAGTGTGGGCTGGATTTATTGACTTTATTCTAAATATACAGTGATGAAAAGGGATAAAAGGTGCAGAACTCTGGCAGACACTACTATAACCAGTTATTCAAGGTTAATATCACCATCAATAAGTCCGTTGCTATAATATGCCCTATGACATGATGTGATGAGAAAGGCATTTCTTCTTTGTGGTATTTGTCCCAAATATCCATAACCCCAGTATAATTATCAGAAAAGCATAACACAAACTTGACCTGAGGGACATTCTACGAAATACTTAACCAGGGCCCCTGAAAACTGTCAGGGTCACAGGAAATAAGAAAAGTCTGAGAAACTCTTACAGCCCAGAGGAGACTAAGGAGACATGGCAAATAAGTGTACTGACACACCCTGGAAAGGAACAGAAAGAGAACATTATTAGAAAAGCTGATGAAATCCAAATAGGCTGGAGTTTAGTTAGTAGTATCATACCAATGTTGGCTTCTTAGTTGTGACAGATGTACCACTATGAGGTAAGATGTTAACAACAGCAGAAACTGGGTGAGTGATATATGGAGACTTTTTACTATATTCGCAAATTTTCTGTAAATGTAAATTGCATTCCAGAATTAAAGTTTATTATAATTAAAATCTAAAAACATTTTGGTGGTGCTGAGTTTAAAATAAAATTGTGAGATCAATCAGTTTTAGTATCTACTTTGTGTCCAGCCCTGTGGTGAGCACTATATGGGGAGACAAAAGCAAAAGGCATAGTCCCTACCTCCAGATAGCCTATCAACTAACTGAAGAGATGTGACTTTGACATGTGAAATGATTGGCAAACATTGGTACTCTTTGATTAAGCTCCAAACTGGGTGGTAAAAACTGCAGGAGGTCAGATGGAGTGGCCACAGAGAACTTCACAGAGTAGACCTGGAAGAATAGATTAGAATGGCATCAGTGGAGAGAGGGGAGACTTGCAGATGAAGGGAACAAAGAGAGAAAAAGCACTGGAGTGTTGGGCATGACATGTTCAGAGGAGAATAAAGGCAGCCTGATCTGATCTGGGAGAGAGGAGGCTGCATACTTTTACAGAGGCAGATGAAGCTGGGCCTCATTATGCAGGGCATTGAAAGTTAAACAGTCAGAGAGGGTAGGGGTTGGAACCGGCCACAGGGAACCTCAGTAGCAGTTGGGTAACTGTATGTGTTTCAATTCTTTGAATTTCAGCCTTTGGCCAAATTTATGTCTGTCATATATTAATCAGCTAACAACT
The DNA here is from genome assembly GCF_000001405.40 of Homo sapiens. Lineage (NCBI taxonomy): Eukaryota > Metazoa > Chordata > Mammalia > Primates > Hominidae > Homo > Homo sapiens. Next base: position 81,263,442 of record NC_000023.11, read on the forward strand.
GTCTTGGCATGTACGTTTGATAAGACAAGACTATGTGGGGACGATTTCACCTGAAGAGGTGAAAGTACAGCCATGCCCACTTTCTGGATTAAAAAGGCTCTTTCTTAACTAAATGAAATATCACTTCTGAATAATCTCATGTATCCAGACCTTTCTTGTCTGGAACTTTTCTCTGTCCATGCTGTTTTCCATAGTCAGAAGGAACTTTAGTCCCTTTATTGTTACTGACTCAAAGCTTGTTTCTGCTTTCAAAAGAAATACATTGTAATTAGATCGTTTTGCTCTTTAAAAAGTTCGTTGGGCATTTTTTTTTTAAAGTGATGGGTGCAGTGTGTAATAAGAAAAATAAAAAGAACAGAAAGGGTCTGATGCCTTTGCACTTTCTTGTCTGTTTTTTTTGTAAATTTGAAGTACAGAAATTATATCTTCCACACTAACTTTGCCCACTCAAAACTATTAGGTAACTGAACTCTTGACAAAGCGGAGGCATGTGCTGTATTGTTCTCGGTGTGGTCCAGAAACCAGAGGCCTCGTGGTGTTCTACTCAGTTCTCCTGTGTGCATACTGCCTGTGTTCATGCAAGCCCACATAATAGGGGGTTAGGACTTCGTTGAAGTCAGTTAAGGCTGGTCAAGAGAAAGGAGATTATAATAACTAGGAATTCATGTTCACTCATAAGGGATATTTAGGACAGAATATAAGATGTCTCAACCTTTGGTGTCTTACTTAGTTACATAGTTTAGAAGGAACTCGCTCATATGTCAGTCTCCAGCTGAATTTGGAGTATGTCTAGTATATCCCCCCCATGAAAGTAGTGTACTGTAAGTAATGAAAAACAAAACAAAACAAAAACAAGGCTTTGTAGTCAGCTAAATTTAGACATGTAATTTGATTTAAAGACCATTAATAGCTCTGTCTTACTGAGCAGGTTTCTTAACATCTCTGAGCCCCTGTTTCCTTTGCCGTGAAATGGATAGCCACCCCAAAAAGGGTTTGATATTCAGAAAACACTTAACAAGCACTCAACAAATGTTAGTCTTCTGTCCGTAAACGATTTTATCCTGTGCATATCTCGCTGCTAACATATAGTAAGGCTTGGAAATTTCCTTTTGGGGTTATCTTGGGAGGCTTTTCCTATTCCTTTATTATGTGACCCTCTGTTAGAATATATATAGGGGCAACTCTAGGCAAAATTCTGAGACAAAGAAACTTCACTGTCTTCATTACCTGATTCACTCTAGGTGGTCCCTCCCTCTACTTCAAATATGCTCACTGTCTGCCCTTTCTGTGAAGACTAAAGTAGGGAATCAGTAATGGTAGAGTTTCAGGCACCGAGAGTAGAATTGGCTTTAGGGTAGGATGTTACTCTCAGTGCTCCTTATTTCACAGCCTCATGAAGCCATCTCTGAAGAAATGGGAAAATGACTAAATAATGTTCTTTCTGACTCCAGAAAAAAGTATAGACAGATAGTAATTCCAGATAAAAAAGAAGTGGATAAAGTTATTCAGAACTGATTTCATAGTCAAGAAGAAAAACCCTTTTAACCCAGAAACTGGGAATGACTGTATTTTTTTTTTTTTTTTTTACTGTTAACACCTGAAGACATAGCAGTTTTTGAGAAACATCCTTTAAGGAGCTGCTTACTTTTCACACTAGACTCTATTTTTGAAATTATGTAAGCCTTAACGTGTTTTTAGAAAAGGTACTGCAGGCATGATTGTGGTAGAAGTGCAACTAAAAAAGAAAACAGAGTAGAGTTTTTTTTTTTTCTTTTTTTTAATGATACTTTAAGTTCTGGGTTACATGTGCAGAACGTGCAGTGTTGTTACAGTTAGGTATACACGTGCCATGGTGATTTGCTGCACCCATCAACCGGTCACCTACATTAGGTATTTCTCCCAATGTTATCCCTCCCCTAGTCCCACACCCGCCACAGGCCCCGGTGTGTGATGTTTCCCTCCCTGTGTCCAAGTGTTCTCATTGTTCAACTCCCGCTTATGAGTGAGAACATGCGGTGTTTGGTTTTCTGATCTTGTGATAGTTTGCTGAGAATGATGGATTCCAGCTTCATCCATGTCCCTGCAGAGGACATGAACTCATCCTTTTTTATGGCTGCACAGTATTCCATGGCATATATGTGCCACATTTTCTTAATCCAGTCTATCATTGATGGACATTTGGTTGGTTCCAAGTCTTTGCTAATGTGAATAGTGCTGCAATAAACATACATGTGCATGTGTCTTTATTGTAGAATGATTTATAATTCTTTGGGTATATGCCCAGTAATGGGATGGCTGGGTCAAATGGTATTTCTAGTTCTAGATCCTTAAGGAATCACCACACTGTTTTCCACAATGGTTGAACTAATTTACACTCCCACCAACAGAGTAAAAGCATTCCTATTTTTCCACAACCTCTCCAGCATCTGTCGTTTCCTGACTTTTTAATGATCGCCATTCTAACTGGCGATCTCGTGGTTTTGATTTGCATTTCTATAATGACCAGTGATGATGAACATTTTTTCATGTGTTTGTTGGCTGCATAAATGTCTTCTTTTGAGATGTGTCTGTTCATATCCTTTGCCCATTTTTTTGATGCAGTTGTTTGCTTTTTTCTTGTAAATTTGTTTAAGTTATTTGAAGATTCTGGGTATTAGTCCTTTATCAGATGGACAGATTGCAAAAATTTTCTCCCGTTCTGTAGGTTGCCTGTTCACTCTGATGATAGTTTCTTTTGCTGTGCAGAAGCTCTTCAGTTTAATTAGATCCCATTTATCAATTCTGGCTTTTGTTGCCATTGCTTTTGGTGTTTTAGACATGAAGTCTTTGCCCATGCCTATGTCCTGAATGGTATTGCCCAGGTTTTCTTCTAGGATTTTTATGGTCCTAGGTCTTACATTTAAGTCTTTGATCCATCTTGAGTTGATTTTTGTATACAGTGTAAGGAAGGGGTACAGTTTCAGATTTTTGCATATGGCTAGCAAAAATAGTGTTTTCCCAACACTATTTATTCAATAGGGAATCTTTTCCTCATTGCTTGCGTGTGTCAGATTTATCGAAGATCAGATGGTTGTAGATGTGTGGTGTTATTTCTGAGGACTCTGTTCTGTTCCATTGGTCTATATATTTGTCTTGGTACCAGTACCATTCTGTTTTGGTTACTGTAGCCTTGTAGTAAAGTTTGAAGTCAGATAGTGTGATGCCTTCAGATTTGTTCTTCTTGCCCAGGACTGTCTTGGCTATGCGGGCTGTTTTTTGGTTTCATATGAAGTTTAAAGTAGTTTTTCCCAATTCTTTGAAGAAAGTCAGTGGTAGCTTGATGGGGATAGCATTGAATCTATAAATTGCTTTTGGCAGTGAGGCCATTTTAACGATATTGATTCTTCCTATCCATGAGCATGGAATGTTTTTCGATTTGTTTGTGTCCTCTCTTATTTCCTTGAGCAGTGGTTTGTATATTTACTTGAAGAGGTCCTTCACATCCCTTGTAAGTTGGATTCCTAGGTATTTTATTCTATTAGTAGCAATTGTGAATGGGAGTTCACTCATGGTTTGGCTCTCTGTTTGTCTGTTATTGGTGTATAGGAATGCTTGTGATTTTTGCACATTGACTTTGCATCCTGAGATTTTGCTGAAGTTGCTTATCAGCTTAAGGAGATTTTGGGCTGAGACGATGGGGTTTTCTAAATATACAATCATGTCATCTGCAAACAGAGACAATTTGACTTCCTCTTTTCCTAATTGAATACCCTTTATTTCTTTCTCTTGCCTGATTGCCCTGGCCAGAACTTCCAATACTATGTTGAATAGGAGTGGTGAGAAAAGGCATCCCTGTCTTGTGCCAGTTTTCAAAGGGAATGCTTCCAGTTATTGCCCATTCAGTATGACATCGGCTGTGGGTTTGTCCTAAATAGCTCCTATTATGTTGAGATACGTTTCACTGATACCTAGTTTATTGAGAGTTTTTAGCATGAAAGGCTGTTGAATCTTGTCAAAGGCCTTTTCTGCATCTATTGAGATAATCATGTGCTTCTTGTCGTTGGTTCTGTTTATGTGATGGATTACGTTTATTGATTTCTGTGTGTTGAACCAGCCTTGCCTCCCAGGGATGAAGCTGACTTGATTGTGGTGGATAAGCTTTTTGATGTGCTGCTGGATTCGGTTTGCCAGTATTTTATTGAGGATTTTCACGTCGATATTCATCAGGGATATTGGCCTAAAATTCTCTTTTTTGTGTGTGTCTCTGCCCTGCTTTGGTGTCAGGATGATGCTCGCCTCATAAAATGAGTCAGGTAGGATTTCCTCTTTTTCTGTTGATTGGAATAGTTTCAGAAGGAACTACGCATGCAATAAAGCTCCTCTTTGTACCTCGAGTAGAATTTGTCTGTGAATCCGTCTGGTCCTGGACTTTTTTTGGGTGCTAGGCTATTAATTATTGCCTCAATTTCAGATCCTGTTACTGGTCTATTCAGAGATTCAACTTCTTTCTGGTTTAGCCTTGGGAGGGTGTATGGGTCCAAGAATTTGTCCATTTCTTTTAGATTTTCTAGTTTATTTTCGTAGAGGTGTTTATAGTATTCTCTGATGGTAGTTTGTATTTCTGTGGGATTGGTGGTAAATCCTCATCATCCTTTTTTATTGCATCTATTTGATTCTTCTCTCTTTTCTTCTTTATTAGTCTTGCTAGGGGTCTATCTATTTTGTTGATTGTTTCAAAAAACCAGCTCCTGGATCCACTAATTTTTTTTTGAAGGGTTTTTTTTGTGTCTCTATCTCCTTCAGTTCTGCTCTGATCTTAGTTATTTCTTGTCTTCTGCTAGCTTTTGAATTTGTTTGCTCTTTCTTCTCTAGTTCTTTTAATTGTGATTTTACGGTTTCGATTTTAGACCTTTCCTGTTTTTTCTTGTGGGCATTTAATGCTATAAATTTCCCTCTACACACTGCTTTAAATGTGTCCCAGAGATTCCGGTACATTGTATCTTTGTTCTCCTTGGTTTCAAAGAACATCTTTATTTCTGCCTTCATTCATTATTTACCCATTAGTCATTCAGGAGTAGGTTGTTCAGTTTCCATGTAGTTGTGCTGTTTAGTGAGATTCTTACTCCTGAGTTCTAATTTGACTGCACTGTGGTCTGAGAGGCAGTTTGTTGTGATTTTTGTTCTTACACATTTGCTGAGGAGTGTTTTACTTCTAATTATGTGGTCAATTTTAGAATAAGTGCGATGTGGTGCTGAGAAGAATGTATATTCTATTGATTTGGGGTAGAGAGGTCTGTAGATGTCTATTAGGTCTGCTTGGTCCAGAGCTGAGTTCAAGTCCTGGATATCCTTGTTAATTTTATGTCTCATTGATCTGTCTAATATTGACAGTGGGGTGTTAAAGTCTTCCATTATTATTGTGTGGGAGTCTAAGTCTCTTTGTAGGTCTGTAAGAACTTGCTTTATGAATCTGGCTGCTCCTGTACTGAGTGAATGTATGTTTAGGATAGTTAGCTCTTCTTGTTGAATTGAGCCCTTTGCCATTATGTAATGGCCTTCTTTGTCTCTTTTGATCTTTGTTGGCTTAAAGTTTGTTTTATCAGAGACCAGGATTGCAACTCCTGCTTTTTTTGCCTTCCATTTGCTTGATAGATCTTCCTCTATCCCTTTATTTTGGGCCTATGTTTGTCTCTGCATGTGAGATGGGTCTCCTGAATACAGCACACCGATGGGTCTTGATTCTTTATCCAATTTGCCAGTCTGTGTCTTTTAATTGGGGCATTTAGCCCATTTACATTTAAGGTTAATATTGTTATGTGTGAATTTGATCCTGTCATTATGATGTTAGCTGGTTATTTCGCCTGTTAATTGATGCAGTTTCTTCATAGCATTGATGGTCTTTATAATTTGGCACGTTTTTGCAGTGGTTGGTACCAGTTGCTCCTTTCCAAGTTTAGTAATTCCTTCAGGAGCTCTTTTAGGGCAGGCCTGGTGGTGACAAAATCTCTCAGCATTTGCTTGTCTGTAAACTATTTTATTTCTCCTTCACTTATGAAGCTTAGTTTCGCTGGATATGAAATTCTGGATTGAAAATTCTTTTCTTTAAGAATGTTGAATATTGGCCCCCACTCTCTTCTGGCTTGTAGGGTTTCTGCTGAGAGATCCACTGTTAGTCTGATGGGCTTCCCTTTGTGGGTAACCCGACCTTTCTCCCTGGCTGCCCTTAACATTTTTTCCTTCATTTCAACCTTGGTGAATCTGATGATTATGTGTCTTGGAGTTGCTCTTCTTGAGGGGTATCTTTGTGGTGTTCTCTGTATTTCCCGAATTTGAATGTTGGCCTGTCTTGCTAGATTGGGGAAGTTCTCCTGGATAATATCCTGCAGAGTGTTTTCCAACTTGTTTCCACTCTCCCCATCACTTTCAGGTACACCAATCAGACGTAGATTTGGTCTTTTCACATAGTCCTATATTTCTTGGAGGCTTCGTTCATTTCTTTTTACTCTTTTTTCTCTAATCTTGTCTTCTTACTTTATTTCATTAATTTGATCTTCAGTCAGTGATATCCTTTCCTTCTGCTTGATTGAATGAGCCATTGAAGCTTGTGTATGCTTCACGAAGTTCTTGTTCTGTGGTTTTCAGCTCCATCTGGTCATTTAAGCTCTTCTCTACACTTGTTATTCTACTTAGCCATTCATCTAACCTTTTGTCAAGGTTTTTATCCTCCTTGTGATGGGCTAAAACATGCTCCTTTAGCTCGGGGAAGTTTGTTATTACAGACCTTCTGAATCCTGTTTCTGTCTCCTCGTCAAACTCATTTTCCATCCAGTTTTGTTCCCTTGCTGGTGTGGAGTTGTGTTCCTTTGTAGAAGAGGCGTTCTGGTTTTTGCAATTTTCCACCTTTCTGCTCTGGTTTCTCACCATCTTTGTGGATTTATCTACCTTTGGTCTTTGATGTTGCTGATCTATGGATGTGGTTTTGGTGTGGATGTCCTTTTTGTTGATGTTGATGTTGATGCTATTCCTTTCTGTTTGTTAGGTTTACTTCTACAGACAGGCCCCTCAGCTGCAGGTCTGTTGGCGTTTGCCGGAGGTCCACTCTAGACCCTGTTTGCCTGCATATCACCAGTGGAGGCTGCAGAACAGCACATATTGCTGCCAGATCCTTACTCTGGAAGCTTCGTCCCACAGGGGCACCCACCTGTATGAGGTGTCTGTTGGCCCCTACTGGGAGGTGTCTCCCAGTCAGGCTACACGGGGGTCAGGGACCCACTTGAGGAGGCAGTCTGTCTGTTATTGGAGCTCGAACACCATGTCGGGAGAACTACTGCTCTCTTCAGAGCTGCCAGGCAGTGAACTTTAAGTCTGGAGAAGCTGTCAGCCGCCTTTTGTTCAGATATACCCTGCCCCCACAGGTGGAGTCTAGAGAGGCAGTAGGCCTTGCTAAGCTGGGGTGGACTCCACCCAGTTCAAGCTGCCCTGCCACTTTGTTTACATTGTGAGCATGGAACTGCCTACTCAATCCTCAGCAAAGGTGGACGTCCCCCCCCAACCAAGCTCCCGTGTCCCAGGTCAATCTCAGACTGCTGCACTAGCAGTGAGCAAGGCTCCGTGGGCATGGGATCTACCAAGCCAGGCATGGGAGGGGATCTCCTGGTCGGCTGGTTGCGAAGACTTTAGGAAAAGTGCAGTATTTGGGCAGGAGTGTACTTCTCCTCCAGGTACAGTAACTCACAGCTTTCCTTGGCCAGGAAAGGGAAATCCTATGACCCCTTGCACTTCCCCAGTGAGGCAACACCCCACTCTGCTTTGGCTTGCCCTCTGTGGGCTGCACCCACTGTCCATCCAGTCCCTGTGAGATGAACCAGGCACCTCTGTTGGAAATGCAGAAATCACTTGTCTTCTGTGTCAATCTCACTGCGAGTTGTAGACCAGAGCTGTTCCTGTTTGGCCATCTTGGAAGTGATCTTCTTTTTCTTTTAGCAGGAATAAAATAGGAAATCTTAGATTACACTTTAATGCTGCCACATCTTGGAACATCTGTCACGAGAACTCTAGGGAGCCAGGGGTGCAGGTGAGGAATGATAAGAAAATTCTTATTAGACATTTTAACCAAGACTTGTTTCTTGTTGGTAAAGAGAAATGAACAAAGCCTCCAAGAAATATAGGACTATGTGAAAAGACCAAATCTACGTCTGATTGGTGTACCTGAAAGTGATGGGGAGAATGGAAACAAGTTGGAAAACACTCTGCAGGATATTATCCAGGAGAACTTCCCCAATCTAGCAAGACAGGCCAACATTCAAATTCGGGAAATACAGAGAACACCACAAAGATACTCCTCAAGAAGAGCAACCCCAAGACACATAATCATCAGATTACGTTGCATTGTGATCAAACCACTTTTGGAAATATTGCAAACAGACAAGCTGAAAAAAAAGGTGTATCTTGCTGTGGTTAACCCTGAAATTGAGCAAGAAGAAGCCAATGGTGGCTGGGCATGGTGGCTCATGCCTGTAATCCCAGCACTTTGGGAGGCTGAAGTGGGCGGATCATGAGGTCAGGAGATTGAGACCATCCTGGCTAACATGGTGAAACCCTGTCTCTACTAAAAATACAAAAAAAAATTAGCCAGGCATGGTGGCGGATGCCTGTAGTCCCAGCTACTCAGGAGGCTGAGGTGGGAGAATGGCATGAACCCGGGAGGCAGAGCTTGCAGTGAGCTGAGATCGTGCCACTGCACTCCAGCCTGGGTGACAGAGTGAGACTGCGTCCAAAAAAAAAAAAAAAAAGGAAGACAATAGTTTAGTAGGTCGTGGCAGTATTCATTTAAGAATAGACACAGATCTGTTTGGTTATTGAAAGACTACACAGTGGCAATACTGCACTCGCTTATTGCCAAACTGACTAACTGGGGTTTCAGATTTGATGTTCCTTTTAGATGTATTTTGTAAGTAACTTAGTAAAAGACTGAATTGGCAGCTTTAAATGCTGTTTGTTCACTCCTCATCCACTCCACTGTTAAATCATTTGACACAGAGTAGGCAAAGACAGGGTCATTACTTTTCTTTTTTTTCTTTTCTTTTTTTTTTTTTTTTGAGACAGAGTCTCGTTCTGCCGCCCAGGCTGGAGTGCAGTGGCGAGATCTGGGCTCACTGCAAGCTCCACCTCCTGGGTTCAGGCCATTCTCCTGCATCAGCCTCCTGGTAGCTGGGACTTCAGGTGCCTGACACCACGCCCGGCTAATTTTTTGTATTTTTAGTGGAGACGGGGTTTCACCATGTTAGTCAGGATGGTCTCGATCTCCTGACCTCGTTATCCGCCCGCCTCGGCTTCCCAAAGTGCTGGGATTACAGGCGTGAGCCACCGCTCCTGGCCCAGGCTCATTACTTTTCTAAAATGAAGAGTGACCCTTCCTAGGGTAGCATTTGAAATAAATGGAGCCAAATGGAGGGAGACTCCGTATCTGAATTTCTCTTTGAGGAAGTTGACTGAGTCAGTCAAAAATTATAACCTGTTTGGAAAAAGACAAATACACATACACACCATGATTTATTTATAGAGTTCGATTATATGTAATAATTCAGTAGGAGAAATTGTGAGCATCCATTTAGAAAGTTTCCAAGTTTATTTTGTAATACTGTACCTTCATTGTTCTAGTTCAATATGCTGTCACCTTTGTGAGCTCAGTTTCTACCGTTGGCCAGTTATATTAAATTTTATTAAGTATGTCATCCTTTCACCAGAACTATAGATTGTATGCAATATAGAAGGATTAAAAATCTAACATTTGTGCTCTCCTTATTAAGCTTAGTCTAAGTGGCATTGCTAATAGCAATAAATGCTTGTTCTCTCTTCTCTCATTGGCGTTGCCATTCTCTTGGCTCCTCTCACCTAACAACCTTGTATTGTTGTCTTAGCTTCTTATTTAAATACGCTATTGTAATTGAACTTTTAAATATATCTATTTCTAATCTCTCCCAATAGATTGTAATGTGAGGAAGGGATCACGCCTATTTATCTTTAGCTAGTTTAGAGAGTCTAACAAAGTTCATTGAGAGTCACTTAAGAGACACTCAAGAAATATTGTTGAATTACTTCTGACAATCATTTTATATTTTAGCACATCATAGTCAAGAACTTCTGTCAATGTTAATTAACTGTTAGTAGAGAAAGTGTGATAGAGGTTGATCATTAAAAAAGGCAAAATTCCCACTTTGGTTAAATGGTTTTTTTTTTTTTTTTTTGGAAGGTCGACACTTTCTTTTATAAAAAGGGTATTTTCCCATTTGAAGCATCATTGGTGAAGTTTTGATCTTTCTTTGGTATTTGCAACATTCACACTGGCACCTTCTAAAGCAGAAACTTTGTCACTCCCCTTTTTTGAAAGAAACTTGACCCTTAGCATGACAGAAAGGGAGCTTGCTAAGACTTGTGGGAAGACAACTGTTTACTCCAGGAAACAATTGTTTAATGTACCTGCTCTGTGTCTTTGGAGAGAAGAATACCCTGAATCTCAAAAATCTAACATGTGGACAGAAATGACTTGGAATTCTTTCGGTAGAGGTGAGGGGTGTGGTTTACTGTTTGAAAAATATTTATTTAAATTCCTGGACAGTGCATTGTCCACTTGCAAATGCATTTATTTGCTGAAAAGGGTATCAATAGCCTTTTAACTCCAAAGTCATTTTTATCCTGGAAGAAATTTAAATTTTATTTCTAAATGAACCCTTGTGACACCTATTCCTCTTGGTTCTGGCAATATATGGTTTTCAGTCTCATGCATTCACTGTGTCCCCTTATTTTAAGTCCTATTAGGGAAATTAGGAAATTACCATCACCAGATGCTCCCTTATAAGTGTGTGTTATAGTGAACATGTGCCTATAGGTGTATAAGAAAGACAATAATTGGCTGGGTGCAGTGGCTCATGCCTGTAATCCCAGCACTTTGGGAGGCCAAGTTGGACAGATCATGAGGTCAGGAGTTCGAGACCAGCCTGACCAACATGGTGAAACCCCGTCTCTACTAAAAATACAAAAATTAGCCGGGTTTGGTGGTGTGCGCCTGTAATCCCAGCTACTCAGGAGGCTGAGGCAGAAGAAATCACTTGAAGTGAGCTGAGATCACGCCACTGCACTCTAGCCTGGGCGACAGAGCTAGACTCTGTCTCAGAAAAAAAAAAAGCAATAATTATTTATATATTAGAAATCTCCACTTGAGTGCAGGAGTTTGAAGCTGCAGTGATGCAAGCTCATGATACTGCATTCCAGCCTGGGTGAAACAGCAAGACCCTATCTTGGAAAAAAAAAATTAAAGGAATAGATTCCTTCTTGGAAATAAACTTAATATGTGAAATTTTGGACTTGAAAATTTGATCAAGTTAGGAAACATTTTTTTTTAACTTTCCCTGAAGATTCAAAGCTGAACAAAAGTTCATATTTGACATGGCAGAACCTATTAGCAAAGTGTGATTATGGCCAATTCTGTTCAGCTTTATGGAGATGTAGAACACACTAGTAGGTATGTGTACTTGTCATCAGGCAATCTCAGGGCATGGGAGAAATACTTGGTCATTACTCTCCAACTGATGGCTGGAGAGTAATTACTTCAGTGAAGGTACACTATCATGCCTAGTGATACCAGGCCTGGCGACCATTTTAACTTAGCACAGTGAGTCATGTTCTCGACAAAGTAAGCATTCAATAAGGTAGGAAAAGCCTCAAAAAATAATTTATCTTAAAGGTCCTCTGCTCATGCAAATGTGACTGATGACATTCTGCCAGGGTCATGTATGTAAAATTCTTAGCATGTCTCTTCACTCATTCAAAAAAAAAAATCTGTTGGAATGCAAGTTCCCTCAAAGTATGGGGTTTTCACACGTTGCCCAGGCCAGTCTCGAATTCCTGGGCTCAAGCAATCCTCCTGCTTCAGCCTCCCAAAATGCTGGGATTACAGATGAGAGCCACCGTGCCCAGCCTTGAAAGTACAGTCTTAATAGGACATCTTTATATCTACTCAAATTTGTAAATATGCTAATGATCGACAAATTACTTGACACAATTGACATTGACTGAACCCACCTACTGTACCTCAGAAATTGAAACCATTGATTTAATGGAACCTTTCATCAAGTGCATTAGTCCACTAGGCACTCCTATTTATTGAGTTTTACATTGATTTTTCTCAGTTCAAAAGAGGGCATATGTTACATTTAGGAATGAAAGTTTGATTTTATAAGCCAATTAAAAAACAGAATTCCCATTAGAAAAATTACCTTGTAGCAAGTTTTGCTAGATTCTAACTGATCTTTAAAGAGGGACATTCAGTACCCTAATCTAAATAGCATTGAAAACTTTCCGTTTCTTTTGGGAGAAATTGAGAATTATTTTCCCGAGTTTATGTGATGAGAGAGAAAATTATTTAATCACAATCACGAGCAACTTAGAAAGACAAAAACACAACTTTTATGCATATATGCATGTATGTGGGGGTAGATGGAGGGGTGTAAATCCAGAGAGGGACTTGATTGTGAGTTTCTTATTTTGCATTTTTATTCTCATTGGCAGACAGATTTATTTTATTTTATTTTTTGATGACAACACTCCATGTGTCTTTATTTTAATGTGATTCCATGAAGAAACTTGCTTATTGATTACGGTCCTATAACTCAGAAATGTTAAGTTATGGTTTTAAATAGGGGTTAATTACCATTGATGTGTGAATACAGGTTCTAAAAGAAATGCATGTCGGAAGAGAAACTGAACTGAATAGTATTAATTTTACTGTTTTCAAAGCTCTCTTCTAGCTATGATAAGGAGACAGAATACATGTGCCATCTCCACCTGGTTATCTAGATGAACATATTAGGTTGGTGCAAAGGTAATTGCAGTTTTTGCTATTGAAGGTAATGACCAAAACTGCAATTACTTTTGCACCAACCTAATACATAATACACATAAAAGATACCTTAGCAGCACATGATAAGGGCTAATGAATGGTACAGATATATTGCAAACTTTATAGTTTGTAGGATTAGCTAATATATTCTTGTTCAGTTTCTGTTTTGAACACTGAAAATTGAGACTTGAATGACTCTTGAAGCCTGTGCACTTTGTCAAGGAAAGATTCATTTCTATTGCATATACAATTCTTGTTAAGATGGGAAGCAGACGCATCATTTGGAAAAAACTTTCTTGAAAGGCTGAAACTAAGAGAGGCTTGTAGAGTATCAGAAAACATAACTTTTCACTGCACATAATTTGGAGTTAACTGCATTTTTAGATATTGATATGCATCAGTTAGTTTTGCATGTACATCATTAAATAATGAAAATTTTCAATGGAAAAAAAAAAGAGAAATTCAACTTGATAAAAGGACCAGTGGACCAAAAGCTCTTCAATATACTTGTGAGGCATTATTAACAATACAATAATAAAGAGTGAAAATCATATAACTTCTGTGAAACCACAATCTTTGTTCTGTCTGAATTCATTTCTGCCAGCTCACAAACATTTGACTTTTGTTGAATTTGGAAAATACGGTTTCTTGTCCTTTGGTCCTAGATTAAGAAGAAACAACAAGATGTGCTTGGTTTCCTAGAAGCCAACAAAATAGGATTTGAAGAAAAAGATATTGCAGCCAATGAAGAGAATCGGAAGTGGATGAGAGAAAATGTACCTGAAAATAGTCGACCAGCCACAGGTTACCCCCTGCCACCTCAGATTTTCAATGAAAGCCAGTATCGCGGGGTAAGAAAACAATTTAAATTCTTGTTTATTGTAATAGATTGCCCCAAATCTATCCATTATTTTCACCTCTGCCTCCAAGCCTGCATATATATAGTCATATCTCTTGCATATAGTCATTTGTCCTTTCCATCCACTCAAAGGCTGGATGTAGACAATGGCTACATTTTCTAAATATGTTTGCTATTGATTATGCATCACAGCCAAATTTAGGAAAGTTTATTTGTTACTTTTTGAGAATGTGTTGTGGCTTATAAGATGACAGTAGGAATCCCAACCAAATTTAGTCATGTGAAGATTCTCTTGCATTCCCCAGGTTGAAACCTCTTAGCAGTTTGGTTGCTCTTCTGGTCATGCATCATGGACATCTCATTGCCTTTCTCAAAACACAGCAAAGATTAACTATTCTTCTGGCCTTGGGCATGTCTAGCTAATATCTAGTCTATTGTAGGCTCTGAGAAAATCTCAACCTAAATGAATAATGGAACAGAAATATGGTGAATGGAAACAACAGTGTCTGACCAGAAATAAACATCTTCTTACTGGGAAATAGGTGGCTGTTTTGCATGGTGGAGGAAGCTGCAGGCAGAGTTAAATTCCATGTGATGTGGAATAAATCATTCTGCAGTTTTTGTGACATAGAATAGCATACTTTTCAACCTATATTAAATAAGATCCAGAAGCCTTGCCTCTTTATTACTCCTTATTCCTTCCAGAATTCTAGTATTATGGAAGTTAGTCTCTCTGTCCCCAAGGAGGTAGATGATTCTGTCGACCAGTCAGGTCATTCTGAATAAATCTCCTTTTTTTCTTGAGATGGAGTTTCCCTCCTGTTGCCCAGGCTGGAGTGCAGTGGGGTGATCTTGGCTCACTGCAACCTCCGCCTCCCAGGCTCAAGCGATTCTCCTGCCGCAACCTTCCAAGTAGCGGGGATTACAGGCATGTGCCCCCACCCCTGGCTAATTTTTGTATTTTTAGTAGAGACAGGGTTTCTCCATGTTGGTCAGGCTGGTCTCAAACTCCCAACCTTAGGTGATCCGCCCACCTCGGCCTCCCAAAGTGTTGGGATTACAGGCGTGAGCCACTGCTTTCGGCTGAATAAATTTCCTTTTTTTCTTTTATTGGTTGCATATTGCTAATTCATCTTATCTTCTTTTCATCAAGGACTATGATGCCTTCTTTGAAGCCAGAGAAAATAATGCAGTGTATGCCTTCTTAGGCTTGACAGCCCCACCTGGTTCAAAGGTATGATACCCTTTTTTTCCTGTTTTATAGGTCATTTTATTGCTGCTGAACTTTTTTAATCAGTAAGATTTTCATTTTTGTTAAGTATTCAAATTAAGTCAGAGACAATCCTTTATAGCAAAAAGTGCCTTCTCTGCATCCACTTAATTCCTATTAGGGCAGAAAGATGTGCATAACCAAATGCATAAACTATGTGTTTAGCAGGTAGGTAGAGTGACTTCCCCATCAAGCTGCCCATGGGAGCAAATTTCTCATTGACCTATGCACAGATAAGTGCTTAGCAATTTTAAAGCCTTCATTATTCCAGCTGTCCTGCATGGTTCTACATCGACAGTAAGCATCTTAGTTCATGGTAATCTCCTTGGCAGCACTTATTGTCTTTGTGTGAGAGCAAATGATAGAGTCATCCATTCAAGTTAATTAAGAGCATCTGCATTGCAAAACTGGTCACTAAATTGCTCGCCAAATTTGAGGCTTTTTTCCTGCCAACACAAATTAATTTTTTAAGTAGCAGCATTTTCAGGAGAGACCAAATAAAGAAAGCAACAATAAAGTTGCCTGTCTAGTGAGATGTCCCCAAACTATCAACTTTAAACATACCTTTGCCTTTTATAGTAGTTCTTCACACAAACTGCCTTAATCAAAATGCGTGTCTCTTGCTCTGTCATTTTATGTTTTGCTCTTAGCAACTAATTGTATGTTAGACAGATTCTTTGAACTCCAATTCCCTCTCCTATTTTAAAAGGCTGTGTTATTGTCTGTTTTCACTAGACAAAAATTTACTAGTACTGTGTTCATGTCATTGTAAAATGGTTTTCTTGCCGAACTTTCTTTTCCCATGGATAAAATCTTATATTTTAGGCTTTGTACAATTTGAGCCATAAGAAAAGTGAGGTAAGGCACTTTTCTTTAAATAAGATAGAGTACTAGATTGCAGCATCTGCAATCCAGACAGAGCAGCATCTGGAGGCTTGCATTGTGCATTTTAGCCCCAAATAGACTGCAAGAACAAACCAGCAATCCTGAGAGGACCCACAGACCCTCTCAAGGAAGTGGACTGCTCATGTAGGACTCAGGAGACACCCCAAATACTGTGAGTGCCCCAACTGAGGAAGTGGAAAAGGGAGACCCTCCTCTCCCGAACAGATACCCTCACTGGAGAAACTGAAGGTCTGTTTGCGGGAGAAGTTTCCAACTTTACCTGGAGCTGAGTCAAGTTAGAGAGCCCAGCGAAATACAGGGGTAAAGGAAGCAACAGGAAGGCCCTGGTATCTCGCTGGGTCCCCAGGCAGCTCATTTCTGCCTGGCACCATAGGGATCCATCGGGAGGGTGGCCAGAGGAGCAGGGGTTAAAACTCCACAGAAAGAAGGAATTCTCTAGCCAAATTTTGTAACAATTCGAAAGGGGAAGAAGCCTCCTGGCCAGAACTCGGGGGAGGGTGCAAATCTCGCTTGCAGACTTCACAGGCAAGGGAAGAACCAAAACCCTTTTCTTTCGCAGCTGGGAGGTGGATAGCCTTGGGTGAATTTTTAAGCCCCTCTTGCCCTCCACCTGGAAACAGACTCAGGGCTGTTGGACGGGGGCTTGGTGGAAGTGAGACCAACCCTTCGGTTTACCTGGGAGCTGAGTGAGGCCTGTGACTGCTGATTTTACAGGACTTCCCTGACAATCTGCCTGACTCAGCAGAGGAAGCCATCCTAGGTATAGAACTCCAGTGACCTGGGAATCTCACCCCCACCCCTCACAGCAGCCACAGCAAGACCCACCCGAGGAGAGTCTGAGCTCAGACATGCCCAGCCCCTCCCCCACCTGATGGTCCTTCCCTTTCCACCCTGGTAGTGGAAGACAAAGAGCATATAATCTTGGAAGTTCTAGGGCCCTGCCTACTGCGGGTCCCTCTCCGCAATACTACAGCTGATGGTTTCTGGAAAGCGCCACCTCCTGGCCAACCAGCATAAAAATAGAGCATTAAACCACCAAAGCTTAGGACCCTCACGGAGTCCATTGCACCCTCCACCTCCTCCACCAGACCAGGCACTGGTATGCATGGCTGAGAGACCCATAGATGGTTCACATCGCAGGACTCTGTGCAGACAACCGCCAGTACCAACCAGGATCTGGGTAGACTCGCTGGGTAGCTAGACCCAGAAGAGAGACAACAATCACTGCAGTTTGGCTCACAGAAGCCACATCCATAGGAAAAGGGGGAGAGTACTACATCAAGGGAGCACCCCATGGGACAAAATAATCTGAACAACAGCCTTCAGCCTTAGACCTTCCCTCTGACAGAGCCTACCCAAGTGAGAAGGAACCAGAAAACCAACAGTGGTAATATGACAAAACAGTTCCCTTCAACATCTGCAAAAAAATCACACTAGCTCACCAGCAATGATCCAAATCAAGAAGAAATCCCTGATTTACCTGAAAAAGAATTCAGGGGGTTAGTTATTAAGCTAATCAGGGAGGGAACAGAGAAAGGCAAAGCCCAATGCAAGGAAATCCAAAAAATGATACGAGAAGTAAAGGGAGAAATATTCAATGAAATAGACAGTGTAAGGAAAAAAACAATAAAAAATTCAGGAAACTTTGGATGCACTTTTAGAAACACGAAATGCTTTGGAAAGTCTCAGCAATAGAATTGAACAAGTAGAAGAAAGAAATTAAGAGCTCAAAGACAAGGTCTTTGAATTAACCCAATCCAACAAAGACAAAGAAAAAAGAATAAGAAAATACGAACAAAGCCTCCAAGAAGTCTGAGATTATGTTAAACGACCAAACCTAAGAATAATTGGAGTTCCTGAGGAAGAAGAGAATTCTAAAATCTTGGAAAACATATTTGGGGGAATAATCAAGGAAAACTTCCCTGGCCTAGCTAGATATATATACATCCAAATACAAGAAGCACAAAGAACACCTGGGAAATCCATTCCAAAAAGATCTTCGCCTTAGGCACACTGTCATCAGGTTATCCAAAGTTAAGACAAAGGAAATAAGAGCTGTGAGACAGAAGCACTAGGTAACCTATAAAGGAAAACCTATCAGATTAACTGCAGATTTCTCAGCAAAAACCCTACAAGCTAGAAGGGATTAAGGCCCTATCTTCAGCCTCCTTAAACAAAATGATTATCAGCCAACAATTTTGTATCCAGTGAAATTAAGCATCATATATGAAGGAAAGATTCAGCTCTTTTCAGACAAACAAATGCTGAGAGAATTCGCCATTATCAAGCCACCACTACAGGAGCTCTAAATCTTGAAAGGAATCCTGGAAACACATCAAAACAGAACCTCTTTAAGGCATAAATCACACAGGACCTATAAAACAAAAATACAAGCTTGAAAGCAAAAGCAAAAAACAACAATGAAAAAATCTAGAGTACACAGGCAACAAAGAGCACAATGAATGCAATGGTACCTCACATTTCCATGCTATCATTGAATGTAAATGGCTTAAATGCTTCACTTGAAAGATACAGAACTGCAGAATGGATAAGAACTCGCCAACCAACTATCTGCTGCCTTCAGGAGACTCACCTAACACATAAGGAGGCACATAAAGTAAAGGGGTGGAAAAAGGTATTTCATGCATATGGACACCAAATGAGAGTGGGGCAACTATTCTTATAACAGACAAAACAAACTTTAAAGCAACAGTGGTAAAAGAGACAAAGAGGGACATTATATAATGGTGAAAGACCTTATCCAACAGGAAAATATCACAATCTTAAACATATATGCACCTAACACTGGAGCTTTCAAATTTATAAAACAATTACTAATAGACCCAAGAAATGAGATAGACAGCAACACAATAATAGTGGGGGAATTCAATATCCCACTGACAGCACTAGACAGGTCATCAACACAGAAAGTCAACAAAGAAACAATGGATTTAAACTCTACCTTGGAGCAAATGAACTTAACAGATATATACAGAACATTTTATCCAACTGCAGAATACACATTCTATTCAACAGCACATGGAACTTTCTCCAACATAGACCATATGATAGGCCATAAAATGAGCCTCAATAAATTTAAGAAAATTGATATTATATCAAGCACTTTCTGAGACCACAGTGGAATAAAACTGGAAATCAACTCCAAAAGGAACCTTCAAAACCATGGAAATACATGGAAAGTAAATAACCTGCTCCTGAATGAGCATTGGGTTAAAAACAAAATCAAGATGGAAATTAAAAAATTCTTTAAACTGAATGACAGTAATGACACAACCTATCAAAACCTCTGGGATACAGCAAAGGTGGTGCTAAGAGGAAAGTTTATGGCCCTAAACGCCTACATCAAAAAGTCTGAAAGAGCACAAACAATCTAAGGTCACACTTCAAAGAACTAAAGAAACAAGAACAAACCAAACCCAAACCCAGAAGAAGAAAGAAATAACCAAGATCAGAACATAACTAAATTAAATTGAAACAAAAAAATACAAAAGATAAAATGAAACAAAAAGCTGGTTCTTTGAAAAGATTAAAATGGATAGACCATTAGCAAGATTAACCAAGAAAAGAATAAAGGAAATCCAAATAACTTCACTAAGAAATGAAACAGGAAATATTATAACTGACACCACTGAAATACATAAGATCATTCAAGGCTAATATGAACACCTCTATGCGCATAAACTAGAAAACCTAGAAGAGAATGGATAAATTCCTGGAAAAATATCACTTTCCTAGCTTAAATCAGAAAGAATCAGATACATTTAAAAGACCAATAACAGGCATCAAGATTGAAATGGTAATTTAAAAATTACCAACCAAAAAGTCCAGGATTAGCCTGATTCACAGCAGAATTCTACTAGACTTTCAAAGAAGAATTAATACCAATCTGTTGGACTCTATTCCACAAGATAATGAAAGAAGGAACCCTCTCTAACTCATTCTATGAAGCCAGCATCACCCTAATACCAAAATCAGGAAAGGACACAACCAAAAAAGAAAACTACACACCAATATCCTTGATGAACATAGATGCTAAAATCCTTAAGAGAATACTAGTTAACTGAATCCAACAAAAAAGCAAAAAGATAATCCACCATGATCAAATGGGTTTCATACCAGGGATGCAGGGATGGTTTAACACACACAAGTCAATAAATGTGATGCACCACATAAACAGAATTAAAAACAAAAGTTACATAATCAGCTCAATAGATGCAGAAAAAGCATTCAACAAAATCCAGCATCACTTTATGATTAAAACTCTCAGCAAAATCAGCATACAAGGGACATACCTTAATGTAATAAAAGCCACCTATGACAAACCCACAGCCAACATAATACAGAATGGGGAAAAGTTGAAAACATTCCCACTGAGAACTAGAGCAAGACATGGATGCCCACTGTCACCACTACTCTTCAACATGGTACTGGAAGTCTTAGCCATTGCAATCAGACAAGAGAAAGAAATAAAGGGCATCCAAATTGGTAAAAAGGAAGTCAATTGGTCACTGTTTGCTGATGATAGGATCATTTATCTTGAAAACCCTAAGGACTCCTCCAGAAAGCTCCCAGAACGATAAAAGAATTCAGCAAAATTTCCAGATCCAAGATTAATATACACAAATCAGTAGCTCTTCTATACACCAACAGTGACCAAGTGGAGAATCAAATCAAGAACTCAACCCCTTTTATGTTAGCTGAAAAAAAAAACCCACTTAGGAATATACCTAACCAAGGAGTAGAAAGACCTCTACAAGGAAAACTGCAAAACACTGCTGAAAGAAATCATAGATAACACAAAAATGGAAACACATCCCATGCTCATGGATGGATACAATCAATATTGTGAAAATGACCAAACTGCCAAAAGCAATCTACAAATTCAATGCAATTCCCATTAAAATACCACTATCCTTCTTCATAGAAAAAAATCCTAAAATTCATATGAAATCAAAAAGTGATTGAGAGGGCCTAAAATGGGACAGCAGTTTTGGAAAGGAAAAGATGGATTTAGGAGCCTCCCCCCACCAAAAAAAAAAAAAGTTACAGGATTTAGGAATTAATGAGTTGCTTGTGCCTGTAAAGACCTGAGCGGGATTAAAGCTAGCCATGGGATCTCTAACCTTGGTGATTGGGAAATGAAGAAAAGATCATGGAGGAAATAGAAAAGTCAGTGATCCAGGGAAGAAGTTAGCCTTGGAAATAGCATGTGGTGTTCTGAGAGTGGATGAAATTAGGAGAAAGGAATAAAAATAAAGAGAAATTTTAATGTGTGGGAAGGTTAGGGAAAGTCAGATTTGAAAGTATAAGGCAGGAGGAAAACTTATCCGCAAGGAGTGAGGGGAAATTTGAAACATTAGATCCCTGAGGAGAATTGAACAGATTCAGTTGAAAATTGGCTAGGGAATAGGCTAAGATCATAAATAAATAAATAAATAAACAGACAAATAAATAAAAAACAGCTAAGCAGGGCCCAGCAGTAGTTAGAACTGATGGGCCCATAGGAAGCTAGACATCTTGGTTACCATGTTTCTTCCATCATTGCTTAAGCTCAGGAGTAGGAATAGAGTAAATGAATAGTGAATGTTATGAAGGATGGGCAAGAAGGACCTGATAGACTGGGTTAACAAGAATAGGTGTGGTATTGACAATGAACATGAAGAGTGGATTGGTGATAGGGAGATTTTGAATTTTGGTATTTAATAGGTTTTTCCAAGACTAGAAGTGATCCATTTCATGTCAGAATGATATTTTTATACTTCAGCTCAATTTCTAGAGTTTTCCCCTTTAACAGGATAATAAGCCTTCAACAAAGAACCAGATGAACAGAAAGTATACTAAATAAGAAAGACAACTGGTTAACCCACATTGAAAAAGTGAATTGATAATAAAAGTTATATGATAAAATGAGATAAAATGTTTAGCTGTAAATTCAGCAAAACTAAAACAAAATGATAATAGTGCTGAGAAGGGTGGATTGAAACAGTTGCTA
The DNA here is from genome assembly GCF_000001405.40 of Homo sapiens. Taxonomy (NCBI): domain Eukaryota; kingdom Metazoa; phylum Chordata; class Mammalia; order Primates; family Hominidae; genus Homo; species Homo sapiens. Next base: position 81,285,367 of record NC_000023.11, read on the forward strand.
TAATACGTTACTGATGTTGGCATAAATTGGTACCCCTTTTTGAAAACCAAAATGGCAAATACGTGTCAAGGATCTCAAAAATATTGGTACTCCTTCACCCAGTGGTTTCACATTGGGTATTATAATCAAGTGAAATAATCCTATACGTGGAAAAAGCTTCATAGATAAAAATGTGAATAGAAGTGTTAATTATAATCTTAAAACTTTGAAAACAAGTTAAATGCTTAACATATTTAACAAGAGGTTCAACTAAATTCATGCATTGAATGGACTTTATGGATAAAATATGAATCAAAGTATTATACTGTGTCTAATTCTGAACTTTAGAAACTAGTTAAGTATCTAACGATAGCGTCAACAAAAATAGTTTATCTACTGAATGAACTTGGACTGTCATGAAGAAAATGAAAATTTGTGAAAACATATATGTAAATGAGCTACAGAATTATTTTGAAAGTAAGGTTAATATTCTAATTACATTTAAAATGTATGGATAGGACAAAAAAAGAAACTGAAAGGTAGTTAATATGCATTTTCTCCTATTCTCTACTTTTAAATAATTATCAAACATACTCTTTACATTTAAAAAATAATTGAAACCAATGCACTGGAGAGCTTGATATTGAAAAGTACTCTGTGTCAAATATTTCCATAAGGCAAAGAATCCTTCTGTGTAAGACAAATAATTGTTGTATTCTTTTTTATATTGGATTGTTTAAAACAAGGTATGTATTTGTCTACTGTGATTCACTCAATTTTGTCAATATGAAATATTTCTTAGTACTGGCATTTCTTACTTTAAAGTGGAGATGATGGTTTTGAGATATGAAATAAGATCACTGATATTTTTACCACAAAATAAATATTTGGTGATGCTTGTGCAGAAAGGAAAACGACTCTATTGGCAAAGGCATGTTCACTTATGTTGAAAGAATAGAGGGTATGGGTCAGAGAAATGTCCTCGTTAGCTTTAGTTGAATTAAACTGCTCCAGGGAGGAGCTCCGGAGTCCATCTCTGCTGTGAGATTTGAAGCAATCCTATTTATACTGAATTCATCCTATTTTTACTACATCTCCAAGAGAGACTGCATGTTCATAAACTTAGCTGTGGTATTGATTTTAGCTACTAGGCAAAAAAAAAAAAAAAAAAAAAAAAAAGAGAGGGGAAAAGCAGGAAAGAAGGATGGATGCCTATAATGGGCCAAACACTGAGATAGGCACCTCAGGTACATCTCATTTTATCTTTCCACCATCCCTTTAGGATAGATATAATTAGAAGCACTTTAGAGAGGATAATTTAAGTAATTTATCAAAGGGTATATAATGATTTAGTAGTGAAGCTGAAATTTTAGCCCAGGATTATCTGATTTAAAACCAGTGCCTTTATGGAATGATGTTTACATTGGGAATACGGAGGAAGAGAACATTATATGCTTGCTCTTAAAGCTCTCTGTTTGATTGGATGACTCATTCTACAAATACTGACAATTTGCTTGTAGGCACTAATAAGGAGTTCAGATAAATTCACATATTTGATATATAAAATAAGATTAGAAAGGTAAATAATTTACTGTAACTTTGATGTGTTCTAAAGACAAATTATAAAGAATTTTGAGATGAATTTTGTTCTGGATTTCTATGCCAGTGATTTCTCCCATTAAAAATGATAACTTAGAGCTGCAGAATTTATGACAAATTATAGGAAAGATTGATAGTGTGTCACTTTAGGGAAATAAACTTCTTTCCCTATATGTGTAACTAGTATTAATCCAAAATACTAGTTACAAATCGAAATGAAGAAAACAATACAAAATGAAAGAAAACGTTGGTATTTTGAAAAGTTAAACAAAATTGACAAACTTTTAGCCAGACTAAGAAAAAAGTGGAGAAGATTTAAATAAAAATCATAGATGAAAATGAGACATTACAACTTATACTGCAGGAATTCAAAGGATTATTAGTGGCTGCTACAAGCAATTATATGCCAATAAATTGGAAATTCTAGAAGAAATAGACAAATTTCTAGACACGTACAATCAACCAAGATTGAACCATGAAGAAATCCAAAACCTGAACAGACCAATTACAAGTAAAAAGATCAAAGCCATAACAAAATGTTTATCAGTAAATAAAAGCCTGAAACCCAATGGCTTCACTGCTGAATTTTACCAAACATTTAAAGAAATGCTAATACCAAACACTGCATGTTCTCATTCCTAAGTGGGAGTTGAACAATGAGAACACATAGACACAGGGAGGGTAACATCACACACCGGGACCTGTCTGTGGGTGGGGGAGTAGGGGAGGGACAAGATTAGGAGAAATACTTAATATAGGTGACGGGTTGACGGGTGCAGCAGACCACCAGGGCATGTGTATACCTATGTAACAAAACTGCATGTTCTGCACATGCAACCCAGAACTTAAAGTATAATAATAAAAAAGAAATGGCAATACCAATTTTACTCAAACTATTCTGATAAATAGAGGAGGAACGAATAGTTCCAAAATCATTCTACAAGGCCAATATTACCCTGGTGCCAAAATCACACTAGAATACATAAAAAAGAAAAAGAAAGAAGGAAGGAAGGAAAGAAAGAAAGAAAGAAAGAAAGAGAAAGAAAGAAACTACAGGACAATATCTCTGATGAATACTGATACAAAATTTTTCAAAAATATATTAGCAAACAGAATTCAACACTATATTAGAAAGATCATTCATCCTGACCAAGTGAGAATTTTTTCTGGAATGCAATGATCATTCAATATATGCAAATCAACCAATGTGACACATTATATCAACAGAATGAAGGATAACAACCATCTGATCATTTCAATTGATGCTGAAAAAGCATTTGATATAATTCAACGTCTTTTAAGATAAAAGCCATCAAAAAGACTTAGTATAGAAGGAACATACTTCAACACAATAAAAGCCATATATGACTGAACCACAGCTAGTATCATACTGAATGAGGAAAAACTGAATGCCTTTCCTATAAGATATGGAGCACTACATTGATGCCACTTTCACCACTGTTATTTAACATAGTACTGGGAGTCTTAGCTAGAGCAACCAGCCAAGAAAAATACCTAAAGTTATCCAAACTCAAAATGAAGAAGTCAAATTATCCCTGTTTGCAAATGATATAATGTTGAATTCAAAGAGTTTTAAAGACTTCACCAAAAAACCATTAGGACTGATAAACAAACTCAGTAAAGTTGCAGGATGCAAAATCAACATACAAAGTCAGTAGCATTTCTATATGTCAACAGCAAATAATATGAAAAATAATATAAGAAGTAATTCCATTTACAATAGCCACAAATAAAATTAAATACCTAGGAATTAACTTAACCAAAGATCTTAAAGTTTTCTACAATGAAAATGTAAAGCATTGATGAAAGAAATTGAAGATGACATAAAAAATTGAAAAAATATTCCATGATCATGGATTGAAATAATCAATACATTAAAATGTTCATACTGTCCAAAACAATCTACAGATTCAATTAATATAAAAATATCAATGACATTCTTCACAGAAATAAAAAAAAATCTAAAATTCATGGGTAACCACAAAAGACCCAGAATAGCCATAGCTATCCTAAGTGTAAAGAACAAAACTAGAGGAATCACATTACCTGACTTCCAATTATAATACAGAGCTATACTAATCAAAACAGCAAGGTATTGGCATAAAAACAAACACATACACCAAGGTGACAGAATAGAGAACCCAGAAACAAATCCTCACATCTACGGTGAACTCATTTTTGACAAAGGTGCCAAGAACATACACTGGGGAAAAGAGAGTCACTTCAATAGATGGTGCTGGGAAAACTGGACATCCATATGCAGAAGAATGAAACTTGACCCCTATCTCTTGCCATATACAAAAACCATTTCACAATGAAGACTTAAATCTAATACCTCAAACTATGAAATGACTACAAGAAAACACTGTAGAAACTCTCCAGGACATTGATCTGGGCAAAAATTTGTTGAGAAATATCCCAAAAGCACAGGCAACGAAAGTAATCATGGACAAATGGGATCACATCAAGTTAAAAAGTTTCTTCACAACAAAGGAAACAATAAACAAAGTGAAGAGACAACCCAAAGAATGGGAGAAAATATTTGCAAACTACCCATCTGACAGGGGATCGGTAACGAGCATATATGAGAGGCTCAAACCACTCTATAGGGGCCATGCATGGTGGCTTAGACCTTTAATCCCAGCACTTTGGGAGACTAAGACGGGCAGATCACTTGAGGCTAGGAGTTTGAGACCTGCCTGACCAACAAGGTGAAACCCCGTCTCTACTAAAAATACAAAAATTAGCCGGGAGTAGTGGCACAAATCTGTAAGACATGCTTCTCAGGAAGCTGAGACACGAAAATCACTTCAACCCAAAAGGTGGAGGTTGCAGTGAGCCAAGATTGTACCACTGCACTTCAGCCTGGTTGACAGAGTGAGACTGCCTCAAACAAACAAAAAACAACTCTATAGGAAAAATTCTAATAATCCAATTAAAACGTAGGCAAAAGATTTGAATAATCCTTTGTCAAAAGAAGACATATGAGTTGCAAACAGATGTGAAAGTGTGCTAAACATCACTGATCATTAGAGAAATGCAAATAAAAACTACAATGAGATATAATCTCACCTCAGTTAATATGGCTTTTATCCAAAGGTCAGGCAATAATACATGCTGGTAAGGATGAGGAGAAAAGGGATCATTCATACACTGTTGGTGGGAATGTAAATTAATACAGCCACTATACAGAACAGTTTGGAGGTTCCTCAAAAACCTAAAAGTAGAACTACCATATGATTCAGCAATCCTGCTGCTGGGTATATACACTAAAAAAAGCAAATCAGTATATCAAAGAGATATCTGCAATCTCATGTTTGTTGCCACACTGTACACAATAGCCAAGATTTGGAAGTAACCTAAGTGTCCATGAACAGATGAGTGGGTTAAGAAAATGTGGTATTTATACATAATAGAGTAGTATTCAGCCATGAAAAAGAATGAGATCCAGTCATTTGCAACAAAATGGAGGGAACTGGAGATTACCATTTTAAGTGATATAAGCCAAGAACAGAGAGACGATCACCACGTTCTCACTTATTTGTGGGATCTAAAAATCAAGCAATTGAACTCATGGAGATAGAGAATAGAAAGATGGTTACCAGAGGTTGAGAAAGGTAGTGGGTGATTGAGAAGTGGGTTTGGTTAATGGCACAAAAAACAGAAACAATGAGTAAGATCTAGTATTTGATACCAAAACATGAAGACTACGGTCAAAAATAAATTAATTGTATACTTTAAGATAACTAATAATATAATAATTATGTTGTTTATAATACAAACAATACATATTGGAGTTATGGATACCCCGTTTACCCAGATGTGATTATTATCCATTGCATGCCTGTATCAAAACATGTCATATACCCCATAAATATATATACCTACTATGTACATACAAAAATTCAAAATAAAAAAAAGAACAAAATACTGGCTATGGAGCAATGTTAGGTCCTTAGAGGAAAAAGGATTTCATGTTAGGTCATTTTTGCATTATTATACAACTGCTTCTCCAACTATGTATGCTATGTTTTTGAGGGGTCTTAGTATAAATTATTTTTTGAGTTATGTGTAGAAATTCTTGAAAGCTTGTTCTATAAAATGAAGCAAGATGCATACTGTGACTTTAACATATTCATTTTGACATCTAAACACTGTTAAAGCTTCAAAAGAACTTAGGGACTTTTCCTTTTTTGACTAGGCATTTGCAAAGGTGAGTCTATTAGTTCATTCTCACACTGCTATAAACAACTACCCAAGACTGGGTAATTTATAAAGAAAAGAAGTTTAATTTACTTACAGTTCCACAGGCTATAAAGCAGACATGGCTTGGGAGGCCTCGGGAAACTTACAATCATGGTGGAAGGCAAAGGGGAAGCAAGCACATCTACACTTGTTGGCAGGAGGCGTTGAGTTAGGTGCTACACACTTTTAGACAAGCAGAAATAAGGGGATGGTGCTAAACCATTAGAAACCACCCCCCATGATCCAATCAGCTCTCACCAGGCCCCTCCTCCAACAATGAGAATTACAATTTGACATGAGATTTGGGTGGGGATGCAGAGCTGAACCATATCATTATGCCTCTGGCCCCTCCCAAATCTCATGTCCTTTTCACATTGCAAAATACTGTCATCTCTTCTCAACAGTCTTCCAAAGTCTTAACTCCTTTCAGCATTAACTAAAAAGTCCAAGTCCAAAGTCTCATTTGAGATGAGGCAAGTCCATTTTTCCTATAAGCCTGTAAAATAAAAAGAAGTTAGTTACTTCCAAGATACAGTAGGAGTACAGGCATTAGGTAAGTGCTCCTATTACAAAAGGGGGAAATTGGCCAAAACTGACAAAATTGCTCTATGTAAGACTGAAACCAAGTAGGACAATTATTACATCTTAAAGTTTCAAAATAATCTTCTTTGACTGCATGTCTCACATCCAGGGCACACTCATGCAAGGGATGTGATACCAGGGCCTTGGGCAACTCTGATCCTGCAGCTCTGCAGGGTACAGCCTTGGCAACTGCACTCATGGGCTGGTGATGAGTGCCTGTGGCTTTACCAGGTCCACGGTGCAAGCTGTGAGTGGATCTACCATTCTTCCTGGAGGCAGTGGCCCCTTTCTCACAGCTACACTAGGCAGTACCCCAGTGTAGCCTCTGTGTGGGGGCTCCAACCCCACATTTTCTCTCAGCACTGCCCCAGTAGAGGTTCTGCATGAGGGCTCCATGCTTGCAGCAGACTTCTGCCTGGACATCCAGGTATTTTCATACATCCTCTGAAATCTAGGCCGTGACTCCCAAGCTTCAACTCTTGCCTGCTGTACCCCCACAGCCTTAACATCATGTGGAAGTACCCAAGGCTTGTAGCTTCCATCATCTGGAGCAGTGGCCTGACACATATCTGGGGCCCTTTTAGCCATGGTTGTAGCTGGAGTGGCTGGAACATGAGTTGCCATATCCTGAGGCTGCACAGAGCAGTGGAGCTCTGTGCCTGGCCCACAAAACCATTTTACTATTCCAGGCCTCTGGGCTTTTGATGGCAGGGGCTGCCATAAAGGCCTCTGAAATGCCCTGGAGGCATTTTCTTTATTGTCTTGGCTATTAACATTCAGCTCCCTTTACTTATGCAAATTTCTGCAGTCAGCTTGAATTTCTTCCCTGAAAATGGGTTTTTATTTTCTACCATACGGTTAGGTTTCAAATTTTCCAAACTTTTATTATCTGCTTCCCTTTTCAATGTAAGATGCAATTTCAGACCATTTCTTTGTGAATGTATATGAGCTATGCTGTTAGAAGCAGCCAGGCTACATCTTGAACCCTTTGCTCCTTAGAAATTTCTTCCACCAGAGACCCTAAATCAGGGATGTCCAATCATTTGGCTTCCCTGGACCACAATGGAAAAAGAACAATTGTCTTGGGCCACACATAAAATACAATGACACTAGTGATAGCTGATGAACTAAAAAATATTGCAAAAAAAAAATCTCATAATGTTTTAAGAAAGTTTATGACTTTGTGTTGGATCATTGATATGGTTTGGCTCTGTGTCTGCATCCAAATCTCATCTTGAATTGTACTCCCACAATTCCCACGTGTTGTGGGAGAGACTCAGTGGGAGATAATTTGAATCATGGGGGCAGTTTCCCCCATACTGTTCTAGTGGTAGTGAATAAGTCTTGTGATCTGATAGTTTTATCAGAGGTTTCTGCTTTTGCATCTTTCTCATTTTCTCTTGCTGCCACTGTGTAAGAAGTGCCTTTCTCCTCCCCCATGATTTTGAGGCCTCCTCAGCCATGTGGAACTGTAAGTCTAATTAAACATTTTTTTTTTCTTCCCAGCCTCGGGTATGCCTTTGTCAGCAGGGTGAAAATGGACTAATATGGTAAATTGGTACCAGCACAGTGGAGTGTTGCTGAAAAGATACTTAAAAATGTGGATGTGGCCAGGTGCGCTGGCTCATGCCTGTAATCCCAGCACTTTGGGAGGTCGAGGCAGGTGGATCACTTGAGATCAGGAGTTTGAGACCAGCCTGGCCAACATGCTGAAACCCTGTCTCTACTAAAAATACAAAAAGTAGCTGGGCATGGTGGCATGTGCCTGTAGTCCCAGCTACTTGGGAGGCTGAGGCAGGAGGATCACTTGAATCAGGGAGGTGGAGGTTGCAGTGAGCTGAGATTGCACCACGGCACAACAGCCTGGGTGATAGAGTGAGATTCCATCTCAAAAAAAATGTGGAAGTGACTTTTTAACTGGGTAACAGGCAGAGGTTGGAACAGTTTGGAGGGCTCAGAAGAAGACAGGAAAATGTGGGAAAGTTTGGAACTTCCTAGAGACTTATTGAATGACTTTGACCAAAAGCTTGATGGTGATATGGACAATAAGGTCCAGGCTGAGGTGGTCTCAGATAGAGATGAAGAACTTGTTGGGAACTGGAGCAAGGTGATTCTTGATATGTTTTAGCAAAGAGACTGGTGGCATTTTGCCCCTGCCCTAGGGATTTATAGAACTTTGAACTTGAGAAAGGTGGTTTAGGGTATCTGGTAGAAGAAATTTTGAAGCAGTAAAGCATTCAAGAGGTGACTTGGGTGTGGTTAAAGGCATTCACTTTCATAAGGAAAGCAGAGCATAAAAGTTTGGAAAATTTGCAGCCTGACAATGTAATAGAAAAGAAAAGCCCATTTTCTGAGAAGAAATGCAAGCCGGATGCAGAAATTTGCATAAGTAATGAGGAGCCAATTATTAATCCCCAAGAAAATGGGGAAAAAGTCTCCAGGGCATGTCAGAGGTCTTCACGGCAGCCCCTTCCATCACAGGCTCAGAGGCCTAGGAGGAAAAAATGGTTTTGTGGTTCAGACCCAGTGTCTGCATACTGTGTGCAGTGTAGGGACTTTGTACCCTGTGTCCCAGCCACTCCAGCCATGACTAAAAGGGGCCAAAGTACAGCTTGTGCCATGGCTGTGGTGGGCACAAGCCCCAAGCCCTGGCAACTTCCATGTGGTGTTGAGCCTGTGGGTGCACAGAAGTCAAAAATTGAGGTTTGGGAATCTCTGCCTAGATTTCAGAGGATGTATGGAAATGCCTCGATATCCAAGCAGAAGTTTGCTGCAGAGGTGGGGCTCTCATGGAGAACCTCTGCTAGGGCAGTGCAGAAGGGAAATGTGGAGTTGGAGCCCCCACACAGAGTCCCTACCGGGGCACCGCCTAGTAGAGCTGTGAGAAGAGGGCCACTGTCCTTCAGACCCCAGAATGGTAGATCCACTGACAGCTTGCACCATGTGCCTGGCAAAGCTGCAGACACTCAACACCAGTCTGTGAAAAGGTCTGGGAGGGAGGCTGTACCCTGCAGAGCCACAGGGGCAGAGCTGCCCAAGACCATGGGAACCTACCTTTTGCATCACTGTGACCTGGATGTGAGACATGGAGTCAAAGGAGATCATTTTGGAGCTTTAAGATTTGACTGCCCTGCTGGATTTTGAACTTTCACTGGGCCTGTAGCCCCTTTGTTTTGGCCAATTTCTCCCATTTGGAACATCTGTATTTACCCAATGCCTGTACCATCGTTGTATCTAGGAAGTAATGAACTTGCTTCTGATTTTACAGGCTCATAGGCGGAAGGGACTTTACTTGTTTCAGATGAGACTTCAGACTGTGGATTTTTGGTTTAATGCTGAAATGAGTTAAGACTTTGTGGGACTTTTGGGAAGGCATGACTAGTTTTGAAATGTGAGGACATGAGATTTGGAGAGGTCAGGGGTAGAATGATATGGTTTGTCACTTTGTTCTCACCCAAATCTCATCTTGAGTTTTATTTCTATAATTTTCACCTGTTTTGAGAGGGACTCGTTGGGAGATAATTTGAATCATGAAGGCAGTTTCCTCCATACTGCTTTTGTGGTAGTGAATAAATCTCACCAGATCTGTTGGTTTTATCCGGCGTTTTCACTTTTGCATCTTCCTCATTTTCTCTTGCTGCCTCCTCTTAAGAAGTGTCTTTCACCTTCCGCCATGATTCTGAGGTCTCCCCAGCCATGTGGGACTGTAAGTCCAATTAAACCTCTTTTTCTCCCTCGTCTTGGGTATGTCTTTATGAGCAGCATGAAAACAGACTAATACAGCCACATTCAAAGCTGTCCTGGGCAGCATGCAGCCCACAGACCACAGGTTTGACAAGCTTGCCCTAAACCATCTCTCTCAAGTGCAAATTTCAACAGATCCCTTGAGCTGGGGCACAGTGTCACCAGTCTCTTTGCTGAAGCACAGTAGTTGTGACCATTACTCCAGTTTCAAATAAGTTCTTCATCTTCATCAGAGACCACCTCAGTATGGACCTTATTGTCCATGTCACTATCAGCATTTCGGTCATAACAATTTAACAAGTCTCTAGGAAGCTCCAAACTTTCCATCATCTTTCTGCCTTCTTCTGAGCCCTCCAAATTGTACCAACCTTTCCTCCAAAGTTGGTTCCACATTTTCAGGTATCTTTATAGTAATACCCCACCCCTGGTACCAATTTTATGTATTAGTTCATTCTTACACTGCTATAAAGAACTTTTTGAGATTGGACAATATATAAAGAAGAAAGAGGTTTAATTGACCCACACCTCCAAAGACTGTACAGGAGCCATGGCTGAGGAGGCCTCAGGAAACTTACAATCATGGCAAAGGGTGAAGGGGAAGGAAGCACGTCCTCGCCTGGTGGCAGGAGAGAGAGGGAGAGGTGCTACACACTTTTAGACAAGCAGCAGTAGGAGGATGGTGCTAAGCCATTAGAAACTGCCCTCATGATCAAATATCCTCCCAGCAGGCTGCTCCTCCAACACTGGGAATTGCAATTTGACATGGGATTTCGGTGGGGACACAGAGCCAAACCATATCAATGAGTCAGTAGTATATTTCGTTATTTTTTTAAAGGATATGAAGAATGAATTTTGGTGTCATTTAATATTTTCTTCTTTCCTCTACTTTTGCCTTTTTTGGGTAAAAATCTAGTGTCTCTTTTAGCTTTTCTCCCTTCTTTTGCATGTAATACTGGGACTCATTTGGACAGTATCAGTCCTCCTGAGACTGTCAAGTATTGATTTAGTGACAGGTGTTTAGAATGATGTTGTCTACCACGCTTGATTTCTACAACTTAAGTCTGATGTTTCCTTTTCTGGAGTCAATCTTGCCACTCATCTTTAGTTCAACAAACTTTCCTTGAAGTTTATTTTGTGTCAAGTAGGTCAGAGTTCCTATGCTAGAGGTGAGTACCTCACTATCCAGAGGAGAAGGAAGACAACCTGATTTTTTGGTGTGTATTCTATCATAAAACATGAAAACTACAATATTTTAATGGATAGCACATTTTCTAAGTAATTTAAACCTTAATTAACCAAAACCCAACTAATTTTAAACTTAAGTAACCATGTTTTTATATTCTCAATTTTCATGAAAAAAAATCACACAAAAAGGAAACTGACTATTTTTAAGTAAAATATCAATTATAATTGTATATCACTTGCTTTCATGAAAGTATTCCAAATCATTAGGAATGATTAGGTAGTCTTTTTGTGTATCTGTTTCTAGAAATCTGTTTGTATTATATAGTTTTTCTATTAAGAACTTTTTAAGAAATCTCTTCTGGGGGCTTTTGTTTATTCTTAGTAGTTGGAACTAATGTAGTCTGACTAAAATACACATGGGTGTCTGCTCTGTGATGTTTAAACTTATCTGTTTTGTTTGTTTTTCATTTCAGGAAGCAGAAGTGCAAGCAAAGCAGCAAGCATGAACCTTAAGCACTGTGCTTTAAGCATCCTGAAAAATGAGTCTCCATTGCTTTTATAAAATAGCAGAATTAGCTTTGCTTCAAAAGAAATAGGCTTAATGTTGAAATAATAGATTAGTTGGGTTTTCACATGCAAACATTCAAAATGAATACAAAATTAAAATTTGAACATTATGGTGATTATGGTGAGGAGAATGGGATATTAACATAAAATTATATTAATAAGTAGATATCGTAGAAATAGTGTTGTTACCTGCCAAGCCATCCTGTATACACCAATGATTTTACAAAGAAAACACCCTTCCCTCCTTCTGCCATTACTATGGCAACTTAAGTGTATCTGCAGCTCTACATTAAAAAGGAGAAAGAGAAATAACCTGTCTCTCATTCCTAAGTTGCCTCATTAATTTTCATGAACAAGAATATGTACCTTTTTGATGCTATATTACTGCGATTAAAAAGTTCTTGCAGGTAATGTTTATGATATGTTAAACGTTGTAATTTCCTATCGTAATTATAACATTCCCATTCTTTTGTAGATGAAACTTCTACATATTGAACCACAGATTTTCTGAGCTTCTAAATGTAGCCTTTCATTGCACATTTCAGTGATCAGAATAGATATCCTTTTACACGCACAAAAGCAATAGATTCATTCAGTGGACAAGTTCCTTGTTTAACTACACAGCTATGATGGAATGATATATCCAAGTTCCTTGCCTCAGTGAAATATGCATATGTATATCATGAAAGTGGGATGCCAAGTAAGCTTAAAATGGCATTCTCTAGCAAAGAGATTAGACTTTTAAATAACTCTTATAAAACAGGTTGGCGATCATTTCCCAAGATTGGTTTCCCTTGAGTTTTTGCTAAAACAAATCTTAGTAGTTTTGCCCGTTTAAAACAACTCACAATCGTAAATGCTACTATTCCTAAGATATCTTACCTTTTTATTTCAGTTTAGCCATGTATTGTATGAGTGTATTAGTCTAAGCAGTGAGAATCTTTTCTATGCCTCTATTCCAGCAAAAAGTAGAAGTATCAAATAAAAAGGGCAACTTTTAAAATATTAAGCCTGAAGACTTCTAAAAAGACAAGAAACATGGCCTAAATAACCAACATAGATTTACATAGTAAGTTTCACACTACCTTATTACCAAAAGCAAACACCTCTTACTTTAAACTACATTATCATGTATATCTATTGTATGCTGGTCTTTACTTTTTGCCAAAATCAACATATAATGAAGAGATGCCTTTGTTTCATGAGATTCAAACTTGATGCTATGCTTTAAAATAAACTCAGTACTTTTAGAAACATAACTTATGTGTTCTTGGAGTTTATATAATAGTAATTTTAGATGAGTAATATCTTTTTTTAGAGGGTTGGGAATGCAAAAAGAGAAAATAGTAGAAAGAAAAAGCTTTGAATGCAATTCAAGGTTTTCGTTTTCTATGTTTTCTTTTTAGGGCTTTTAATCTCACAATACACATGAGGTCAAATGAACAATTTTATTGGGTTTACAAAAATACGGCATAAAGAACTCTAGAGAAAACAGGGTGCTTTGTAATACACTGGAAACGCAAAAAAAGTTTTTTAGTCAATATTTTCTCCTAAGCTTTATTAAATGTTGCTGATGATACTTGCAATATTTTATGTGGTCATTTTCACTTTTATTTTAATGTCAAATAAGTTAACACTGCCAAAATGGGCATTCTTTAAAAATAGATGTATTTTTTGCCATGTTTATATAACTTAAAATTAACATAGTATATTAAAGTAAAAGGTTGAATTGAGTCTTCCTAAACTGAAATATTTTATTTTGTCAGCTGAGAAATATGTTTTGTAGATACAAAAATGCAAGTGAAATTCTGAATATGAAGGTGAGTTTTATTTAAAAAAATCTCCAAAATATTTGGCCGGAAAATATAATCTTTGCCACTTGTTATATTACATTCAGATTGTTTCTGTTTGTAAATCAGACTTGTTTATTTGTTATGTTCAGTTATTGAGCTGGTTTGTTCTTGGGAATATTTGACTCTCAGGAAGATTTTCATTTTCACCAAACAATGCAAATTGGACGTCGATTGCATTGTTAAATGTCAACATTTCTTTGGGAGTCTGAGTGTAGGGGTAAACAGAATTTTAAAACAGAAGTTGTTAATTACTTGCTTGGGAAAGTTTAAATACAGAAAATGTTGGTGAAGTCAGATTTCATTGCACATATTCCATTCATTCAGCAAAAGGAAAAATGAGGATTCACATGGATTTTATTACCCAGTTGTGGATGCTGAAAAATATTGAAAGGTTGACATTGGTCTAATCTTTTTAATGTAAAATACATATTTCTTTTCTTTTGAAGAATTCCAACAAAACTGATTAAGAAACATGCACATTTGATTAATTTGAACCTTCTAGTCTTCTGCTTCCACCCATCATTCTTCCCCTGTATCTATTATCACCTTCCTTTATTTAGCAAACAAAATTTTGAAATCCTTTGTAAAGAGTACTATAATGTTACCATAATTCCTATTTTCACACAATTGTCTTTTTAACATCTTTACTGAGATATACAATTCACATACTGTAAACTTTGCTCATTTAAAGTGTATAAGGCAGTGACTTTTACTATATTCACAGAATCATGCAACCATCACTAAGATTTAAGTTTAGAATGTTTCATCACCCAACAAATAAACTCTACCCAATAGCAGTCACTCCCCATCCCCCACTCCCTCAGCACTATGCAAACACCAACTTACTTTCTGTCTCTGTGGATTTACCTATTCTAGACATTTTATATAACTAAAGTCATACAATATGTGGTCTTTTGTGGTTTGTGTCTTCTAGTTACCACATTTTTGAGTTTCATCCATGTTGTAGCATGCATTAGTACTTCACATGTTTTATTGAATAACATTCCATTGTATGGATAAAAGCACATTATGTTTGCCCATTAATCAGTTGATGGACATTTGGGTGGTTTCCACTTTTTGGCTGTTACGCATAATGCTGCTATGAACATCGGTGTACAAATTTTTTGTTGGAATACCTGTTTTTGTGTCTTGGATATATATGTAGAAGAGTTACATGATTGTTCTGTATTTAACAATTTGAGGAACGTGAGACTTTTCCAAGTTGGCTTCACTATTTTACATTCCCACCAACAATGTATGAGTATTGTTCTGATTTTCCCAATTTCTGGCCAGTGCTTGTTGTTATTTACACTTTTGATTACAGCCATTCTGATGGCTATAAAGTGGTTCCTCATTGTAGTTGTGATTTACATTTCTCTGATGGCTAAATATGTTGAGCATCTTTTTATGTGATTATAGCCATTTATATATCTTCTTTGGAGAAATGTCTTTTCAGATCCTGTGTCCATCTTTAAATTGGGTTATTTGTATTTTTATTGCTCAATTTTAACATTTCCTTATATATTCTGATTACAAGTCTGTTATTATATATGTGGTTTGAAAATGTTTTACCATTATATGGGTCGTCTTATTTTCTTGAGGGTATGCTTTGAAGTATGTAAGTTTTAAATTTTGGCAAATTCATCTTTTTTTTTGTTATTGCTTATATTTTGTTTTTGCTAAGGAAACATTGCCTAATCCAAGGTCATAAAGATTTACTTTTCTGTTTTCATTTAATAGTTTTACCTTGAGCACTTACGTCTGTGATCTATTTTGAGTTACTTTTTGTATATGATATGGGATAGGGATTTAAGTTCATTCAGTTGTCCAAGCACCATTTGCTGAAATGACCACTCTTTCCCCATTAAATTTTCCTGGCAGCTTTGTCAAAAATAAGATAATCATACATAAATATGTAGTTATATATTTGTTAATTTAATGATTTTAACAAATTATAATTGCATACAACTAGAAGTAGTGTGATGCTATTTTATATAATATATATTATATATGTGTATATATGCACAGTGGGAAATGATTTAATCAAACTAATTAATATATCCATAACCTTACTTTATTCCTACTGTTCAGATGCAACTTTTTACTGTTTGACCAACATCACCCTATTTCACCCCACCTAGCCTCTGCTAACCAACATTATTTTAGATTCCACATATAAGTGAGACCATGTGGTATTTGTATTTCTGCATCTGGCATATTTCACTTAGTATAGTGTCCTCCACATTCATCCATGTTGTTGCAAATACAGAATCTTCTTTTTTATAAGGCTGGATAGTATTCCACTGTATATGTGTGTGTATATTATATATATGTAAAACATAAATATATAATATATATATAAAATACACATATACAGTGGAAATGTTACATAAGAAACACATATAAAGACACATATATAAAGGAACATATATAGAGAACATAAGAAGAACACATGTAGACATAAGAAGAACATAAAGAACATATATATGTTCTTTATATATGTTCCTTTATATATGTTTTTATAAACAACATATATTCTTTAAGATATTTTATAAAGAACATATATTCTTTATAAAAACATATATAAAGGAACATATATAAAGAAAATGTTTTATATGTATATATATATATATACACACACACACACAGACATATTTTCTTTATCCATTCATCCATTGATGGACACTTGGGTTGATTCCATAACTTGTCTATTGTAAATAATGCTGCATGTAAAGGTATATTTCGGGGCATTCAATTATATTTCTATGGTTTATATGTCAGTGTACTATATGTGTACCTTTGCCAGTTCCACACAGTTTTGATTTCTGTAGCTGTGTAGTACATTTTGAAACTTGGAAGTGTGAGTCCTCCAGTGTTGTTCTTTCTTTTTAAATTCTTTTTTTTCTTTGGCATCCCTTGCATTTCTGTATGACTCATAGGATCAGCATGTCAATACCTGCAAAAAACCCAGCTGGGATTTTGATAAGGATTCTGTTGAATATTTAGTTGAACATGGGAAGCAGTGTCATCTTTACAATATTAACTCTTTTAATTCATAAGCATGGATGCCTTTCCATTTAATTGCATCTTTTTTAGTTGCTTTCAGCAATAGTTTTTAGTTTGCAGAGTTTATACTTCACCCTTTTTTCTTAAATTTATTTCTAAACATTTTATTCTTTTTGATGCTGTTATAAGTAGAATTGTTTTCTTAATATTAATTTTGGTTTCTTCATATCTATCCAGTGTACATAAACACACGTGACCACTGTATTTACGTATGATTTTTGTATTTTCATTTTGTAACTTGCAACATTGTTGAATTGGTTTATTGCTTCTCATAGGTTTTCTTGTGGATTCTTTAAGATAGTTTATATATTAATAAAAAATCCTGTCATCTGCAAAGGAAGAAACTTTTACTTCCTTTCTGATCTGGATATATTGTATTTCTTGCCTGATTGGCCTGGTTAGAACCTCGATTACAATGTTGAAAATAAGTTTCTAGAGCATAAATCCTCGTCTTCTTCCCGATTTATTTATTTACTTATGTCAATCTTTTGCCGTTAAGTGAAATATAAGTTTGACATATATTTTTTCCACATTTATTAAGCTGGTTTTACCTAAAAGCGCTTTTTTTTTCTTTTTATTTTTAAAGTAGGTTCAGGAGCTACATGTGCTTTACTCATTTTTACATGGGTAAAATACATGTTAATGGGGTTTGCTGAAGGAATTATGCTGTCACTCAGGGAGTGAGTTTAGTACACAATAATTAGTTTTTTAACTATCAACCCACTTCCACTATCCTCTCCAAGTAGTCCTCAGTGTCTGTTGTTCTCAGCTTTGTGTCCTTGTATACTGTGTTTAGTTCCCACTTGTAAGTGGGAACACGTGATATTTGATTTTCTGTTCCTGTGTTAGGTGGCTTAGGATGATGGCCTCAAGCTGCATCCATGTTTCTGCAAAGGACATGATTTCATTGTTTTTATGACTGTGTAGTATTCCAGGGTCTATACCACATTTTCTTAAATCCAGGCCACTGTTGAAGGGCATCCAGGCTGATTTCATATCTTTGCTATTGTTAATAATGCAGCAATGAACATATGAGTGCATGTGTCTTTTTTGTAGAATGATATATTTGCTTTTAGAGGTATATCCAGTAATGCGGTTGCTGGTTTGAATACTAGTTCTGTTTTAAGTTGTTTAAGAAATCTCAAAATGGCTTTCCACAGTGGCTGAACTAATTTACATTCCCACCAACAGTGTATAGGCATTTTCTTTTCACCACAAACCTAGGCAGCATCTGCTATTTTTTGACTTTTTAATAATAACCATATTAACTGGTGTGAGAAGGTATCTCACTGTGGTTTTGATTTGCAAATCTTTGATGATAAGTGGAGTTGTGAATGTTTTCATATATTTAATAGCTCCTTTAAATAGTCTTCTTTTGGGAAGTGTCTGCTCATGTCCTTTCACCATTTTTTAAATGGGGCTATTTGGTTTTTGCTTCTTGATTTGTTTCAGTTCCTTATAGATTCTGGATATTACACCTTTGTCAGATGCATAGTTTACGAATATTTTCTCCCATTTTGTATGTAGTCTGTTTACATTGTTGATCGTTTCTTTTGCTGTGCAGAAGCTCTTTAGTTTAATTAGGTCTCATTTGTCAATTTTTGTTTTTGTTACAGTTGCTTTTTGGGACTTAGTCATAAAATCTTTGCCAAGGCCTATGTTGAGAAAAGTATTTCCTAGGTGTTCATTTAGGGTTTTTATAGGTTGAGGTCTTATGCTTAAATCTTTAATTCAGCTTGAGTTGATTTTTGTAAGTGGTTAAAGAAAGGGGTCCAATTTTAATCTTCTGCATATAGTTATCCAGTTATCAAAGCACAGTTTATTGTATAGGAAGTCCTTTCCCCATTACTTGTCATTGTCAACTTTGTCAAATATCAGATGGTTGTAAGTGTGCAGCTGTATTTCTTGGTTCTCTCTCCTGTTCCATTGGTCCATGGATGTGTTTTTGTACCAGTATTATGCTGCTTTGGTTACTTTAGCCTTGTAGTGTAGTTTCAAGTTGGTAAGTGTGATGCTTCTGGCTTTGCTCTTTTTGCTTAGGATTGCTTTGATTATTCAGGCTCTTTTTTTGGTTCTATGTGAATTTTGAAATTGCTTTCTATACTTCTGTGAAAAATGGCATTGGTAGTTTGATAAGAATAGCATTGAATATATTGATAGCTTTGGGCAGTATGGCCATTTAAATGATATTAATTCTTCCCATACATGAGCATGGAATATTTTTCCAATTGTTTGTGTTGTCTCTATTTCTTTCAGTACTGTTTTGTAGTTCTCAATGTAGAGATCCTTCATGTTTTTGTTTGGATGTATTCCTAGATATTTTATTCTTTTTGTGGCTATTGCAAATGGGATTGCATTATTGATCTGGCTCTCAATGTGAATGTTATTGTCATATAGAAATGCTATTGATTTTTGTACATTAATTTTGTATCCTGAAACTTAACTGAAGTCATTTTTCAGTTCTAGGAGCCTTGTGGCAGAGTCTTTAGCATTTTCTAGCAATAGAATCATATCATCTGCAAAGACAGATAGTGTGACTTCCTCTTTTTCTATTTGGGTGCCTTTTATTTCTTTCTCTTGCCTAATTGCTCTGGCTACAAATTTCAGCACTGTGTTAAGTAGGAGTGGTGAGAGTGGGCATCCTTGCCTTGTTCCAGTTCTCAAGGGGAATGCTTCCAGCTTTTGCTCATTCAGCATGATGTTGGCTGTGGGTTTTTCATACATGGCTGTAATTAGTTTGATGTATGTTCCTTCAGAGCCTAATTTGTTGAGGATTTTTAATATGAAGTGATGTTGTATTTTATCAAAAGCCTTCTCTGCATCTCTTGAGATGGGTACGTGGTTTTGTTTTTAATTCTATTTTGTGGTGAATCACATTTATTGATTTGCAGATGTTGAATCAACCTTGCATCCCAGGAGTGAAGCCTATTTAATCATGAGGTATTAACTTTTTGTTGTGGTGCTCAATTTGGTTTGCTAGTATTTTGTTGAGGATTTTTGTGTGTATGTTCATCAGGGGTATTGGCCTGAAGTATCCTTCTATTATTGTGTCTCTGTGAGGTTTTGGTATCTTAATGGTGCTGACTTCATAGAATGAGATAGGGAGGTGCCCCTTGTCCTTGATTTTTTGGTATAATTTTAGTAGGATTGGTACTAGCTCTTCTTGGCACATTTGGTCAAATTCAGCTGTAAATCCATCTGATCTAGGGCTTTATTTTTTGCTTAGTAGGTGTTTTTTATTACTGATTCAATTTCAGAAGTTGTTATTGGTCTACTCAGGGTATCAAGTTTTTCAATGTTGGGAGGCTATGTGTTTCCAAAAACTTACCCATTTCTTCTAGGTTTTCTAGTTTATGTGCATAGAGGTGTTTGTTATAGTCTGTGATTATTTATTTTTTTTCGTATTTCCATGGGGTTATTGTAATGTCACTTTTTTCCATTCTGATTGAACTTATTTTTATCTTCTCCATTTTTTTCTTTGTTAGTTGAACTAGCAGACTATCAATCTTGCGTATTCTTTGAAAGAACAAACTTTTGGTTTTGTAGATCTTTGTATGAATTTTTGCATCTCAGTTTTATTTCGTTTTCCTCTGATTTTTGGTTATTTATTTTCTCCTGCTAGCTTTGGGGTTTGTTTGCTCTTGTTTTTCTAGTTCCTCCAGGTTTGATGTTAGGTTGTTACTTTGAGATCTTCCTTTTTGACGTCTTTAGTGCTATAAACTTACCTCTTAACACTTCTTTAGCTCTGTCCCAACAATTCTAGTATGTTGTGGCTCTTTTTTCATTAGTTTCAAATAATTTATTGGTTTCTCCATTGATTTTGTTTTTTACTCACAGTCATTTATAAGTGCATTGTTTAATTCCATGTAACTGTATGCTTTTGAGAGATCTTCTTAGTATTGATTTCTATTATTGTTATACTTTGGTCTTAGAATGTGAGTGATATGGTTAGATTTTTTTTTAAATTTGTTGAAACTTGTTTTATGGTCAAGCATGTGATCCATCTTAGAGCATGTACTGCATGCAGATGAGAAGAATGTGCATTCTGTTCTTATTTGGTGGAGTATTCTGTAGATGTCTATTATATCCAATTGTTCAAGTGTTGAGTTTAAATCCAACATATCTTTATTAGTTTTCTGCTTGGATGGTCTGAAACATTGTCAGTGAGGTGTTGATGTCTTCTAATATCATTTTATCATAATCTACATCTGTTCATAAGTCTCTATGTACCTGTTTTATGAATCTGAGTGTTCCAAATTTGGGTGTATATATATTTAGAATAGTTAAGTTTTCTAGTTGAATTGAACCCTTTTTTATTATGTAACGACCTTCTTTGTCCTTTTAAATTACTGTTGGTTTAAAGTCTGTTTTATCTGATATAAGAATAGCAATCCCTGCTCTTTGTTTTCTGTTTGCATGATAAATATTTCTCCATCCCTTTACTGTGGACCTGTGGGTATCATCGCATATGAGATGGGTCTCCTGAAGACTGCAGACAGTTGAGTCTTGCTTCTTTATCCAGCTTGCCACTCTATGCCTTCTAAGTGGGGACATTTAGCCTGTTTATGTTCAAGGTTAATATTGATGTGCAAGGATATGATCCTGTCATCATGTTGTTAGATCGTTGTTATGTAGACTTGATTATGTAGTTGCTTAATAGTGTCTGTGGCATATGTATGTAAGTGTGTTTTTGTGATGGTAGGTATCTTTCTTTCATTTCCAAGTTTAGCACTCACTTAAGGATGCCTTTTCAGGCAGATCTAGTGGTAACAAATTCTCTTAGCATTTGCTTCTCTGAAAAGGAATTTATTTCGCCTTCACATATGAAGCCTCGTTTGGTGGGATATGAAGTTATTTGTTGTAATTTATTTTCTTAAAGATGCTGAAAATAGGCCCCCAATCTCTTCTGGCTTCTAATGTTTTTGGTGAAAGGCCCATGTTAGCCTGGTAAGGCTGCCTTTATAGGTGACCTGATCCTTCTCTCTAGCTGTCTTTACAATTTTTCTTTCACATTCACTTTGGAAAATCTGATGAGTCTGTGTTTTGGGGATGTTTGTCTTGTATGATATCTCAAAAGCGTTCTCTGAATTTTTTAATTTGCATGATGACCTCTCTAGTGATATTGGGAAAATTTTCGTGGACTGTGTCCTAAAATATGTTTTCAAAGTTCCTTACTCTTTCTCCTCATTCAGGAATACCAATGAGTTATAGGTTTGGTCTCTTTACATAACTCCATATTTTTCAGAGATTTTGTGCATTTTTAAAATTATTTTTTAAATTTTTGTTTACTTGCATTGATTCAAAGAAGTGGTCTTTGAGCTCTGGGATTCCTCAGCTTGATCTATTCTGTTGCTAATGCTTCCAATTGTATTATGAAATTTGTGTACTAAATTTATTATCAGAAGTTCAGTATGGTTCCTTCTTAAGATGGCTAGGTCATCTTTGAACTCTCGCATTATTTTACCATTTTTCTTGTTTGGTTTCAACCCTCTGTATCTCTTTGAGCTTGGTTTCCATCCAGAGGCTGAATTCTGTGTTTGACAGTTCAACCATTTCAATCTGGTAAGAACCATTGCTGGGGAGCTAGTGTGATCATTTGGAGATAAGACGACACTCTGGCTTTTAGAGTTGCCAGAGTTTTTGTGCTGGTTCTTTGTCACCTGTGAAAGCTGATGTTAATTTATTCTTTGAAATTGCTGTCTTTTGGATGGGGCTTCTTGTTTTTATAGTCTTAATTTCTCTTGAGTGTTTGTGGTGCAAGTTAAATATGGTTGATTGGCTTCACGTCTGGATGCTTTTAGAGGGCCAAGGCTCACCTTGTCACTCTTGGACTGCTGCTTTTATCCTGGGGGACTGGGACTGAGCCCGTAGTCTTGTTATCTGGCCCCTTGAGACTGAGCACCAGCTGTGCTAGGGGGGTTGAGAGTCTCCCAAGCTGCTGGTAAAAGCATTCTGTTGGGGTTAGAAGGTGAAAGTGCTCCATCAGGTCAGTGGGGGTTGGTTTGTAAAAGCACTACGTCAGGGCAGTGGGGGCAATAGTCACAAGCACTCCCTCAGAGCGGCAGGGAGCCACTGGCTAAAGGGCTCCAGTGGGGCAGTGGTGGGGGCGGGGGCACTGGGGAAAGCACTCTGGTGGGATGGTGGGAGGGGCCCCCAGTGAAAGCAATCTGGTAGTGGTCACCTGCAAAAGCCCTCTGGTTGAGCAGTGGTGGCTTCACTGTGTGCCCGCTCCCATGGTGAAGTGGACAGGGGGCACTTAGATCAGTTTTGCCCTTGTTCTGTGGGAAAGACAGCTCTGCTCTCTTCAAGTCCTGTAGTTAACACAGCTGAGAGCCATCTAGAGGAGTATGGAGAGCATTGATGAATGGGCACCTACGGCCATGTTCCTTTGCAGCTATCCCCATGGCAACTCCCTGGGCTCTGTCTGTTCCATCTCTTTGTGCAGTTCCTCCTTTCAATTTATATGTCCGTAAGAGTCATGGGATTTCCTGCAGTTAAGATCTTGCAGATCTGTGGTGAGAGTGGGTTACTCCACAGTTAGTTCATTCACCCCTACCTTAGGAGCCTTTCAGGGCCAGGAATGAATCCCAGTGCTTGGCAGCCCAGTGCAGGGTTCGCAGCTTCCTCTCTCTTCAGCCCCAATTTCTATATTTTTCTCTCTACTCACTCTCAGTGTATTTTCTGAGACGATTTGTTTGGAATATGCTGTTCTACCCTATATTCTGGTCTCTCTCAGTGGGAGAAGCTCATCCTGGCTGTGTCTTGTTGAGCATCTTGTCACAGTCTTTTGGGTTTTCCATAGATGTTCTTTATCAGGTTTAAGAAGTTCGATTCGATTTCTAGTTTGTTGACCGCTTATCATGAAAGTGTTGGGTTTTGGCAAATGCTTTTTTCTACACTTATGGAGAAAATTATGTTTTCTTTTTATTCATTTAGTATATTACATTAATTGATTTTCATATGTTGAACCAACTTTGAATTTCTGAAAGTTCCACTTAGCCATGGTGCATAATCTCTTTTATATATTGCTGGATTTTGGTTTACTATACATTTTCATCAGGATTTTTGCATGTTTATTCATAAGGGGATATTGGTCTGTCATTTTTTATATCGTGATATGTTTTTATACTTTTGCTATCAGGTTAATATTGACCCCAAAGAATATATTGTAATGCTTGTTCTGCTCTTCCATATTTTGGAAGAATTTTCAAAGGATTGGTGTTAATTTTTCTTAAATATCTGGTAGCGTTTACCAGTAAAGCCATCTGAACCTGGACTTCCCTATGTGGGAAGTCATTGGATTACTAATTCAGTATCTTTACTCATTACATACCTTTTTAAGTATTCTATTTCTTTTAACTCAGTTTTGACAGATTTTAACATTTTCCAACTATACTAGTTCATACAATTCCCTTATAATCCTACATATTTCTCTATAGTCAGTAGTGATGTCTGCTTTTTTATTCCTGATTTTAGTAATTTTAGTGTTCTCTCTATTTTTATTGATCTATCTAGCTAAAGGATTGTCATTTTTGTTTATCTTTCAAAGAACCAAGTTTGGGTTTTGTTGATTTTCTCTATTGTTTTTCTGTTTTATATTTTGTTGATTTCCCCTCTAATCATTAGCTTGCTTTTGTTTAGTTTGCTCATATTTTCCAGTTTCTCATTAAAGTGGGAGTGAATGTATTGATCTGAAAAATTTATTAAATTAAAATATTACAAATATACATTTTCCTCCAAGCACTTTTTAAACTACATCCTATAAGTTTTGTTATATTGTGTGTGTGTGTGTGTGTGTGTGTGTGTGTGTGTGTGTGTGTGTTTCTTTTATTTATACCAAGGTCTTTTCTCATTTTTTTCTTTAACCCACTGGTTAGGAATTTGTTTTTATTTTTTATTTATATTTTTAATGTTTTCAAATTATTATAATTTTTTCCATGGGTTATTGGGGAACAGGTGGTGTTTGGTTACATGAGTAATTTCTTTAGTGATTTGTGAGATTTTGGTGCACCCATCACCTGAGCAGTATACACTGCACCCAATTTGTGGTCTTTTATCTCCCACCTGCTTCCCACCCTTTCTCCCTGAGTCCTCAAAATCCACTGTGTCATTCTTATGCCTTTGTATCCTCATAGCTTGTCTCTCACTTATGAGTGAGAATATTTAGTTTGGTTTTTTATTCTTGAGTTACTTCACTTAGAATAATAGTCTCCAGTCTCATCCAGGTTGTTATGAATGCCATGAATTTATTCCTTTTTATGGCTGAATAGTATTTCATTATACGTACACGTATATACACACGCATATACATACACGTATATACACACGCATATACATACACGTATATACACACGTATATACATACACGTATATACACATGTATATATGTATATACATGTTTATATGTATATACATATATAAGTATACATATATACGTATATATACGTATATACGTATATATGTATATACGTATATACGTACATATATACGTATATACGTATATATGTATATATGTGTGTATATATATAAAATACACGTATATATATGTTTTTATATATATATATATATAAATCACAGCTTCTTTATTCACTCGTTGATTGATGGGCATTGGGTTGGTTCCACGTTTTTGCAGTTGTGAATTGTGCTGCTATAAACATGCATGTGCAAGTATCTTTTTCGTATAATGACTTATTTTCCCCTGGGTAGATACCCAGTAGTGGGATTGCTGGATCAAATGGTAGTTCTACTGTTAGTTCTTTAAGGAATTTCCACACTGTTTTCTATAGTGACTATACTAGTTTACAGAGGTGTTCCCTGATCACCACATCCATGCCAACATCTGTGTTTCTTTTTTTATTTTTTGATGATGGCCATTCTTGCAGGAATCAGGTAGTATCACATTGTGGTTTTGATTTGCATTTCCCTGATCATTAGTGATGTTGAGCATTTTTTTATATGTTTGTTGGCCATTTGTATATCTTCTTTTGAGAATTGTCTATTCATGTCCTTAGCCCACTTTTTGATGGAATCATTTGTTTGTTTGTTTGTTTCTGATTTGTTTGAGTTAATTATGCATTCTGGATATTAGTCATTTTTCAGATGTATAGATTGTGAAGATTTTCTCAACTCTGTGAGTTGTCTGTTTACTCTACTGACTCTTCCTTTTGCCATACAAAAGCTCTTTAGTTAAGTCCCAGGTATTTATCTATCTTTGTTTTTATTGCATTTGCTTTTGGGTTCTTGGTCATGAAATCCTTGCCTAAGCCAATTTCTAGAAGGGTTTTTCCAATGTTATCTTCCAGAATTTTTATAGTTTCTGGTCTTAGATTTAAGTCCTTGATCCATCTTGAGTTGATTTTTTTTATATAAAATGAGAGATGAGGATCCAGTTTCATTCTCCTACATGTGGCTAGCCAATTATCCCAGCACCATTTGTTGAAAGGGGTGTTCTTGCCCTACTTTATCTTTTTGTTTGCTTTGTCAAAGATAAGTTGGCTGTAAGTATTTCGGTTTATTTCTGGGTTCTCTTTTCTGTTCCATTGGTCAATGTGGCCATTTTTATACCAGTACCATGTTGTTTTTGTGACTATGGCTCTATAGTATAGTTTGAAATCAGGTAATGTGATGCCTCCAGATTTGTTCTTTTTGCTTAGTCTTTCTTTGGCTATACAGGCTCTTCTTTGGTTCCATATGAATTGTAGGATTGTGTTTTTTTTAATTCTGTGAAGAATGAGGGTGGTATTTTGATGGGAATTGTGATGAATTTGTAGATTGCTTTTGGCAGTATGGTCATTTTCACAATATTGATTCTACCCATCCATGAGCATGGGATGTGTTTTCATTTGTTTCTGTCATCTATGATTTTTTTCAGCAGGGTTTTGTAGTTTTCCTTGTAGAGGTCTTTAACAACCTTGGTTAGGTATATTCCTGAGTATTTTATTTTATTTTTTTGCAACTATTGTAAAGGGGATTGAGTTCTTGATCTGATTCTCAGCTTTGTCACTGTTGGTGTATAGAAGAGTTACTGATTTGTGTACATGAAATTTGTATCCAGAAACTTTGCTGAATTTTTAAAATCAGTTTCAGGAGCTTTCTGGAAGAGTCTTTAGGGTTTTCTAGGTAAACAATCATATAATCAGCAAACAGCAACAGTTTGACTTTCTCTTTACTGATTTGGATGCCCTTTATTTCTTTCTCTTGTCTGATTGTTCTGGCTAGGACTTCCAGCACTATGTTGAAGAGGAGTGGTGAGAGTGGGCATCCTTGTCTTGTTCCAGTTTTTAGAGGGAATGCTTTCAACTTTTCCCCATTCAGTATTATGTTGGCTGTGGGTTTGTCCTAGATGGCTTTTATTACATTGATGTACCTTATATGCTGATTTTGCTGGGAGTTTTAATCATAAAGGAAGCTGGATTTTGTTGAATCCTTTTTTTGCATCTGTTGATATGATCATGTGATTTTTGTTTTTAATTCTGTTTATGTGGGGTATCACATTTATTGACTTGTGTATGTTAAACTGTCCCTGCATCCCTGGTATGACATCCACTTGATCATGATGTGTTAACTTTTTGATATGTTATTGGATTCGTTTACCTAGTTTTTTTCTTTAGGATTTTACCATGTACGTTAATCAAGGATATTGGTCTGCAGTTGTTTTTTTGTTTTGTTTTGTTTGTTTGTTTGTTTGTTTTTGGTTATGCCTTTTCCCGATTTCTGTATTAGGGTGATACTGACTTCATAAAATGATTTAGGGAGGGTTTTCTCTCTATCCTGTGGAATAGTGTCAATAGGATTGGTACCAGTTCTTCTTCAAATGTCTGGTAGAATTCTGCTGTGAATCTTTCTGGTCCTGGCCTTTTTTTTTGTTTTTTTTTTTTTTGGTAATTTTGTAATTACCATTTCAATCTTGCTGCTTGTTATTGGTGTTTTCAGAGTGTCTGTTTCTTCCTGATTTAAGCTAGGAAGGTTGTGTCGTTCCAGCAATTTTTCCATCTCCTGTAGGTTTTCTAGTTCATGTGCATAAAGGTGTTCATAGTAGCCTTGAATGGACTTTTGTATTTCTGTGGTGTCATTTGTAATATCTCTTGTTTCATTTCTAATTGAGCTTATTTGGATTTTCTCTCTTCTTTTCTTGGTTAATCTTGCTAATGGTCTATAAATTTTATTTATCTTTTCCAAGAACCAGCTTTTTGTTTCATTTATCTTTTGCGGTTTTTTTTTTTTTTTCAGTTTCATTTAGCTCTGCTCTGATCTTTGTTATTTCTTTTCTGCTGGGTTTGAATTTGGTTTGTTCTTGTTTCTCCAGTTCCTGGAGGTGTCCTCTAGATTCCTTGAGAATCTAAATTCCTTAGGATTCTGTTTATGCTCTTTTAGACTTTTTGATGTAAGCATTTAGGGCTATGAACTTACCTTTTAGCACCACCTTTGCTGTATCACAGAGATTTTGATAGGTTATTTCACTATTATCATTCAGTTCAAAGAATTTTGTAATTTCCATCATGATTTCATTTTTGACCCAATAATTATTCAGGAGCAGGTTATTTAATTTCCATGTATTTTCATGGTTTCGAAGGTTCCTTTTTGAGTTGATTTCCAGTTTTATTTCACTGTGGTTTGAGAGAGTGCTTGATATAATTTCAATTTTCTTTTATCTACTGAGGCTCATTTTGTGGCCTATCATATGGTCTATCTTGGAGAAGTTTCCATGCACTATTGAACAGAATGTATATTGTCCAGTTGTTAGATAGAATGTAGTGTATATATTTGTTAAGTCTATTTGTTTCAGTGTATAGTTTAAATCCGTTTTTTTTTTTGTTTTTGTTGCCTTTCTGTCTTGATGACTTGTCTATTGCTGTCAGTGGAGTATTGAAGTCCCCCACTATTATTACTGTCTTACTGTCTATCTCATTTCTTAGGTCTATTAGTAATTGTTTTATAAATTTGGGAGCTCCAGTGTTAGGTGCATATGTGTGTAGGATTGTGATAGTTTCCTGTTGGGCAAGGCCTTTTATCATTATGTTATGTCCGACTTTTCCTTTTTTAACTGCTGTTGCTTTAAATTTTGTTTTGCCTGATATAAGAATAGCTACTTCTGCTCACTTTTTGTGTCCGTTTACATGGAATGTCAGTTTCTACCTTTTTACCTTAAATGTATATGATACCTTATATGTTAGGTGAGTCTCGTGAAGGCAGCAGATGGTTGGTGAGTTCCTATCCATTCTGCAATTCTGTACATTTTAAGTGGAGCATTTAGGCCATTTACATTCAATATTAGTATTGAGATGTGAGGTACCATTCCATTCATTGTGCTATTTGTAGCCTGTATACCTTGGTTTTTTATTTTTTTGTTTTAAGTTGTATTTTTGCTTTATAGGTTTTGTGAGATTTATGCTTTTAAAATGTCCTTTTTTGATGTGTTTCCAGGATTTGTTTCATGATTTAGAGCTCCTTTTAAAGCAATTCTTGTAGTACCTGCTTGTTAATGGCAAATTTTCTCAGCATTTGTTTGTCTGAAAAAGACTTTTTCTTTCTTTCATTTATGAATCTTAGTTTTGCTGGATACAAAATACTTGGCTGATAATTGTTTTGCTTAAGGAGGCTGAAGATAAGGCCCCAATTCCTTCTAGCTTGTAGGGTTTCTGCGGAGAAATCTGCTGTTAATCTGATAGATTTTATAGGTTACCTGGTGCTTTTGCCTGATAGCTCTTAATATTCTTTCTTTAATCTTATCTTTAGATATCCTGATGACCATGTGCCTAGGTGATGATTTTTTTGCGATAAATTTCCCAGGTATTCTTTGTGCTTCTTGTATTTATATGTCTAGGTTTCTAGCAAGGCTGGGGAAGTTTTCCTCTATTATTCCCCCAAATATGTTTTCCAAACTTTTAGATTTCTCTTCTTTCTCAAGAATGGCAATTTTTTCTTAAGTTTGGTCATTCAACATAATCTCAGACTTCTTGGAGGCTTTGTTCATATTTTTTTTTCTTTGTTGGATTTGGTTAATTCAAAGACCTTGTCTTCGACCTCTGAAGTTCTTCTGCTTGTTGAATTCTATTGCTGAGACTTTCCAGAGCATTTTGCATTTCAATAAGTGTGTGCATTGTTTCCTGACATTTTGATTTTTTTATTTATGCTATCTCATTGAATATTTCTCCCTTCACTTCTTGTTTGTTTGTTTGTTTTTAATTTCCTTTTATTGGGCTTCACCTTTTTCTGGTGGCTCCCTGATTAGCTTAATAACTAACCTTCTAAATTCTTTTTCAGGGAAATCAGGGATTTCTTCATGGTTTGGATCCATTGCTGGTGAGCTAGTGCAATTTTTTTTGGTAGTGTTAAAGAAACTTGTTTAGTCACGTTACCAGAGTTGGTGTTTTGGTTCCTTCTCATTTGGGTAGACTGTCTGAGGGAAGGTCTAGGCCTGAAGGCTGTTGTTCAGATTCTTTTGTCCTACAGGGTGTTCCCTTCATGTAGTATTCTCCCCATTTTCCAAGGGATGTGGCTTTCTGGGAGCCAAGCTGTAGTGATTGTTATCTCTCTTCTAGATCTAGCCACCCAGTGAGTATACCAGGCTCTGGGTTGGTACTAGGGCTTGTCTGCACAGAGTCCTGTGATGTGAACTCTCTGTGGGTCTCTCAGCCCTGGATACCAGCACCTATTCCGGTGGAGGTGACAGGGGGGCAAGATGGACTCTGAGAGTCCTTAGCTTTGGTTGCTTACTGCACTATTTTTGTGCTGGTTGGTCTCTTGTTGGAAAGTGGCACTTTCAAGAGAGCATCAGCTGTAGTAGTATGGGGAGGAACATGTGGTGGGTGGGGCCCTAGAACTCCTAAGAGTATATGCCTTTTGTCTTCATTTACCAAGGTGGGTAAGAAAGTACCATAAGGTGGGGACAGGGCTAGGCATGTTCGAGCTGAGACTCTCCTTGGGCAGGTCTTCTTGTGGCTGCTGTGGGTGATGGGGGTGAAGTTCCCAGATCAATGGAGTTATGTTCCTAGGAAGATTACGGCTGCCTTTACTTTGTCATGCATGTTGTCAGGGAAGTGGGGGAAAGCTGTCAGTCACAGGCCTCACCCAGCCCCCACTCAACCCAAAGGGCCAGTCTCACTCTCACCGTGCACCCCCCAACAACACGGAGTTTGTTTCCAGGCACTGAGCCAGCAGGGCTGAGAACTTGCCTCAGACTACTCACCTTCCAGTTGCGAAAGCAATTAAGGCTTTCATTCTTCTCCTGCCTGTGGAGTCTGCACACCAGATTCACGCCCTCCCCTGAGTTCTGGCCAGGAGACTTCTCAATCAGTTCAAATTGTTAACAGTGTTGAGCTAGAGGTTTCCTTCTCCCTGTGCCCTTTTCCCAGTGCCTCTGACTGCCCTCCCTAAGGACCCTTCTGAGGCAGGGCAGAAATGGCTTCTAGGGAACCCAGTGAGCCCACAGGCATTTTCCCACTCCTTTCTCTACCCTGTATTTCTCTTGGCTCTCTAAATTGACTCAGCTCCAAGTAAGGTCAGAATCTCTGTAACATAGACCTTCAGGTTTCCCAGTATTTGGGGTGTCTCCCTATTCCTGCAGGAACAGTCTGCTTTCTTCAGAGGGCCTGTGGGTTCTCTTGCCTTTACTAATGTATTTCTGCAGTTGTTATGGAGCAAAAGTTTATGATGTAAGCCTCCACACACTGCTCTGTCTGTCTGAGTGGGAGCTGCAATCTAGTCCTGCCTCCCATCTGCCATGAGTCTCCAGGAATGTGTTTTTAAATTTCTACTTCTTGTGAATTTCCTAAATTTTGTTCTGTTCTTGTTTTCTAATTTCTTTTCACTGTGGTTGGATAGCCTATTTCATATGAATCCAGTCTGTTTAAATTTACTGATTCTTGTTTTATTGCCTAATATGTGATCTATCATGCAGAATATTTTGTGTACACTTGAGAAGAATGAGTACTCTGATAGTGGCTGGAGCATTCTAAAGATGACTAATTGAAAATGGGGTATTGAAGCCATCAACTATTATTGTTCAGTTGGCCACTTGTCACTTTAATTCAGTCTGTTTTCTTCATTTACTGTGGGGCTCTTTTATTAGGTGCATTTTTTTAATTTTTATTTTTTCGGGTATATAGTTGGTGTATATATTTATGGGATACATGAGACTTTGATATGGACATACAATGTTTAATAATCACATCAGTAGATAGGGTATCAATCACCTCAAGCTTTTATTTCTTTTGTTACAGACAATCCAGTTATACTCTTTTATTTTTAAATGTGCACTAAATTATTGTTGACTGTAGTCACCCTCTTGTACTATCACATACTACATCTTATTCATTCTATCTAATTATATTTTTGTACCCATTAACCATCCCTAAGTCCCCCCTCCACTACTATTTCCAACCTCTTGTAACCATCATTCTACTCTCTGTCTCCATGAGTTCAGTTGTTCTAAAGTTTAGCTCCCACAAATAAGTGAGAACAAGTGAAGTTTATCTTTCTGTGTCTGGCTTATTTCATGTGATGTCCTCCATTTCCATCCATGTTGCTGCAAATAATAGGATCTCATTCTTTTATGGCTGAATAGTACTCCATTGTGTATTTGTGTCACATTTACTTTATCCTTTCGTTGTTGATGGACACTTGGGTTGCTTGCAAATCTTGTCTATGTGAATAGTGCTGTAATAAGCATGGGAGTGCAGTTATCTCTTTGGTATACTGACTTGCTCTCTTTTGGGTATAGACCTAACAGTGGGACTATTGGGTCATGTGCTAGTTCTATTTTTAGTCTTTTGAGGAACCTGCAAACTGTTCTCCATAGTGCTAGTACTAATTTACATTCCCACCAACAGTGTGCAAGGATTCCCTTTTCTCCACGATCTTGCCAGAATTTGTTATTGCCTGACATTTGGATGAAAGTCATTTTAACTGGGGTTAGGTGATATCTCATTGTAGTTAGTTTTGATTTGCATTTCTTGGTTGATCAGTGATGTTGAGCACCTCTTCATATGCCTGTTTGCCATTTGTATGTCTTCTTTTGAGAAATGTCTATGCAAATATTTTGCCCAATTTTTAATTGGATTATGAGATTTTTTCCTATATTGTTGTTTGAGTTTCTTATGTATTTTGATTATTGATTCCTTCTGAGATGGAGAGTTTGCAGGGTTTTTTTTTTTTTTTCCCATTCTGTGGTTTGTCTCGTAATTTTGATGATTGCTTCCTTTGCTGTGCAGAAACTTTTTAACTCAATGTGATCCAATTTGTCAATTTTTTCTTACGTTGCCTGCGCTTGTGGCAGTATTACTCAAGAAATTTTTCCCCACTCCAGAATGTCCTGGAGAGTTTCCCCAATGTTTACTTTTAGTAGTTTCATAAGTTGAGGTTTTAGATTTATTTAATTCTTTAATACATTTTAATTTGATTTTTGTATATAGTGAGAGGTAGGGGTCTAGTTTCACCCTTCTGTATATGGAAATTCAGCTTTCCCAGCACTGTTTATTGAAAAGACTGTACATTTTTGGCACCTTTCTCGAAAATGAGTTCACCACTTAGACACTGTTGGTTGTAGAAATGTAAATTAATTCATCCACTGTGGAAGGCAGTTTGGAGAGTTCTCACAGAACTTAAAACATATCTACCATGTAACCCAGCAATCCCATTATTGGGTATAAACCCAAAGGAAAATAGGTCACTATACTAAAAAGATGCATTTACTTCTATGTTCATTGTCATACCATTTACAAAGGCAAAGACATGGAATCAACCTAGAAGCCTATCAATTTCGGACTGAATAAAGAAAATGTGGTACATATACACCATAAAATACTATGCAGCCATAAAATAGAATGAAATCACTTCCCTTGTGGCAACATGGATGGAGCTGAAGGCCACAATCCTAAGTGAACTAATGGAGGAACAGAAAACCAAATACCACATATTTCACTTATATGTCTTAGCTAAACATTGAGCACATGTGGAAGTAAACACTGGATGCTTGGAGGTGAAGAACTGAAGATAATTGGTCCTGTGTATAGGAGCCTTTATTATTATTATTATGGCAGCTTGATTTTTGTAACGTGTTGATTGAGCACAATCATAGTACAGTAGTAACTAAGCCCCCCTTCTTCCTGGATAAGTGAGCAGATGATTCAATATTGATGATAGCATCCTTGAACCATATCAAAGTAGGAATGTTTGGTTACTGCTTCGGTCTGAAATGATGCTGTGTTTTGGTTGTGCTTCAGAGCTTTGAGGTGCTACTTGAAATCTCCTTTCTTCTACGGAGCTCTGACCAGTTAAACACAACAGATTGGATAAAATACTATTTAGATTGTGTCTTGCTTGTCTCCATTCTATGATCTTTGTATGAATCCAATGGTTTTGTTTTTCTCTGTTTCTTTTTTTTTTAACAGTTTTTAGCTGATGTTTATGAAGAATAGTGAGTACTAGAACTGTGCAGCTAATGAAAGGAAATGCTGTCTAAGAAGGTACCTTTCTTTTTTTTATTATACTTTAAGTTCTAGGGTACATGTGCACATTGTGCAGGTTTCTTACATATGTATACATGTGCCATGTTGGTGTGCTGCACCCATTAACTCGTCATTTACATTAGGTATATCTCCTAATGGTATCCCTCCCCCCTCCCCCCACCCCACAACAGGCCCTGGTGTGTGATGTTCCCCTTCCTGTGTCCAAGTGTTCTCACTGTTCAATTCCCACCTATGAGTGAGAACTTGTGGTGTTTGGTTTTCTGTCCTTGCAATAGTTTGCTGAGAATGATGGTTTCCAGCTTCATCCATGTCCCTACAAAGGACATGAACTCATCTTTTTTTATAGCTGCATAGTATTCCATGGTGTATATGTGCCACGTTTTCTTAATCCAGTCTGTCATTGTTGGACATTTGGGTTGGTTCCAAGTCTTTGCTATTGTGAATAGTGCCACAATAAACATACATGTGCACATGTCTTTATAGCAGCATGATTTATAATCCTTTGGGTATATACCCAGTACTGGGATGGCTGGGTCCAATGGTATTTCTAGTTCTAGATCCTTGAGGAATAACCACACTGTCTTCCACAATGGTTGAACTAGTTTACAATCCCACCAACAGTGTAAAAGTGTTCCTATTTCTCTACATCCTCTCCAGCACCTGTTGTTTCCTGACTTTTTAATGATCGCCATTCTAACTGGTGTGAGATGGTATCTCATTGTGGTTTTGATTTGTATTTCTCTGATGGCCGGTGATGATGAGCATTTTTTCATGTGTCTGTTGGCTACATAAATGTCTTCTTTTGAGAAGTGTCTGTTCATGACCTTCACCCACTTTTTGATGGGGTTGTTTGTTTTTTTCTTGTAAATTTGTTTGAGTTCTTTGTAGATTCTGGATATTAGCCCTTTGTCAGCTGAGTAGATTGCAAAAATTTTCTCCCATTCTGTAGGTTGCCTGTTCACTCTGATGGTGGTTTCTTTTGCTGTGCAGAAGCTCTTTAGTTTCATTAGATCCCATTTGTCAATTTTGGCTTTTGTTGCCATTGCTTTCAGTGTTTTAGACATGAAGTCCTTGCCCATGTCTATGTCCTGAATGGTATTGCCTAGGTTTTCTTCTAGGGATTTTATGGTTTTAGGTCTAACATTTAAGTCTTTAATCCATCTTGAATTAATTTTTGCATAAGGTGTAAAAAAACGATCCAGTTTCAGCTTTCTACATATGGCTAGGCAGTTTTCCCAGCACCATTTATTAAATAGGGAATCCTTTCCCCATTTCTTGTTTTTGTCAGGTTTGTCAAAGATCAGATGGTTGTAGATGTGTGGTATTATTTCTGAGGGCTCTGTTCTGTTCCATTGGTCTATATCTCTGTTTTGGTACCAGTACTGAGCTGTTTTGGTTACTGTAGCCGTGTAGTATAGTTTGAAGTCAGGTAGCATGATGCCTCCCGCTTTGTTCTTTTGGCTTAGGATTGACTTGGCAATGAGGGCTCTTTTTTGGTTCCATATGAACTTTAAAGTAGTTTTTTCCAATTCTGTGAAGAAAGTTATTGGTAGCTTGATGGGGATGACATTGAATCTATAAACTACCTTGGGCAGTATGGCCATTTTCACGACATTGATTCTTCCTATCCATGAGCATGGAATGTTTTTCCATTTGTGTCCTCTTTTATTTCATTGAGCAGTGGTTTGTAGTTCTCCTTGAAGAGGTCCTTCACATCCCTTGTAAGTTGGATTCCTAGGTATTTTATTCTCTTTGAAGCAATTGTGAATGGGAGTTCACTCATGATTTGGCTCTCTGTTTGTCTGTTATTGGTGTATAAGAATGCTTGTGATTTTTGCATATTTATTTTGTATCCTGAGACTTTCCTGAAGTTGCTTATCGGCTTAAGGAGATCTTGGGCTGAGACAATGGGGTTTTCTAGATATACAATCATGTCATCTGCAAACAGGGACAATTTGACTTCCTCTTTCTTTACCGAGCTGTCATACCATCCTTTGGGCTCTCTGCTGGAAAGGTAGAGTCAAGCCTCAAATAATGCCTTTTTAATTGTATCCTGTAGTATTATAGATGTAGGAGAGTACTGTATGATACCTCTGTGAATGTGAAATATCTTGTTCCTGCTTTATGATACATAGTAGTGACAGTGCTTCATCAGATCTGTGTTTAGTGATATTATTCCAGAATTTTTTTTCCAGATGATGATTCAGAAGCTAATTTAAAAAATAGTGCCAAGTACCACAAGAAAAACAGAACATTGCTATTTTCTGGGGTTTTGTTTTTTACCTTTTCTCCCTTTTTAAATGGGGTTTGCTAGATGTCTCTATAATTGTGTTCAGATGATTACAGAACCTGGAAAAGCTGTTGCTGCTACTATGCATAACAGTTATTATTGATCTATAAATCTATATTTGTATATTATATATATATATTTGTATTTTTTGAAAGTTTAGCTGTGCTCTCAGCTTTGGAAAATGTATTACATTTTATCGTGTTGAGTTGGCATTGTGCAGAAATTAACAGTCATATTGATCTAGGAACATTAAATATAATTTTTTCCATTGTATGGGGGTAATTCACTGTATTAAGTATGTGAGATCTTATCTACATGAGTTTCATTATACGAACAAATATGATCTAAATAATGAAAAAAAATGAGTTCACTTTAGTTGTATGGATTCATTTCTGGGTTGTCCAATCTGCTCCATTGTTTTATGTGTCTGTTTTTATGCCAGTACTACACTGTTTTGGTTACTATAGCTTTGTAATTTGAAGTTAGGTAATTTGATTCCTCCAGTTTTCCTCTTTTTGCTCAGCATAGCTTTGGGAATTCTGAGTCTTTTATGCTTCCATATAAATTTTAGGGTTTTATTTCTGCTTCTGTGAGGGATGTCATTGGTATTTTGATAGGGTTAGTATTGAGTCTGTAGATTGCTTTGGGTAGTATGGGCATTTTAACAATATTGATTCTTCCAATCTATGACATGGAATATCTTTCCATTTTTTGTGTGTGTCCTCTTCAATGTCTTGCATCAATGTTTTATAGTTTTCATCACAGAGGTCTTTCACTTTGGTTAATTTTATTACTATGTACTTTATTTTATTTGTAGCTATTGTAAATGAGATTACTTTAAATTTCTTTTTTCAGATTGTTTGCTGTTGGCATATAGAAATGATACTGATTTTTGCATGTTGATTTTGTATTCTGCCACTTTACTGAATTTGTTCATCAGTTCTAATAGTTTTTTTTGGTGGAATCTTTAGGTTTTTCCAAATTTAAGATCATATTAACTGCAAACAAGGATAATATGACTTCTTTATTTCCAATTTAAATGCCTTTTATTTGTTTATCTTGTCTGATTTCTCAAGCTAGGACTCCCAGTACTGTGTTGAATAACAGTTGTGAAAGTGGGCGTCCTTGTCTTATTCCCGATCTTAGAGGAAAGGCTTTCAATGATATAGTTTTTATAATTGTTGTATCTTCTTGATGAATTGACTCTTTCTTCATTATAAAATGTCCTTCTTTCTCTATAAATAACTTTTATTGTTAGTTTAAAATCTATCTTCTGTGGTATAAGTATAGTCATTCATCTTATTGTTGTTTTTCATCCTTTCGCTTTCAACCAGTTATTATCTTTGAATTTAGTGTGTGTGTCATAGAAAGTATAAAATTGGATGTCGTTTTTTTTTTGTGATGTTATCTGCTTTTAGATTGGATTGTTCAATCTGGTGACATTAATGTTATTATTGATATAGTTGGATTGACATCTGTGATTTTGCTTTTCGTTTTCTGTCTCATGTCATTTTTGTTCCTTTTTTACTGTATTCTTTTAAGTTAATTGAATATATTTTTAGTGTAAGCTTTTAATTCTGTTGATTATTTTAAAATTGTATTTTTAGTTATTTTCTTAGAGTTTCTGTCTAGGGCTTACAATACACATTTTAATTTATCAAAATTTCCTTCAGATTTGTATTAACTTAATTTCAGTGAAGTATAGATATTTACTCCTATAAACTCTATCCCCTTTTGCCATTTTCATGCTATTATAATTATACGTATGGCATCTATATATATTACAAATCCATAAGTACATTGTTTTAATTATAACATTATATAGTATGTCTTTTAAAGAGACTATGAGAATAGAGCAGAACACAAATATAGAGTTTTTATAATATGTATATTCTTCTTTACCCTTTTGGCTCTCTTCATTTATTTCTGTGGAACTGAGTTACCATCTTCTGTCATTTCCTTATGACAGTACTGCTCTATGCCCTTAGGGAAAACTTCCAGAAATTTAACTTGTGTTTTAAATAATTTTCTTTGTTGAATTGTTTTGTTGTATCAAAGACTGCCATGTTCCTCACTCTTCCATTACAAAAGCTCAGCATGGTTGCCTTTTACAATAAAGTAAATCTTATTTCCTGTACAAATTTAAAAGCTTTGACATACAAAATCATTTAACTGACTGAGATTTTAAAAATCTTTGAGCTTTTAATTTGTACTACTACTCGAGTAATGTATTGGAAGGGGCAGAGAGACAGTAATGGGCACATGTTTTTAGCACTTTCATTTTCCTTCTCCTACTTTTGAGTAAAGTACAATGGCTATAGAACTTGTATAGAACACCTTTCTCTTCTCCCTTTTTTTATCCAAGTCCCAATTGTGTTATTGTGACTGGGCATCATGAAAGTTGTGCATCTACTCTGGGCACTCTGCTAGGTACTCTGCATATATAATTTCACTTAATCTTCACAATAGCCCTGAAAAGTAGGTACGAGGGTTAATTTTACGTGCCAGCTAGACTATGATGCCTAGTAGTTTGGACACCAGTCCAGACGTTCCTGTAAAGGTGTTCTTTAGGTATGATTAACATTTAAATTAATATACTTTGTAAAACAGATTACCCTTCATAAAGGTGAGCAGACCTCATTCAATCATGTGAAAGCCTTAAGAGAAAAAGGTTGAGGCCCACTGAGGAAGCAGCAACTCTGCTTCCAGACTGCTTGCAGACTCAAGACTACAACGTAAACTCTGGAATTTTCAGCCAGCCAGCTTGCTCTGCAGATTTCAAACTTGCCAGCCTCCACAATTGTGTAAGCCAGTTCCTTAAAATGTATCTTTTAAATTAATTTCTTACATGAATCTCTCTTTCCTTTCTCTCTTGCTATATATGTATACATAGACATATATATTTAATACAGATAGAAATATATACATATCTATGTATATCTACATAAATATATATCTTTGTTGATATGTAGACATTGATCAATATACATAGATACATAGATGCATGTCTTTATAGATGTATAGATATCTATATGAACATAGATATGCATATAGAACATGTATGAACATAAATATAGCTATCTGTTCCTATATATCTATACCCATAGATATATAGATATTGATATTTATATATATAGAGAGAGAGATTTATATATATGTAGTTATTTACATATCTATCTGTTTATCTGGAGAACCTTGGCTAATACTGTAGATATTATTATCTCTACATTTTTGATGGAGAAACTGAAATTATGTAACCTTTCCAGGGTTACACAGCTGGGAAATAGCAGTTCTCTAAATATTAATAACTCTAAAATCTGTGTTTTTGCCACTCACTGCCATTCCTCTTAAAGTGAGGCTGAACGGAACCATTTTCCCTGCTTCTCTCTACCCCTAAATTCTCTTTAGATGACCATATATAAAATAAATACATTCCTGAACACTGACTATAAAGTCAAATTCTTGGGCACAAACACTTTTTTTATTTACTTGAATTTAAAAATTACATCCTGGTCTTACTGAATGCTGCAGTTTCTGTGGCAGCAGGAAGTCTAAACTTTGA
Source organism: Homo sapiens (assembly GCF_000001405.40). Taxonomy (NCBI): domain Eukaryota; kingdom Metazoa; phylum Chordata; class Mammalia; order Primates; family Hominidae; genus Homo; species Homo sapiens. The sequence goes on from NC_000023.11 coordinate 81,325,528, forward strand.
AATAGAATTTTAAGGCAAATACTACAAACAAGTAACTTAGATAAACAAATCAGAGAAGGTACAGATTTTACCTCAACTGTTTATCTTGTATAATTTTAATCTAACTCTTTATTCACAAAGCATTTTGATACTTATATTGGTTTTATCAGCTCCATCAATAAAAATAAGTCAAATGAAGAATTGGACTGACAGTTTCTGGACTGGCTTGAAGAGGTGAAGTCAGTTAAAATAATCAAACAGGTTTGTTTATGTTGATGATACTTGAACGAAATAGTGGATAGTTTTATTTCCTTTCAGTTTTTTTACTATATATATTGGAAATATATACAGATCACATTTCTCTATTTCACATCTCTCTAAGTGTTAGTAAAGTGTTAAGCAGAAGATTTGGGGAAGCATGTGTTTATTAAATTTATAATAACTAGCTTGGAGTGGAGGTGGGAAAAACACAAATTAACATCTGGTTTAATGACTGACTCCTCAGCAAATGGGACAACAGTCTACATGGTTAATGGCCAATGGACATTTCAACTCAATTCTACTTTTTTTTTGTTGTTTCCTACAATGTATCTGCCACGATGCTATGCTTTGGGAATGTATAATTAAGGCAGAAGACATTCTGGGTCATCAAAAAACTCAGTCTTAAAATCAAATTCTCTACATTTTGTAATGTTTAAGTTGTAAAGTGCTACTGTCAATAGTAATTATAATTATTCACTGATTTGACCCATATTTTTAATTGTATACTATGTAGCAGGCACTTTGTTAGAGAATGAGAATACTATTATGAACAACACATTATGCCTACTTTTAGAAACTGATTGCTGTGGTTTGGATATGGTTTGTTTGTTCCTACCAAAACTGATCTTGAAATTTGGCCTCCAATGTGGCAGTGTTGAGAAATGGTGACTAGTGAGAGGTGTTTGGATCATGAGGGATGACCCATCATGAAGGGCTTAGTGCCATTCTGACAGTAGTCAATGAGTTTTCTCTCTGGTGAGATTGAATTATTTCTTATGGTAATGGATTAGTTTAGTTCTCATGGAAATGAGTTCATTACCTCAAAAGTGGGCTGTTAATAAAGCCATAATGCCCTTTGGGTTTTGCCTCTTTGTACGTGTCTATTTCCCCTTTGACCTTCTCTGCCACGTTATGACCACGTAGTATGAAATCCCTCATCAGAAGCCAGAGCTATGCCCTTGAACTTCCCATCATGCGGAACTGTGAAGTAAATAAACCTCTTTTCATTATATATTACTCAGCCTCAGGTATTCTGTTACAGCAACACTAAATTGACTAAGGCATAAAATTGGTACCAAGGAGTGGATTGTTACTATAAAGATACCTGCAAATGGGGAAGTGGCTTTGAACTGGGTAAAGGGCAGAAGTTGGAAGAGTTTGAAAGAGCAGGCTAGAAGGAGATGGTATTGCAGCAATGGGAGCATTAGGGTGCTTTTGGTAAGTACTCAAAAGAAGACTAAAAAAATGAGGGAAAGTTTGCAACTTTTTAGAGATTGGGTAAGTGGTAGTGACTAAAATTAGACAGTAAAGGATATTCTGATGAGATTTCAGATGAAAATGAGTATTTATTTGAAAAGTAGAACAAAGGTCACTCTTGTTATAAAGTTGCAAAGAATTTGGCTGCATTATGTCTATGCTCTACAGCTTTGTGGAAGGCCAAACCTAAGAATAATGACCTAGCATGTCTGATGGAAGAAATTTCTAAGCAGCAAAGTGCTCAAGAATTAGTGTGGTTACTTTTAATAGCTTATGATTAGTTAAGGCATCAAAGGAATGACCTAAGAGCCAGAATTTATAATTAAAAATGAAGCAGATCATAAAAATTTGGAAATTTCATAGCCTGGCCTTGTGGTAGAGAATAAAAGGGAATTTTAAGGAGAGGAATCAAGACTGGCTGAGCAACGGATTGCTAAAGAAGTTAGCAGGGCTAAAAGGGAGACAGGTGCAAATAGTCAAAACAATTAGAAGGCTACACCGGCATTTGAAGATCTTCATGGCTGTCCTTTCCAACACAAGCCCAGAGGCCTGGAAGGGCAGAATGGTTTTCTAGGATGAACCTGGGGCACTACTGCCTTACATCAACTCAGGATGCTGCTCCCCAAATCTCAACCCATCTGGGTAGATCAGTCATCACTTTAACAGCCTCAGGTATGGCTCAGACCACTGCTCCAGAGGGCCAAAGTAGTAAGTCTTGATGGTTTCCATATGGTACTAAGTCTACAAGTGCCTAGAATACAAGAGTCATGGAGGCTAGGTGGCTTCCACCTAGATTTCAGAGGATATATCTGAAAGCCTGGGAGCCCATCCAGAAACTTGCTACAGGGTGGAGCCACCGCAGGAAATCACTACTAGGGCACTACCTAGTGGAGCCATAGGGGCAGAGCCACCACTGGGCCCCCAGAATAGTAGAGCCACAGGCAGTGTGCAATACCAGCTAGGAAAAGTCACAGGCATTCAACTCCAACTTGTGAGAGCAGCCACGTGGGCTACATCCTGGAAACCTATGTGGGCAGGTCTTCCGAGGGTCTTGGGAGCCCACCCCTCACACCAGTGTGCCCAAGATGTAGGACATCGATGTCAAAGGAGATTGTTCTGGAGCTTTAAGATGTAATATAATCCCAGCAGTTAGAAAGGCCAAGGCAATAGGGTCACATGCGCCCAGGAGTTCAAGACCTTCCTGGGCAACATAGGGAGACCCTGTCTCTGTGAAAAGTAAAACAAATTAGCCTGGCATGGTGGCACACACCTGTGATCCTAGCTACTTAAGATGCTGAGGTAGGAGGGTCAGTAGGGTCCAGGAGATTGAGGCTGCAGTGAGCCATGATCGTGCCACTGCACTCCAGTCTGGGTGACAGAGCAAGACTCTGTCTCAAAAAAAGAAAAAAAAAAGGATTTAATTCTGCATGTCTGCCCTGCTGGGTTTCAGATTTACATGGGGCTTATTTTTTTTTTTTTTTTGGCCTATTTCTCCCTTTTGGAATGGGAAAGTCTACCAAATATCTGTCCCACCATTATATCTTGGAAGTAAATAACTTGCTTTTTATTTTATAGGCTCATAGCTGAAAGGAACTTGCCTGAGTCTTCAATGAGACTGGATTTTGGACTTTAGAGTTAATGCTGGGACAAGTTAAGACTTTTGAGACTACTGAGATGAAATGACGTATGTGAGAAGAATATGAGTTGAGGGGGAGGGGAAGAATGCTTTGGTTTGGATAGCATTTGGATGATTGCTTTGGTCCCACCACAACACCTTGAAATTTGGTCCCCAGTGTGGCAGTGTTGGGAGGAGGGGCCTAGTGAAAGGTGTTTGGGAAATGGAGGAGGATTCCTCGTGAAAGGCTTGGTGCTATTCTTATAGTAGTGAATGTTTTTTGTCATTTATTAATGTGCTTTACATTTATTTGATGTGTTCCTTGTTTTTTTATATTTATGTTACATTGTTTGGAATTGGAAAGGAATTTAAGAGATCATTTGGCCCAGGGATACAAAATGTCTTACATAAAAGCTTCCACACTTATTCCCTTGTCCGTGCCAGATACTGTTTAAATGATTATAGTGATCTTTCCTATGGAGTCTCAGAATTCTTCTGAACACATTACTTTAGGAAGATGCTACCAATCATTAGATCTGGCACAGGAGTTAAAACCTATTTGCTACTTCAATCTAGTCTAGACAATCTCATTTTACCAACAAGGAAACTGAAATACAGAAAAATCAAATGATACCCCAGGACTCAAAACTTGTAACATGCAAAGGAAGAATAATTCTGGTGCTTCTTACTCAATCCAGTGGTATTTCTACTATATGTCTTTTAAGGTCATCTTGAAAGAGAAATTTTCTGAAGTAACAGGAAAATTACTATGAAGTGCACACTTCAAGATTTTCTTGAAAAACGTGCATTTCTGTTTTCAGTGCTAATCAACCCTGGTTATGACTAGTGTCTTAGAAAACACCAAAAAGAGTTGTTTATTTGAACAACATATGATATAAGCCCAGTATGAAATATTTGTTAAGTAAAGCTTTTCTGAGTGAAATAAGTGTGTGTGTGTATTTGTTCTCTCCCCCACTCCATCTCAAGCACCAAGTAACTCTTGGGACCCCCTAAGCCTTTTTAAAGAACAGTTTGAAAGCCATTACACTCGAGAAACAAATGTTTCTGCCTAAAGGAACTGTAAATATTATACATTCATAATTTAAAGTATATTTTTTCAACTCAGATACCATATCTATTTGTCAAACACAAAGAGTCATAGACTGATATTTCCCTGAATTATGCCAATGGACTTCATATATATAACAAACTAGTGATTCATTTTTAATGTACTTGATTAATAAGCAGATTTTATATTGGATTGTTAAATCAGGCAAGTGATACTACAGGAGACTATCTATGGATAAATAAGGCAAAATAATTGAAATATACTTTACTATTTATCCTTTGGGCTGCTACCATTACAAGCACTTATTCTGTGTTAGATATGTTGTACACAGTGCTATTATTTTTCAAAATTAACCTGAAATAAAGTCTCAGCTCAGTATTCTTGACATAGAAGGGAGGGAGTCAGAAAACTCCAGGTCCCAAATGTTCTTTAGCTTGTTACACCCTTCACACACACACAGTCCGAAATAATGTAAAGTAGCCTTAACTTGAGTCATTTATTTTCAACCCATTATAATAATTACCTTCAAACTTTTTGGTTATGATCTCCAGTGAGAAATATACCTTAAATCATGACTCAATAAATAAGTAAATATAGATCTATAAGTATGTAAGACTTTATCTACATCAGTCACTATATACATATTCATAAGCATGTATATCTCCCCATTCATACTGTAATTGGAAAATAAATTTAATGAAACTTCTTTTTTCTTGTCCTACTTTCTCCAATGTAGTTAGCAGTAGCCTGTCAATATCATTATATGCATTAGTTTCACAAAAATGTCCTAAGCTGTCAAATGCATGATAACCCAGAACCTTGCCTTTATAAGTATTTAATTAGAAGTATCCAATGGTCAAATTTTGCATATCTCTATTGACACATCATGCTGTGGACAGAGTGCCCTGTTTATCACTTGAAAGAGAGTCTGTAATGTCTTTAATTTGATTAGAGAAAAATTTCCAGAAAACCCAGAACCAAACCCGAAAATTCATCTTTAAGAAATCATCATATATACCATAAATATATATAATTTTTATTTATCGGTTAAAAAATAGATATCTCAGCCAGAGGTAAAATAAAACATAGAAAAATGCAGCCTTGCCAGCATCTGTTGTTTATTGACTTTTTAATAATCGTCATTCTTACTGGCAGGAGATAGTATCTCATTGTGGTTCTGATTTGCATTTCTCTAATGATCACTGATGTTGAGCTTTTTTTCATATGTTTTTTGGCTGCATATATGTCTTCTTTTGAGAAGGTTCTGTTCGTGTCCTTTGCTCAATTTTAATTGGTCGCTTTTTTTTCTCTTGTAAATTTGTTTAAGTTTCTTGTGGATTCTGGATATTAGACCTTTGTTAGATGGGTAGATTGCAAACATTTTCTCCCATTCTGTAGATTGTCTGTTCACTCTGATGATAGTTTATTTTGCTGTGCAGAAGCTCTTTAGTTTAAATCGATCCCATTTGTCAATTTTTGCTTTTGTTGCAATTGCTTTTGTTGTTTTTGCCATGAAATCTTTGCCTGTGCCTATGTCTTGAATGGTATTGCCTAGAATTTCTTCTAGGGTTTGTATAGTTATGGGTTTTACTTTTAAGTCTGTAATCCATCTTGAGGTGTTTTTTAATAAGGTTTAAGGAAGGGGTCCAGTTTCAATTTTCTAAAAATGGCTAGCCAGCTATCCCAGCACCATTTATTAAATAGGGAATCCTTTCCCCATTGCTTGTTTTTGTCAGGTTTGTTGAAGATCAAATGGTTTTAGATGTGCGGTCTTGTTTCTGGGATCTCTATTCTGTTCCGTTGGTCTGTGTGTCTGGTTTTTGTACCAGTACCATACTGTTTTGGTTACTGTACCCTTGTAGTATAGTTTGAGTCAGGTAGCATGATTCCTCCAGTTTTGTTCATTTTGCTTAGTGTTGTCTTGGCTATACAGGCTCTTTTTAGTTCTGTATGAATTTTAAAGTTTTTTTTTTTTAATTCTGTGAAGAGTGTCAATGATAGTTTAATGGAAATAGCATTGAACCTATAAATTTGGGCAGTATGGCCATTTTCAAGATATTGATTCTTTCTGTCCGTGATCATGGAATGTTTTTTCATTTGTTTGTTTCCTCTCTTATTTCCTTGAGCAGTGGTTTGTAGTTCTCCTGGAAGAGGCCTTTCACTTCCCCTTTTCACTCCATTTCTAAGTATTTTATTCTCTTTGTAGCAATTGTGAATGGGAGTTCATTCATGATTTGGCTCTCTGCTTGTCTATTGTTGGTGTATAGAAATGCTTGTGATTTTTGCACATTGATGTTGTATCCTGACACTTTGCTGAAGTTGCTTATCAGCTTAAGGAGTTTTTAGCCTGAGACGAAGGGGTTTTCCAGATATAGGATCATTTTTTCTTTTCCATTTTAACAATAGCCTTTTTGACTAGTGCAAGATGGAATCTTATTTGGGGTTTGATTTGCATTCCTCTACTGATTAGTGATGTGGAGCTTTCCATCTTATGCTTATTGTCCATGTGTATGTCTTCTTTTGAAACATTTCTGTTCATGTCCTTTGTCCACCTTTTAATAGGGTTGTTTGGTTTTTGCCTTTTTTTTTTTTTTTTTTGATAGAAGGTTTTACTTTCCTGCTCAGGCTGGAGTACTGGAGTGCAGTGTTGTGATCTTGGCTCACTGCAGCCTCCACCTCCCTAGGCTCAGGTGACCCTCCCACATAAGCCTCCTGAGTAGCTGGTTCTACAGCTGCAGGCCACCACACATGGCTAATTTTTATATTTTTTGTACAGACCAGATTTCACCATGTCCCCCAAAATGGTCTCAAACTCCTGGGCTCAAGGGATCCTCCCACCTTGGCATCTCAAAGTGCTGGAATTACAAGCATGAGCCACTGCACCTGGACGTACTTTGCTTGTTAATTTAAGTTCCTTATAGATGCTGTATATTAGACCTTTGTCTGGTGCATAGTTTGCTAATATTTTCTCCAATTTAATAGGTTGTCTATTTACTCTGCTGATAGTTTCTTTTGCTATGCAGAAGCTCTTTCATTTATTTAGGTCCCATTTATAAGTTTGTATTTCTGTTGCAATTGCTTTTCACATCTTCATGAAATATTTGCCAGGTCCTATGTCCAAAATTGTATTGCCTAGGTTATCTTCTAGCCTTTTTATAGCTTTAGGTTTTACATTTAAGTCCTTAATTCATCTTGAGTTGATTTTATATATGGTGTAAGGAAGGGGTCCTGTTTGAATTTTCTGCATATAGTTAGTCAATTATCCCAGCACCATTTATTGTGGCTATTGTGAATGGGATTGTGTTCTAGATTTGGCTTTTTGTTTGGATGTTGTTGGTATACAGGGATGCTACTGATTTTTATATACTAATTTTGTATCCCAAAACTTTACTGAAGTTGTTTATCTTATCAAGGAGATTTTGGTCAGAGACTCTAGGGTTTTCTAAATATAGAATCATATAATCTGCAAACAGGGATAGTTTGACTTCCTTTTGGATGACCTTTATTTTTATTTTTTCCTCTTGCCTGATTACTCAGGCCAGGACTTACAGTACTATGTTGAGTAAGAGAGTCGAGAGACTGCATCCTTTTCTTGTTCTAGTCCTCAAGGGGAATGCTTCCAGTTTTTGTGCACTTACTGTGATGTTGGTTGTGTGTTTGTCATAGGTGGCTCTTATTATTTTGAATTGTGTTCATTCAATGCCCAGTGTGTTAAAGGTTTTTAACATGGAAGGATGTTGGATTTTATCAAGTTCCTTTTCTGCATCTATGAGATGACAATGTCATTTTTGGTTTTAGTTTTGTTTATGTGATGAATCATATTTATTGATTTGTGTATGTTGAACCAACTTTACATCCTAGGGATCAAGCTTACTTGATTGTGGTGGATTAGTTTTTTTATATGCTGCTGGATTCAGTTTGCTAGTACTTTGTTGAGGAATTTGTGTCTGTGTTCATCAAGGATATTGGACTGAAGTTCATTGTTGTCGTTGTTGTTGTTGTTCGTCTGCCAGGTTTTCGTATCAGGATAATTCTGGGCTCATAGGATGACTCAGGGAAGAATCTCTCCTCCTCAGTTTTTTGGAATAATATCAGTAGGAATGGTACCAGCTCTTCTTTATTCATCTGGTAGAATTTGGCTGTGAATTTCCCTGGTTCTGGGCTTCTGGTTAGTAGGATTTTTATTACTGATTCAATTTCAGAACTTGTTGGTCTGTTCAGGGTTTCAATTTCTTCCTGATTCAGTAGTCAGAGCCTGTATGTTTCCATGAATTTATTCATTTCTTCTAGGTTTTCCATTTTGTGTGCATACTTGTGTTCTTGGTAGTCTCTGAGGGTTTTAGTATTTCTGTGTGTTCAATGATAAATGTCCCCTTTGTCATTTCCAATTGTGTTTATTTGGCTCTTTCTCCTTTTCTATCAGACTAACTAGTGATCTATCTATCTTATGAGTTCTTTCAAAGAACCGGTCCCTGGATCCATTTATCTTTTGTATGTTATTGTTTCCCAATTCCTTTCAAGTCAGCTCTGATTTTGGTTATTGTCTTCTTCTGGCTTTGGTGTTGTTTATTCTTGTTTCTCTAGCTCTTCTATGTGTGATGTTAGATTATTAATTTGAGATCTTTCTGACTTTTTGATGTGGCTGTTTACTGCTATAACCTTCTCTCTCAACACTGCTTTAGCTGTGTCCCAGAGATTCTGGTATGTTGTATCTTTGTTTTCATAAGTTTTAAAGAATTTCTTGATTTCTGCCTTAATTACATTATTTACCCGAAAGTCATTCAAGAGCAGGTTATTCAATTTCCATATAGTTGTATGGTTTTAAGTGAATTACTCAGTCTTGATTTCTAATTTGATTGTACTGTGGTCTGAGAGATTCTCTGTTATGATTTCAGTTATTTTGCACTTGCTGAGAAGAATTGAGATGTGATCATTTTTAGAGTATGTGCCATGTGGTATTGAGAAGAATGTATATTCTGTGGTTTTTGGGTATGTCTTTGTTAATTTTCTGCCTCAGTGATCTGTCTGATACTGTCAGTGGGGTGTTACCATCCCCCACTGTAATTGTGTGGGAGTCTAAGTCTCTTTAACGGTCTCTAAAAACTTTCTTTATTAATCGTTCTTCTCCTGCATTGAGTGCATATATATTTAGGATACTTAGGTCTTCTTGTTGAATTGAACCCTTTACCATTAGGTAATGCCCTTCTTTGTCTTTTTTGATCTTTGTTGGTTTAAAGTCTGTTTTGTCTGAAATTACAATTGCAGCTCCTTCTTTTTTCTGTTTTCCGTTTGCTTTGTATAATTTTCTCCATCCCTTTACTTTGAGCCTATGTGTATTATTGCATGTGAAATGTGTCTTTTGAAGACAGCATACCATTAGGTCATACTTCTTTTTACAGCTTGATATTCTATGCCTTTTAATTGGTACAATTAGCCCAATTATATTCAAGTTTAATGTTGACATGTGTGGATTTGATCCTGTCATCAGTTTGTCAGCTGGTTATTATGCAGTGTTTTTTGTGTGGTTGCTTTATAGTTTCAATGGCCTATGTATGTAACTGTGCTTTGGTAGTGCTTGGTAATAGTCTTTCCTTTCCATATTTAGCACTAATTTAGGGGCCTCTTTTAAGGTAAGTCTTTTGCTTACAAATTCCCTTAGCATTTGCTTGTCTGAAACGGATCTTATTTCTCCTTCACTTATTAAGTTTAGTTTGGCTGGATATGAAATTCTTGGTTGGAAATTATTTTCTTTAGGAATGTTGAATATAGGTCCCCAATCTCTTCTGGATTGTAGGGTTTCTGCTGAAAGATCTGCTGTTATCCTGATGGGGTTCCCTTTGTAGGTGACCTGTCCCTTCTTTTAGGTGCCTTTAACATTTATTCTTTCATTTCAACCTTGGAGAATCTGATGACTAGGTATCTTGTGGATGGTCTTTTTTGGTAGTGTCTTGCAAGGGTTCTCTGCATTTCCTGAATTTCAATATTGGCCTCTCTAGAGAGGCAGGGGAAATTTTCATTGACAATATCTTGAAATATGTTTTCCTAGTTACTTGCTTTTTCTCTTTCTCTTTCAGTGATGCCAATGAGTCATAGATTTGGTCTCTTTACATAAGCCCATATTTCTTGGAGGTTTTGTTAATCATTTTTAATTCTTTTTTCTTTACCTTTGTCTGACTGAGTTAGTTCAGAAAACCAGTCTTCAAGCTCTGCAATTCTTTTCTCAGCTTGTTGTAATCTGCTGTTAATATTTGTGATTTTATTATGAAATTCTTTTAGTGTGTTTTTCAGCTGTATCTGATCAGTTTGTTTCTTTCTTATAATGCCATTTGGTCTGTCAGCTCCTGTATCTTTTTATTCTAATCCTTAGATTCTTTGGATGGGGTTTCAACTTTCTCCTGAATGTCAGTGATCTCTTCATTCCTCTCCATATTCTCAGTTCTATTTCTGACATTTCAGCCATGTCAGCCTTGGTAAGAACCCTTGCTGAGGAAGTAGTGCGATTATCTGGAAGGAACAAGACACTCTGGCTTTTTGGGTTGCCAGAGTTATTGCACTGTTTTTTCTCATCTGTGTGGACTGATGTTCCTTTCACTGTGGTGTAATTCGAGTACAGTCTATTGACTTCTTTTCTCGATATTTTCAGAGGACCACAGCTTTGTGCAGCATCCTTATTTGTTGCTGAGTTATCTTTCTTGGCTTCACAGGGGGTCATAATAGCAAAGTGTTTCTGGTGTTTAAATGTGGGCGTGATCCAGTAGATAACACTTAAGTGTAATGACCAGCAGGTAGGCTCTTGCTCAGCTATGTGGCTCCTATGCATTTCCTCACAATTGCAGCCATTCCCCCTTTCACTTCTTTGAAAGTGTGGACTCCTCTCTCACTTGAGTGCTGACTCTAGATCTTGACTTGGCAGTCCAGAGCTGCACACTGCAGCCCTGGGGTGAACTCAGTGTTTATGTTTCTTTCCCAGCTTCGATCCAGCAGGGGGAGGGACCTTGGCAGTGGCTGTGGCAGAGAGCTTTTTACTTGTTTCTTGGGGATTCACCCCAGAGAAATGCAGAGCTACTGTCCATAGGTGTGACTGGCCTGGGGTGGGGAGGCTGCATTGTAGGCCCAAGGTGGAGAGCCCTGCCCGATGATGAGCAGTGGCTGGGGGGCTCATGGGGAGACAGACTGGCCTCTGTTCCTTAGGACAGCTGTGCTGCTTGTTGAAGGTGTGGTTAAAGCATGCAGATTCTTTTCCCCAGTCCAAGGGCAGTAAGGGCAGTACCATTGGCAGCAGTGCAGAGGTGCTTTCGGTTGCCTCTGGAAACTCCACCTCAGAAATATGAAGAGCCACTGCTACTGGGAATGTTCAGCCAGGAGTGGGGCAGCTGTGCTGCTGGCCCTTGCTGAGGGCCCCACTTGGAGAAGAGCGGGGCTCACAGGGAGAAGAGACTGGGCTCCTCTCCCTGTGGGGTGACTGTGTCTTGCTGGAAGCACGATCAAAGCCCTCAGGCTCTGTTTCTTCTTCAGTCTGAGGGCATCAGGGGCAGACCTACTGCTGGATTTTGGTTGCCTCTATGAGCCTGTCCCCAGGGAAACACAGAGCCACTAGAGGCGGATCAGGATCACAGTGGCTGAATGCTCAGCTAGGGGTGGGGTGACTATTCTGTGGTTCTGAGTTGAGGGCCCTGCCTGGTGAGGATTGGGGGTTGGAGGGTCACAGGTAAGAGAGACTGGACCTCTCTCCATATAGTGGCTATGGCATGCTGGGGGTTCCAGCATAACAATCAGGCCCTTTGTTTTTTCCCCAACCCAAGGACAGTAAGGAAGCTTATAGTAAGGAAGGACAGTAAGCAGCTGCAATAGCAGAGTGGCTGTGAGTTGTTTCTGGAATTTTCTCCTGAAATAAATGCAGAGGCACCACCCACTGAAGTGTTGAGGAAGGGGCAGGGTGTGCTTGGTGCCTAGGTAGAGAGGCACTGCTCGGTAAAGAGTAGTAGAAGTGGGGGACCAACGTGAAAAACAGTCTGGCTGCTTTTCCTTGACACAACTGTGCTATGCTAGGGGTATCCATTACTCTCTAATCACTGTGTACCCTCCCAAGCCTGAGGGCAACAGAAGCAAGGGCTGCAGAGAAGCAAAACTGCAGCCTGCCTTATCCCTCAAGGAGCTCTGTTCCAGGGAAGTACAGAGCTGCTACCAGCCCGAGAGCCCAGGCAGGGTGTGGCTGGGGTCCCATGTCCCTAGGCCGTTCCCAGTGAGTAGTAGCAGGGTGGGGGACCCACATGGAAGGCAGTGTGACCACTTTTCCATAAGGCAGCTGCACTGTGCTGGGGGGTCCATGGTAGTCCCTAATCACTGCACACCTTTCTGAGCCTGAGGGCAACAGGAGTGAGAGGTGCTGAGCAGGAAAAATGGCAGCCTGCTTCTCCCTCTGAGAGCTTTGTCCCAGGGAAGTGCACGGAGCTCTTGGCCTGAGAACTTAGATAGGGCTGGGGTGGCCTCACTAGCATCCCAGGCCAGTGGTTCTTATTCTGCAAGACGCCGTGCAGGTGAGGCCTGCAGTCTGGCCCTGCTCAACCCCATGGATTTGGCCCCTTTCTTGGGTGTGTCTGAGGGAGCCTGGCATCCTCCATTGCATGAGCTGCAGCTACTGGTTCCCGTGTTCCCAGGGATCCAAAGCTTCTGGAACTCCATGTGCGCCTGAGCAGCAGCTCTGCCAAGAGTCCCAGTAGCTCTCCGTGTTGATCTGGAGGCCTGGGGGTGGGGGTGGGGGTGGGTGGTAGGGGTGGGGGCTCACAAGGGATCTCCTGAGCCCAAGGATGCCATACCCTGGTGAGTTGTGCTGTCTTACTCTTCTCCGTTCCCTGTGGATTGTTTTGTTTCCTTGATGAATCGCATTTTGTCCACCTAGATGTTCCAATTGAAGAGCTAGTGTTTATTTGCCACTCTTTCATCTCTCCGTGAGAGTGGAGCACACTAGCCACTTCTAGTCAGCCATTTTGCCACACCCGGATGGACCATGTTTTTTAATCCATTCTGCCAATTTTCCTATTGATTTAAGAGTTTAATTCACTTACATTTAGAAGTAATTACTGATAAATAAAACTTCAGACATTTTTGTTTTTGTTTTGATAAATTTCATACCGTTTCTGTCCCTCATCTCTTCATTAGTGCTTTCATTTGTATTTTTTTTTATTGTATTGTAGGGAATTTTCATTCCCTTCTCATTGCCTTTCACCTATATTTTAAAAATATTTTCTTAGTGATTACCATGGGAATTATAATTCACATTCTTAATTTATAACAGTGTAGTCTTAATTGATATAACCTTATTTTCAGTAGCATATAAAAACTTTGTGCCTATATAGCTCTGTGTCTCCCCTCTTTATCTTGTTGTTCTCTTCACAAATTACATCTTTTTACATTGCGTAATCAATAACTGATTTATTTTTTATGCATTTGTATTTTAAATCAATTCTTGTCTTTTTAATGAAGTCTGGTGTCATTCCATTTGAACCCAAATGACTCCCTTTGGCATTTGTTATATGGCAGACTTATTGGCAATAAACTGTCTCAACATTGGTTTACCTGTGTATGTCTTAATTTTTCCTACATTTCTGAAACATAATTTTTAGGATTCTTGCTTGACATGTTTTATTTTTCTTTTAACACCTTAAATATGTTATCTCACTGCTTTCTGGACTCCGTGGTTTGCGATGAGAAATTGGCTGTTGTTCTTATTGAGGATTCCTTGTATTCGATGATCCACTTCTCTTGCTGCTTTCAAGAGTGCCCTTTTGTTTTAAGCTTTTGACAGTTTGATTATAATGCATTTCCTTGTGAATCTCTTTGAATGTATCTTACTTAAAGTCTGTTGAGTTTTTGGATGTGTAGATTCATGTATTTTATCAAATTTGTATTGTTTTGTTATTTCTTCAAATAATCATTCTGTTTCTTTCCCTTTTGCATTGCTGTTCTCATTATGCACATGTGTGTTGATTTGCTTGATAGAGTCCCACTAGTCCCTTAGGATCTGTTCACCTTAGTACATTTTTTTCTGCCTCTCAGACTGGATTATTTCAATTGTCTTGTCTTCAAGTCTGCTGAATCTTTCTCCTCTCTCTTAAAATATGTTTTGAATCTCTAGTATTTTTTAAATTTCAGTTATTGTAAGCTGAATAATTTCTTTTTTTAAATTTATTATTATTATACTTTTAGGGTACATGTGCACAATGTGCAGGTTAGTTACATATGTATACATGTGCCATGCTGGTGCGCTGCACCCACTAACTCGTCATCTAGCGTTAGGTATATCTCCCAGTGCTATCCCTCTCCCCTCCCCCCACCCCACAACAGTCCCCAGAGTGTGATGTTCCCCTTCCTGTGTCCATGTGTTCTCATTGTTCAATTCCCACCTGAGTGAGAATATGCGGTGTTTGGTTTTTTGTTCTTGCGATAGTTTACTGAGAATGATGATTTCCAATTTCATTCATGTCCCTACAAAGGACATGAATTCATCATTTTTTATGGCTGCATAGTATTCCATGGTGTATATGTGCCACATTTTCTTAATCCAGTCTATCATTGTTGGACATTTGGGTTGGTTCCAAGTCTTTGCTATTGTGAATAATGCCACAATAAACATATGTGTGCATGTGTCTTTATAGCAGCATGATTTATAGTCTTTTGGGCATATACCCACTAATGGGATGGCTGGGTAAATGGTATTTCTAGTTCTAGATCCCTGAGGAATCACCACACTGACTTCCACAATGGTTGAACTAGTTTACAGTCCCACCAACAGTATAAAAGTGTTCCCTTTTCTCCACATCCTCTCCAGCACCTGTTGTTTCCTGACTTTTTAATGATTGCCATTCTAACTGGTGTGAGATGGTATCTCATTGTGGTTTTGATTTGCATTTCTCTGATGGCCAGTGATGGTGAGCATTTTTTCATGTGTTTTTTGGCTGCATAAATGTCTTCTTTTGAGAAGTGTCTGTTCATGTCCTTCGCCCACTTTTTGATGGGGTTGTTTGTTTTTTCCTTGTAAATTTGTTTGAGTTCATTGTAGATTCTGGATATTAGCCCTTTGTCAGATGAGCAGGTTGCGAAAATTTTCTCCCATTTTGTAGGCTGCCTGTTCTCTCTGATTGTAGTTTCTTTTGCTGTGAAGAAGCTCTTTAGTTTAATTAGATCCCATTTGTCAATTTTTGCTTTTGTTGCCATTGCTTTTGTTGTTTTAGACATGAAGTCCTTGCCCATGCCTATGTCCTGAATGGTAATGCCTAGGTTTTCTTCTAGGGTTTTTTATGGTTTTAGGTCTAACGTTTAAGTCTTTAATCCATCTTGAATTGATTTTTGTATAAGGTGTAAGGAAGGGATCCAGTTTCAGCTTTCTACATATGGCTAGCCAGTTTTCCCAGCACCATTTATTAAATAGAGAATCCTTTCCCCATTGCTTGTTTTTCTCAGGTTTGTCAAAGATCAGATAGTTGTAGATATGTGGCATTATTTCTGAGGGCTCTGTTGTGTTCCATTGATCTATATCTCTGTTTTTGTACCAGTACCATGCTGTTTTGGTTACTGTAGCCTTGTAGTATAGTTTGAAGTCAGGTAGCGTGATGCCTCCAGCTTTGTTCTTTTGGCTGAGAATTGACTTGGCGATGCGGGCTCTTTTTTGGTTCCATATGAACTTTAGTTTTTTCCAATTCTGTGAAGAAAGTCATTGGTAGCTTGATGGGGATGGCATTGAATCTGTAAATTACCTTGGGCAGTATGGCCATTTTCACGACATTGATTCTTCCTATCCATGAGCATGGAATGTTCTTCCATTTGTTTGTGTCCTCTTTTATTTCCTTGAGCAGTGGTTTGTAGTTCTTCTTGAAGAGGTCCTTCACATCCCTTGTAAGTTGGATTCCTAGGTATTTTATTCTCTTTGAAGCAATTGTGAATGGGTGTTCACTCATGATTTGGCTCTCTGTTTGTCTGTTGTTGGTGTATAAGAATGCTTGTGATTTTTGTACATTGATTTTGTATCCTGAGACTTTGCTGAAGTTGCTTATCAGCTGAAGGAGATTTTGGGCTGAGACAATGGGGTTTTCTAGGTATACAATCATGTCGTCTGCAAACAGGGACAATTTGACTTCCTGTTTTCCTAATTGAACACCCTTTATTTCCTTCTCCTGCCTAATTGCCCTGGCCAGAAATTCCAACACTATGTTGAATAGGAGTGGTGAGAGAGGGCATCCCTGTCTTGTGCCAGTTTTCCAAGCTAATGCTTCCAGTTATTGCCCATTCAGTAT
The DNA here is from genome assembly GCF_000001405.40 of Homo sapiens. Lineage (NCBI taxonomy): Eukaryota > Metazoa > Chordata > Mammalia > Primates > Hominidae > Homo > Homo sapiens. The sequence continues at coordinate 81,341,999 of NC_000023.11, forward strand.
GGTATTGGCTGTGGGTTTGTCATAGATAGCTCTTATTATTTTGAGATACGTCCCATCAATACCTAATTTATTGAGAGTTTTTAGCATGAAGAGTCGTTGAATTTTGTCAAAGGCCTTTTCTACATCTATTGAGATAATCATGTGGTTTTTGTCTTTCGTTCTGTTTATATGCTGGATTACATTTATTGATTTGTGTATATTGAACCAGCCTTGCATCCCAGGGATGAAGCCCACTTGATCATGGTGGATAAGCTTTTTGATGTGCTGCTGGATTCGTTTTGCCAGTATTTTATTGAGGATTTTTGCATCAATGTTCATCAAGGATATTGGTCTAAAATTCTCTTTTTTGGTGTGTCTCTGCCCGGCTTTGGTATCAGGATGATGCTGGCCTCATAAAATGAGTTAGGGAGGATTCCCTCTTTTCCTAGTGATTGGAATAGTTTCAGAAGGAATGGTACCAGTTCCTCCTTGTACCTCTGGTAGGATTCGGTTGTGAATCCATCTGGTCCTGGACTCTTTTTGGTTGGTAAGCTATTGATTATTGCCACAATTTCAGCTCCTGTTATTGATCTATTCAGAGATTCAAATTCTTCCTGGTTTAGTCTTGGGAGAGTGTATGTGTCGAGGAATTTATCCATTTCTTCTAGATTTTCTAGTTTATTTGCGTAAAGGTGTTTATAGTATTCTCTGATGGTAGTTCGTATTTCTGTGGGATCAGTGGTGATATCCCCTTTATCATTTTTTATTGTGTCTATTTGATTCTTCTCTCTTTTTTTTCTTTATTAGTCTTGCTAGCGGTCTATCAATTTTGTTGACCCTTTCAAAAAACCAGCTCCTGGATTCATTAATTTTTTGGAGGGTTTTTTGTGTCTCTATTTCCTTCAGTTCTGCTCTGATTTTAGTTATTGCTTGCCCTCTGCTAGCTTTTGAATGTGTTTGCTCTTGCTTTTCTAGTTCTTTTAATTGTGATGTTAGGGTGTCAATTTTGGATCTTTCCTGCTTTCTCTTGTGGGCATTTAGTGCTATAAATTTCCCTCTACACACTGCTTTGAATGCGTCCCAGAGATTCTGTTATGGTGTATCTTTGTTCTCATTGGTTTCAAAGAACATCTTTATTTCTGCCTTCATTTCGTTATGTACCCAGTAGTCATTCAGGAGCAGGTTGTTCAGTTTCCATGTAGTTGAGTGGTTTTGAGTGAGATTCTTAATCCTGAGTTCTAGTTTGATTGCACTGTGGTCTGAGAGAGAGTTTGTTATAATTTCTGTTCTTTTACATTTGCTGAGGAGAGCTTTACTTCCAACTATGTGGTCAATTTTGGAATAGGTGTGGTGTGGTGCTGAAAAAATGTATATTCTGTTGATTTGGGGTGAAGAGTTCTGTAGATGTCTATTAGGTCTGCTTGGTGCAGAGCTGAGTTCAATTCCTGGGTATCCTTGTTAACTTTCTGTCTCACTGATCTGTCTAATGTTGACAGTGGGGTGTTAAAGTCTCCCATTATTATTGTGTGGGAGTCTAAGTCTCTTTGTAGGTCACTCAGGACTTGCTTTATGATTCTGGGTGCTCCTGTATTGGGTACATATATATTTAGGATAGTTAGCTCTTCTTGTTGAATTGATCCCTTTACCATTATGTAATGTTCTTCTTTGTCTCTTTTGATCTTTGTTGGTTTAAAGTCTGTTTTATCAGAGACTAGGGTTGCAACCCCTGCCTTTTTTTGTTTTCCATTTGCTTGGTAGATCTTCCTCCATCCTTTTATTTTGATCCTATGTGTGTCTCTGCACAAGAGATGGGTTTCCTGAATACAACACACTGATGGGTCTTGAGTCTTTATCCAATTTGCCAGTCTGTGTCTTTTAATTGAAGCATTTAGTCCATTTACATTTAAAGTTAATATTGTTATGTATGAATTTGATCCTGTCATTATGATGTTAGCTGATTATTTTGCTCGTTAGTAGGTGCAGTTTCTTCCTAGTCTTGATGGTCTTTACATTTTGGCATGATTTTGCAGGAGCTGGTATCGGTTGTTCCTTTCCATGTTTAGTGCTTCTTTCAGGAGCTCTTTTAGGGCAGGCCTGGTGGTGACAAAATCTCTCAGCATTTGCTTGTCTGTAAACTATTTTATTTCTCCTTCACTTATGAAGCTTAGTTTGGCTGGATATGAAATTCTGGGTTGAAAATTCTTTTCTTTAAGAATGTTGAATATTGGCCCCCACTCTATTCTGGCTTGTAGAGTTTCTGCCAAGAGATCCGCTGTTAGTCTGATGGGCTTCCCTTTGTGGGTAACCCGACCTTTCTCTCTGGCTGCCCTTAACATTTTTTCCTTCATTTCAACTTTGGTGAATCTGACAATTTTGTGTCTTGGAGTTGCTCTTCTCGAGGAGTATCTTTGTGGCATTCTCTGTATTTCCTGAATCTGAATGTTGGCCTGCCTTGCTAGATTGAGGAAGTTCTCCTGGATGATATCCTGCAGAGTGTTTTCCAGCTTGGTTCCATTCTCCCCGTCACTTTCAGGTACACCAATCAGATGCGGATTTGGTCTTTTCACATAGTCCCATATTTCTTGGAGGCTTTGCTTGTTTCTTTTTATTCTTTTTTCTCTAAACTTCCCTTCTCACTTCATTTCATTTACTTCATCTTCCATCGCTGATACCCTTTCTTCCAGTTGATCGCATCGGCTCCTGAGGCTTCTGCATTCTTCACGTAGTTCTCGAGCCTTGGTTTTCAGCTACATCAGCTCCTTTAAGCACTTCTCTGTATTGGTTATTCTAGTTATACATTCTTCTAAACTTTTTTCAAAGTTTTCAACTTCTTTGCCTTTGGTTTGAATTTCCTCCCTTAGCTCGGAGTAATTTGATCATCCGAAGCCTTCTTCTCTCAGCTCGTCAAAGTCATTCTCCGTCCAGCTTTGTTCCCTTGCTGGTGAGGAACTCTGTTCCTTTGGAGGAGGAGAGGCGCTCTGCTTTTTAGAGTTTCCAGTTTTTCTGTTCTGTTTTTTCCCCATCTTTGTGGTTTTATGTACTTTTGGTCTTTGATGATGGTGATGTACAGATGGGTTTTTGGTGTGGATGTCCTTTCTGTTTGTTAGTTTTCCTTCTAACAGAGAGGACCCTCAGCTGCAGGTCTGTTGGAGTACCTGGCCGTGTGAGGTGTCAGTCTGCCCCTGCTGGGGGGTGCCTCCCAGTTAGGCTGCTCGGGGTTCAGGGGTCAGGGACCCACTTGAGGAGGCAGTCTGCCCATTCTGAGATCTCCAGCTGCGTGCTGGGAGAACCACTGCTCTCTTCAAAGCTGTGAGACATGGACATTTAAGTCTGCAGAGGTTACTGCTGTCTTTTTGTTTGTCTGTGCCCTGCCCCCAGAGGTGGAGCCTACAGAGGCAGGCAGGCCTCCTTGAGCTGTGGTGGGCTCCACCCAGTTTGAGCTTCCCGGCTGCTTTGTTTACCTAAGCAAGCCTGAGCAATGGTGGGCGCCCCTCCCGCAGCCTCGCAGCCGCTTTGCAGTTTGATCTCAGACTGCTATGCTAGCAATCAGCGAGACTCCGTGGGTGTAGGACCCTCTGAGCCATGTGCGGGATATAATGTCCTGGTGCGCCGTTTTTTAAGCCCATCGGAATAGCGCAGTATTCGGTTGGGAGTGACCCGATTTTCCAGGTGCAGTCTGTCACCCCTTTCTTTGACTGGGAAAGGGAACTCCCTGACCCCTTGCACTTCCTTAGTGAGGCAATGCCTCGCCCTGCTTCGGCTCGCGCACTGCGCGCACACCCACTGACCTGTACCCACTGTCTGGCACTCCCTAGTGAAGATGAACCCGGTACCTCAGATGGAAATGCAGAAATCACCGGTCTTCTGCATTGCTCATGCTGGGAGCTGTTGACCGGAGCTGTTCCTATTCGGCCATCTTGGCTCCTCCCTTAATAATTTCACTTTGGTTCCTTTTTTATAGTTTCTTTTTATTAAAATTCTCATTTTGTTCAATATATTGCTTTCTTGGTTTCCTTTAGTTCTTCATTCATAGTTTCCATTAGCTCTTTGAGTGTATTTAATACAGTTGACTTAAAGCCTTTGTGTGGTAAGTCCAATATCTGGTCTTCCTCAGGAATGATTTATTTTTTCCTTTGAATGGCTGTACTTTTTTGTTTCTTTGTATACTCATTGTATTTCAAAAATTGCACATTTGACTATTATAATGTAGTTACCAAGGTTGGTTGTTCTTTATTCCTGAAAGTTACAGTTTTTCTATTTTTCTATTGCAAAGATTGTATTCACTGAACTTGTGTTCACTGAAGTCTCTAGTTCTATTAGCTTCTGTTCAGCTTGTGTTTTCTGAGATTTTCTTAAGGTCGAGGAGTTCAAAAAAACAAACACATACAAAACACCACTCCCACTCTTTGAGTATTGGCTTTGTGCTATGGCAAGGCTTTTAGGCTTAGCCAAGCCATTTGCAAGTCTGACATAACCTTCACTTTCTGCTTGCCTTGAGTCTAGATATTAGCCAGAGGTGAAATCTTAGGGTCTTCTCAAGCCTTTTCTGAGCATGCATTCTGTCCTTAGCATTAAGTCTATTTTTAAATTCCCCGGTATATAGGAGGACTTTTGCATGCCCAAGTTTCCCGAAGAAACTTTCTTCTCAGGCTTTCCTACCAAGATTTAGACAGTGTGCTGTATGTATAGGTCATAGTGATTTGCTTCAGGTGGCTGTGTGTTTCTTATTCACCTTACAATGTTTTCAAGCAGTGCCCACTGGTTTTCCACCTCGAGTGAGTTCTGAGTTATGTACTTTTATATGTGTGCTATATACTGTAGTATTTTCTGCTGTTTTATTTCTTTTTCTCAACAAGGCCAGTAGCATACTACTAGATATTAATTTCACATAACCTCCTTTCTTTCCAAAGTCTCTGCATTACAGAATTAATATAAAAGGTACTTGGGATTTGAGAGTGACTCTTGCCTTATTCCACTAGCTTTCACCCATAGTGCAACCTTAGGAATATGTCTGTGTCTATCCTTTATCAGTGTAAAGGGAAACCTTTTCTTCTTTCAACCTCAACCGTGATCCCAGATATTTTAATTCTCTTCTGCTTTCTTTTTGGGAAATGGCGGTTGCGGTATATATTAACTTCCTGTGAATTCCATAACAAACTATCACAAATAAGTGGCTTAAGACAATGGAGATTTATTCTCTCACAGTTCCGGAAGCCAGAAGTTTGAAACGAAGCTATCAACATTTCTACATTCCCTCTGGAGACTCTAGAGGATAAAATGTTCTTAGTCTGTTTTGGCATCTGTTGGTTTCTGGAAGTGCTTGGCATGTGGCTGCATCACTGCCATCTCTGTTTCCATGATCACAATGCCTCCTCTTTCTTCTCTCTGTCTAATCATCTCCCTCTTCCTTACCCTTATAAGGAAAGTTGTCATTGGATTTAGGGTTCACTTGGATAATTAAGGGTGATCACCTCATCTCAAAATCCTTAATTACATTTACAAAGACCCCTTTTTCCAAATAAGGTAACATTCACAGGTTCCAGGGATTCAGATGTAGACATCTATTTTTGGGGGGAGGGGTCACCTTTTTACCCATGACAGGGGATTTAGGAGAAGAGAAAAGACCTTCCCAGTGGATGGTTGTCAGCGTGTTGTATAGGCAAAATTAGTAGAGGTTTTTATGCCACCCGGGTTAACAGTCCTATGGGAAGCTCCAAGGAATGTTATTATGCTAAGTGACAATCCTCAGATTTTTTAGTCAGTGTCTGAAAGCTGGAGGAATAAGGTGTTAATGGGGGAAAAACTCATTTGTATATAGTATGCATTGTCTTTATTTTAAAGGAGAAATGAACTTTAAACTGTGAGTGATTTGTATATTTCCCTCTACTTATTTGTCATCAGGTTCACAAAGGTCTCTAATCATTCATTTTCTGAGTTTGAATATTCTATATCTTCTAGCTCACACTTCACATCTTTTAGCATCTCCTGGAGTGGAGAAACTGAATATAGAGACAGACGATGGACAGTTTTTATAAAAAAATAGATATCTAACCCATAACTTGCAACATCCAACCTAGAAAGCCAAATCTTGAACTCTGCAGCAAACTGTTCATGAAATCAAACCACAGCCTCTTTGAAGTCAGCCTCAAACAGCTAGTACTTGGTTAATAACTGCCAGCTTCCCTAATTTTTGTCCCTACTTCCAACTTAAGACCAATTGGAGAAAGCCAACTATGCTTCTTTAATCAATCATGTAAGATGCCTTGCTTCTAGTTAGCCTGAATTCAGCTTCCCCGTGCCAACAGCCTCCAATCAGGGTGTATATAAAGCTTTTCCTTTTTTTATGCCATAAAGATTTCCCAGTTCTTTGCCTTCTTTTCAATCTCTGCAAAATGCAAGTGATTGTGGCTCACTCCTTTGCTATAGCAAACTGAATAAATAGTCTTTAATTGTTCTCATTTTTGGTGGTTTTCATTTATTTCCACAGGAGGCATATGAAATTTGGAAGGCTGTCTCACTCACCGAAATGGAGCCGTAGGGCTTTGTGAGGCTTCCCTGAACCCCATCATCCTAGACTCTCACTTAGGCACTGCAACTCTGCAGTTGTGTTGCAATGAGAGGCTGCCAGTCTTCTCTGGCTAGACTTTGGAAATGAGATACAACAGTCATTTCTGCTTTCTGGTCCTCCTAAAATTAGCTGAGAGATTTTTGAAGAGTCTATTCCTCCATCTCCCTGGGGGTTTTGGGTTTTGGGTTTTAACCATAAGAAGGGACTTTTTTTTTTTTTTTTTTTTTTGATACGGGACTCTGTTGCCCAGGCTGGATTACAGTGGCAAGATCTCGGCTCACTGCAACCTCTCCCTGCTGGGCTCAAGCGATCCTCCTGCCTCAGCCTCCTGAGTAGCTGAGACTACAGGTGCGTGCCACCATGCCTGGCTATTTTTTTTTTTATATATTTTTTGTATGGATGGGGTTTCGCCATGTTGTCCAGGCTGGTCTCTAACTTCTGGACTCAAGTGATCCACCTGTCTCGACTTCCCAAAGTGGTGGGATTACAGGCATGAGCCACCGTGCCCGGCCAGGACTTCTTTTTTAGGGACCCCTACTACTGACTCATTTTGTTGCTGTCTTCTCTCTTTTCAGATCCTCCCTCCTCTTCCTGTAACCCCATTGTGTAGGAAAGGCCTTTTATTTTGCGTCTGTAATGGGTTCAAGACCTGACGTTATCACTTATTAGCTGTGTCATCTTGTGCAAATTACTAATTGGCAACTCATTTTCCTCCTCCATGTAGTGGGGCTAACAAATAGTACCTGCCTCATAGGGTTGTGAGGATTACATGAGGTATATTCATATAAAAAAACTTTAGTAAAGTGCCGGGCATATAGTAAGTATTCAAAAGTGTTGGCTTTACTTTTAAAGTAGACAATAGTTCTAAACTTTTATGAGGGCTGTGATAGAAGAAGTAGACAATTAATGTCATCTAGGTCATAAAGAGGAATGGAGTTACATTCAATTAGAGAAGGAAGATGTCAAGAAAAACCTTATAGGGAAGTTGTACTTCAAAGATCAATGATTACTGTCAAGCAGATGGTGGGATGAAGCAGGACTACAAGTGTCTGCAAAAAGGCAAGGAAATGCAAAGGTGATGGTGATGCATGGTGGAGAAGGATGGATGTAACGGAGAGGTGGAAAAGAATGATCTACAGATGCCGATTTCAGCGAATGAGTATAGAGGCATATTGATCAATAGGTTTCAAAAATTACTGTTTAAGAAGCACCTGGAGCTACTCATTTAAAATTCAACTATCTTGGCCCCAGCTTTAGGGTTCTGCACTCCAGATGATTCTAAGGAACGTGAATTTCCTACACCAAATGCTGAGAAACTTTCTGTTGCAGGCTATGTAGACTGTATTAAACTTATTTTTAAAATGACTCCTTTAATGCCGTTGTTCTGAACCCTAGCTGCCCATTAGAATCATTAAGAGTGTGATGCAGACATTACAGTTTTTTTTTTTTTGTTTTGTTTTTGTTTTTTTTTTTTTGAGACGGAGTCTCGCTCTGTCGCCCAGGCTGGAGTGCAGTGGCAGGATCTCGGCTCACTGCAAGCTCCGCCTCCCGGGTTCACGCCATTCTCCTGCCTCAGCCTCCCAAGTAGCTGGGACTACAGGCGCCCGCCACTACGCCCGGCTAATTTTTTTTGTATTTTTAGTAGAGACGGGGTTTCACCGTTTTAGCCGGGATGGTCTCGATCTCCTGACCTCGTGATCCGCCCGCCTCGGCCTCCCAAAGTGCTGGGATTACAGGCGTGAGCCACCGCGCCCGGCCGACATTACAGTTTTAAAAATTCCTTAGAAGATTCCAGTGTTCAGCCAAGGTTGAAAAGCACTAATCTAGCAGCAGTGTAGAGGGCAGACATCAGAATAGTAAAATTAGAAATAGGGGGTTAGTTAATATATCATTGCAGTAGTGCAGGCAAGAGTGATGAGGACATGAACAAAGGCAACAGCTGGAGAAGTAGAGTGTAACTGAAATGTTGAGACTAACCCATCTAGGGCTTGGTGATTCGTTCCATATGGGGGTGAGGGAGTGTGTGATATTAAGGATGACTACCAAGTTTCTGAATTGGGATTTGAGTGGATGGACTTGCCATTCAACATGATAGAACAACTGGAGAAGAAACAGATTTGGAAGAAGACTATCATTTTATAATGGAGGTGGGGGCAAGGGAGAGGTGACCTAAAACTATTGTTATTCTTTAGTATTGGTTCCCAGATTTCAGTGTACAAGAAAAATCACTTGAGACCTTGTTAAGAATATAGATTTTTACTCTGTTCTCTATTTTCTTTTTAGGAGGACTTAGAATAAGGCCAGTGATCTGTTTTTTTCTTTCCTTTTTTTTTTTTTGAACAAATAGCCCCAGTATGGTATTTAAAACTCAGTTAAGTGTACTAAGAAGTATTTACCCTCCCTGTGTCCGTGTGTTCTCATTGTTCAACTCCCATTTATAAGTGAGAATATACGGTATTTGGGGCCTGTCAGGGGAGGATGGCAGGGGTAGAGCGTTAGGGAAAAGAGCTAATGCATGCTGGGCTTAATGCCTAGGTGATGAGTTGATAGGTGCAGCAAACCACCATGGACACATTTCCCTGTGTAACAAACCTGCATGTCCTGCACATGTACCCTGGAACTTAAAAAAAATAAATTTTTTTAAAAAGAAGCACTTACAAAATAAAACTGAAAGCAAATTTAAAATTATACTGAAAGTATATTTCTTGCCTATAAATGGATAGTGATTCTTAAAAGTTTGATTATGATAGACAATTTACAATGTTTTTTACACAGCTATATAAAATATTCACAGTGTAATGAAATAATTTTAATGCGCGATTGAAACAGGAAAGGCCCATGTGTCAAACTGGTTATGTTAGTGAAAGAGTTCTGTTTTTATAGTTTTAAAAGTAACTGATATATATGGATGTATATGTGGATCCATACCAGTAAGTGTCTCTTGTATCATAACTATCCATTCATTCCATCTTCAGGAATTTCAGAATCTCTTTATTCTCCTTTGCTTTGTAAAACATTTCAAAATGCCAAAAATAATTAATTTGTAATACTACTGCTGATAATTTTTAATTATGAAGTTATTAAGTTCAGGTATATAGGTTAAGTTTGCTAATTATCTTGCTGGACATTTGCAAACCTCTGCCAACTGTTAGAAGAAAAATTTCCCCAGAACACTAGTCATTTCATATTATAATGTATGGTGAAAACTACTGCATAAGTATCCCAAAACAAGTGGCATGATATATTTTTCTTTTATGATAATCTTTTTATCAAAAGTACAAATTGTTTTGTCTTCAGAGACATAGTTAAGTTATTCTGTAGATAGGTAAATCTGAATCTCATACTCCATAAATGTAATATTTCCCCATGTATATTACCTTAAGGTGTCAAAATAAAATAACAATGGACATTTACTCTTACTCCACGATATTCTTGACCATTGAATATCTGAGGTGGTAGAGCCTTAAGGGTAGAAACCTTTATTCTCATTTATTGAAGTACTTTAAAACTGATAGAAACATCTGTTAATTCATACTTTATATTGTAACTCTCTAAAATTCTAGTAACTTCTTCTTGTCTCTGCTTCACCTAGATAGAGGGAGAGAGAAATAGAAAGATGTTAATCTGCTGGCTGGTCCCAATGTTTTTATATTTTTTTCATTTTCCCTGTCCATTATATTATGGAACAGGAACAGCTTTTAACGGTGTAATTTTCTTTGAGGGGCAAAAGTTAGATAACTTTCTTGTGAAATCATATATATACACACATATATGTAATATATAAATATATTAAATAGCTGTATTTGATATATAATATATATTTTATTTTTCATCCTCCCATGGGTTTTATTTCTATATTTAGGCATAGTTTCTGATTGTGATTTGGAACTTGTAGTATGTTTTCCTCAAATTAAAAAACCTGGTATCATGTTCATTTTCATATATATATAAAGAATTTTAGTGGGGGCAGAAAATCCCTAATGGGTTATAAATATTTACCAGATTGATTTCATAACACACTTGAAGTGGTAAGAACATTCTGCTAACACTTGAGGCAGCCTTTGCACTCCTCACTGCATTAATTTATGCTAATATCTATGGCAGCTTTGCGTAGGAAATGGACATGATACCAGGTTTTTAAGTTTGTGGAAACCATACTACAAGTTCCAAATTATAATCATAGACTATGCCTAAATATAGAGATAAAATCCACAGGATGCAAAAATAAAAGAAAATAAATACACAAGGGGATTAATATTTACAAATACGTGAGTGGATAAAAGTGGTCAGTTCTTGCTATGTTCTCTCGTGTGAACTGTAAGATTTGTATCATCTGTTAACAGACTGTTTTTTTCCATTGCCTTTTCCCCTGAAACACATGTAACTGCTAAAGTAAAATGTTAATAGTTGGCTGTCTTTTAAACATATTTTTTAACTACAATTTTAAAAATAAGTACAGCATGAATGTTAGGTAAAGGTTGAGGTTTCTGTGTTTTTGCACAACAATCTTAGACCATTTTGTCACATAAAACCTCTAATGCTAGCAGGAGAAAACATATGTGAAAGTAATTTGAGAGGTACAAACCCCAGTTTATTCAAGTGGGATTCCTGTGAAAGTCAGTGGGCTTTTTGTTTAATGACTTGCAAATATTCCAGCCATGCTTAAGAAACTCTGCCTATTTCCAACAGACAGCAGAAAAAATTCTGAAGTTCCAAAATTCAGCATTTCTACCTTCTAAGCCTTCTTAGATTTTGAGGTTGCAAAAGCATGTTGAATGTGACATGTCACATTTTTGTAGTAGTTTTTCAAAACCTTTTCAAAGGAAACCATTAAGAGAAGAACAGCCTAGACCAATGTTATTCTGCGTGTGATTCACAGACTGGCAGCATCAGCATTACTACACTTTAAGTCTACAAAATCAGACTCACTGGGAATGTGTCTTAGGTATCTGTTTTAACAAGTCCTCTAGATGATTTTTTTGCTACAGTTTGGGAGTCATGGACCAATAGTTGGGTGAATCTTTTGCTGCACCCATCATGGTCTTTATTTATTAAATTATTCTTTCTTATGGATGCTTAGTACTGGTACTCAATAACATAAATCACAGTGTTAAAAACAACAGCAACTAGTCAAATAGTCCATAATTTTCTTTTTCTTTCTTTCTTTCTTTTTTAAATCCGTATAAATGTATGGGGTACAACTGCAGTTTTGTTGCATGGGTATACTGCAGAGTGGTGAAGTCGGGTCTTTTAGTGTGTCCATCACCTGAATAATGTACATTGTACTCATTAAGTAATTTCTCATTACCCACACCCCTCCCATTCTTCATAACTTTCTTTTTAAAAACAGCCTTTTGCTATCGTTGTTTCTTAATACCCAAGTGAAATCACTAATCTACCAGACCAGGTTTTATGCAACAGCAATGCACTCTTTCTAGGCTGAGATCAAACCTCATTCCTGTCTGCAGTTATCATGGCGTCTGGCACATAGCAATCATGTAGAGTGTTTGTCAACCATTTATAATAATCTCCACATCCTTCAGTTTTCATTCTTCTCTAAAAACTTTGCAGAATGAGGTTCTAAGTCATATAATCGTCTGTCTTTAACTGTGCTATCCAATGTGATAACCACTAGTCACATGTGACTTTTGTGTTCTTGAAAAGTCGCTAGTCCAAAATGAGATGTGCCATATGCGCGCAAATCCATGCTGGATTTTGAAGACAATGTGAAAAAAAGAATAAGTAACATCTTTTAAAAACATTGACTACATATTGCAATGATATTTTGTAAATTTTGTGTCAAATAAAACTTTAGTATCTTTTTTAAGTGGCAACTACAATTTTTTAAATTTGATATGTGACTCACATTATATTTCTGTTGGAAGGCATGGTTCTATAATATTTCTTTTATCCCCGTCAAAATAATTCATCTAAACTTTAATTCATCTAAGAAATGTCTCATCTATGCAAATACAATTGCTTCTTAGAAATCAACAACCAGTTTGCCCTTCTTTTAGGTTGCCTTGACTTCTTGGATGATTTTGGCCATTCACTCACTGACATTTTTCCTCTTCTGTACTAAACAGGATTTTTTACTTCTTCCATTTGAAACATCTGCAAAATTATTGGAGGACCTTAAGATGGTTGAGCTCAGAATACTGAAACCTCCCGGATCATTCCATTCTAAGAGCACAACCTAAGTGAGGGCAATAATCACTTTCTCTGTTTTCCTTGCACCTCCCACCTTTGAAAACTTAGAGTTGAAGAATAGAAGGCAGAAACGGGCTGATAATGTCTTAGCACAATCTTAAGTCTTCACTCCTACCCACTATCCCCACCCCACTGGCTGAGGTTCTTTTCTTCCCACTCACCTCCCTAGAGCCTGACATGCTGGTGTAATAGACTTTAATGGAACTCATTGTTTCCACTGAGTCTACTTTGCAGAAGCAACACAGGGTCAGCCTCTTCACCGCTGCTTCAGGCTCAACTCCCATACCCCGCCCTGCCCTTATCCTTGGCCATTGGTAAGGGCCAGCGGCCCATGCACTCACCATTGGCTGGGAAACAAGTGCCTCTGTAGCCTAGGCAAGGGTCCATTCCAGGGAATGCTGGTGAAGAGGAAGTGGAATCCCCACTGGCTTGGGGGAGTGGTCTGGACACCTAGGGATGATAAACTACAGGTAAGTCCTCTTCTATTGTCTCATCTGCGAGGCTCAGGGGAGGGGGAGAGGGAAGAGCAAATTGAATCTGCAATCCTGCTGCCTTTTCTCCCCCTCCATGCTTGGGAATGGAGGAGAACATGAACTTTCCTGCTGTCAACTGCAGCCACGCTTGAAAGACCTAGATACCTGAGGGAGAAAATGGCCAAAATAAAATGTAATCAGTGAAGAAAAGATAAATAAAAATCACGTTGCTTGTGCTTGTAGGGACAGAGCAAAAGGTGCCTGTCAGGACATGACCACTTTATCAACTTTTGTTATCTCTTAGCACAGGGAAATGCCTCCATTCTCCAGTCCTCCTCCCTTCTTGAGGGCGTGCTTTGTAAGCTGCCCTTTCCTTCTGGGAGTTGACCTTTTGGTTTCTGAAATAGCGGGTTCAATTGTCCCTGCCTGTCCTACACTTCCTCTTCCTTTTTCCTGTATAAAAGGGACCTCTGTCTTAAATGCTTGCTTCCTCTTCAATACGTTCATATCTCATTTTTTCAGCCTTTATTTTTTATTGTAACCTTGTAAGGTAGTGGAAAATAGGAACAATATTTACAGGATTTGGGCAGTTTGCCAAATGTGGGGAATGGAAATTGAGAGTGAAGGGCCAAAGAACCTCAACTCCAAACGTTTGAGTTAGGCACAGTTAGAATCTATGGCTCTACCACTTAATAACTATGAGTCTCAGGTAAATTACTTTCTCCAGTGTCAGTTTCTTTATTGTTAAAAAGAGGGCAGTGATACCAACCTAAAAGCATCATTGTGAGGATTAAAATAATTGAGTACATAAAAGTGTTTGGTAAACTGTCTGACACATTGTAGGTAGTGCAGAAAATGATAATAAGTTTTGTTTATGATAATAAGTGCCACACTCTCCATATTGCTTGGGAACACATGCATGAATAAGACAAAGTGTTTACCTTCAAGGAACTCACAGAGTGATAACTGGTAAGATGAAGTAAATACAATTAAGAGAAATCAAAACCAGGCTAGGTGGGTTAAGGCATGTATCTTTAAAGCACTGAAACCTGATGGATGTATATACTCTGCCAGGAAATTATGAGAAGGAAAACATTTCAGGTAGAAGGACCGATAATGAAGCAATGTGGTAATTGGAGCTTTGGGAGCAAGTGGAGGAAAAGATGGAGGCTGAGGAAGTAAACAAGGCAAATCACAGAGGGGTTCAGCTTTCATGTTGTATTTTGATTTTTAATCATTGGAGGGTATTTTCTGTTTTTTAAAATTGTGGATAATCCCAACTGGCAGATTTGCTGCGAAGATTAAGCATAGAAGTTTCCTAAGAACATCTTTCACTTATGAGACACTCAATAAATTGTGTCTATGCTTATTATTAAATGATGGGTGATCAGAAGCCATTGAAGATTTCAGAAGGTTTGTGAGAAAGGTAGACCAATCTAGGATGGCAATTGGATTGGAAAGAGGCAAGGTTGGAAGCAACTACAAAAATCTAAGAACCAAAAGTCATGAGAGAAGTGAAAAGGCAGATATTCTGAGGACAGGGCATTGCTACAACTGATTGAGCTGGAGGTAGGGGTGAGGACGGCAAAAGAGGTGGGATATAACATAAAGGAGTCTATGTTAGAAGCAAAAAGTGTTCCATTTTCCCAACACCTCACCAGCATCTGTCATTTTTTGACTTTTTAATAATAGCCATTCTGAGCTTTTACACTGTTGGTGGGAATGTAAATTAGTTCAACCATTGTGGAAGACAGTATGGTGATTCCTCTAGGATCCTGAACCAGAAATACCATTTGACCGAGCAATCCAATTACTGGGTATATCCCCAAATGAATATAAATCATTCTGTTATAAAGATATATGCACACATATGTCTATTGCAGCACTATTCACAATAGCAAAGATATGGAATCAACCCAAAACCCATTAATGATAGACTGGACAAAGAAAATGTGGTACATATACACCATGGAATACTATGCAGCCATAAAAATGAATGAGATTATGTCTTTTGGAGCTGGAAGGCATCATCCTCAGCAAAGTAACACAGGAAAACAAAACCAAGCACCATATACTCTCACTCATAAGTGGGAGCTGAACAACGAGAACACATTGACACAGGGAGGGGAACAACACGAACTGGGGCCTGTCAGGGGGCAGAGGGAGGTGAGCAGCAGGACAAACAGCTAATGCATGTGGAGCTTAATACGTAGGTGATGGATTGATAGGTGCAGCAAACCACTGTGACACACATTTACCTATGTAACAAACCTGCACATTCTGCACATGTATCCCAGAACCTAAAAAAAAATAAAAAAAATAATAATAACAATAGCAATTCTGACTGGTGTGAGATGGAATCTCATTTTGAATTTGATTCGCACTTCTCTAATAATTAGTGATACTGAAAATTTTGTCATATGCGTGTTGGCTGGGTCTATACCTTATTTTGAAAAATGTCTGCATCCCTTGCCTGCTTTTTGATAGGGTTGTTTTTTTTATGCATGTTACTTTAAGTTCCTTATAGATTCTGGATATTAGACCTTTGTTGGGTGCATAATTTGCTAATATTTTCTCCCATTTAATAGATTGTCTGTTTACTCTGTTGATAGTTTCTTTTGCTGTGCAGAAGCTCTTTAGTTTATTTAGGTTCCAATTGTCAATTTGTGTTTCTGTTGCAATTGCTTTTGGCATCTTGGTCATAAAATCTTTTCCAGGTCCTTTGTCCAGAATGGTGTTTCCCAGGTTATCCCCCAGAATTCTTATAGTTTTAGGTTTTACATTTAAGTGTTTAATCCATCTTGAGATAATTTTTGTATATGGTGTAAGGAAGGGCTTCAGTTTCAGTCTTCTGCAGATGGGTAGCCAGTTGTTCCAGCACCATTTATTCAATAGGGAGTCCTTTCCCCATTGCTTGTTTTTGTCAATTTTGTTGAAGATCAGATGGTTGTAGGTGGCTGGCATTATTTCTGGAGTCTCTATTCTGTTCCATTAGCCTATGTGTCTTTTTTTTTTGTACCAATATCATGCTATTTTGGTTACTGTAGACTTTTAGTATAGTTTGAAGTCAGATAATGTGATGCCTCCAGCTTTGTTCTTTTAGCTTAGGGTTGCCTTGGCTATTCGGGCTCTTCTTTGGTTCCAAATGAATTTTAAATTAGAGTTTTCTAATTCTGTAATGAAATTTGTGTTTGATAGGAATAGCATTGACTTGGTAGTTTCATAGGAATAGCATTGAATGTGTAAATTGCTTTGGGCACTATGGCCATTTTAACAATATTAATTCTCCCTACCTATGATCATGGAATGTTTTTCCATTTGTTTGTGCCATCTCTGATTTCATTAAGCAGTATTTTGTAATTCTTGCTGTAGAGGTTTTTCACCTCCTTGGTTAGCTATATTCTTGAGTATTTTATTCTTTTTGTGGCTATTTTGAATGGGATTGCATTCTTAATTTAGTTCCCAGCTTGGATGTTGTTGGTTTATAGGGATGCTACTGATTTTTGTACATTGATTTTGTGTCCTGAAACTTTGCTGAAGTTGTTTATCAGATAGATCAAGGAGCTTTTGGGCAGAGACTATAGGGTTTTCTAGCTATAGAATCATATTGTCTGCAAACAGGGAAAATTTGCCTTCCACTCTTCCCAACTGGATGCCTTTTATTTCTGGCTCTTGCCTAATTACTCAGGCCAGGACTTCCAGTACAATGTTGAATAGGACTAGAGAGAGAGCGTATCCTTGTCTTGTTCCAGTTTTCAGTGGGAATGCTTCCAGCTTTTACCCATTCAGTACGATGCTGGCTATGGTGTTTCATAGATGGTGCTTATTATTTTGAAGTATTTTCCTTCAATGCCTAGTTTGTTGAGGGTGTTTAACATGAATAAATATTGAATTTTACGGAAGACCTTTTCTGCATCTACTGAGATGATCATGTGGTTTTTACTTTTAGTTCTGTTTATGTGGTGAATCACATTTATTGATTTGTGTATGTTGAATCAACCTTGCATTTTAGGGATGATGGTGGATTAGCTTTTTGATGTGTTGCTGGACTTTGTTTACTATAATATTAACAGTATTTTGTTGAGGATGTTTGCATCTATGTTCATCAAGGATATTGCCTTGAAACTTTCTTTTTTTGTGTGTGTCTCTGCAAGGTTTTGGTATCAACATCACGGTGGCATCATGAGTCAGGGAGGAGTCCATCCCCATCATTGTTTTTGAAGTATTTTCAGTAGGAATGGTACCAGCTCTTTTTTATGCACCTGGTAGAATTCAGCTGCGTTTTTGGTCCTGGGCTTTTTTTGGTTGGTGTGCTTTTTATTACTGATTCAATTTCAGAACTTGTTATTGGTCTGTTCAGGGATTCAATCTCTTCCTGGTTAAATCTCAACATGTTGTATGTTGCCAGGAATTTATTTCTTCTAAGTTTTCTGGCTTTTGTGCATAGAGGTATTCATAGTAGTCTCCGAGGGTGTTTTTTTTTTTTTTCTATTTCTGGGTTATCATTGGTAATGTCCCCTTTGTCATTCTGATTGTGTTTTTCTCTTTTTTTTATTAGTCTAGCTAGCAGTCTAATTTCTTCCAAGGAACAAACTCCTGGATTCGTTGACCTTTTGTATGGTTTTTCTTCTCATTTTTCTTCAATTTAGCTCTGATTTTGGTTATTTATTTTGTCTTCTGCTAACTTTCGGGTTGGGTTGCTCTTTTCTCTCTCTTTTTCTTCTTCTTCTTTTTTTTTTTAAATAGGTTTCATTATGTTTCCAGTGTAGGATTGTGACATGCCTCCTCATTTCACTGTGAGCCATTCCCTTGACTCTAAGCTAAATTAGTGCACTACTTCTTACAAGAGTGTATCTTTGACAACCTAAAATAATTAGGTTACTATGGCATACAAAATTATAACCTACTCTATAGTATGTTTGTGATAATCATTTATAATGGTAAAACTGTAAAACAAAAGCTGTATTGATAATTGTCGATAAAAATGTGAACTACATAGATATTTTGCTTATGCTGCCTAGTCTACTTTGGCAGTTTGCATCTGGGTGTAAAAATCCTTCTAAAAAACAGGTAAGACATTTGTGAGGCTGAGGAAAATACATTATAAAGAGGGTAGTAAAGATTTTTCTTCTTCTTTTGTGTGTGTAAATGTTTTATTATTATTCAAGTAATACGTGAATACATGCTCATTTGTACAAGAATTCAAACCATGTGTAAATATATAGAGTAAAATGTGAAAATATTCCTTCAGTTACCGCCTACCACTGTCCCTCCAGAGGAAGCTACTATTAAGAATTTGATTTGTATCCTTTTCCGCCAACATGGTTACACATATTAAGGTAACTAAAAGGGAGAAAAAGTCAGTTTAACAAAGAAGTTAACCATGCTTTCTTTGAAGCTGGGCTTCCTGGGTTAAAACCCAGATTCTGTTACTTAATGTTGTGTGATATTGGTGATGTTATCTAATGTCTCTGTGCCTGGGTTTCCTCATAGGTAAAATGGGGATATTAAGCGCTTCATAGACATGTTATGAGGATGTCTTTAGCATGTGTGAAGTATTTAGAATAGTGCCTGGCATATAGTGCACACAATTCATCATGGAATCATGATGCATATATTGTTTCACAACTTGTATTCTGTACACATAGGGGAAATGTAGTGTAGCCATTAAGAGCATGGATTCTGGTTCTGAATCCAATTATCAGGTGCAAATCCTAGTTCTATCATTTACTAGCTTTATGCCTGTCAGGAAGTATATAAACTTCCTTTGTTTTCTCTGTAAAATGGGGGTAGTAGCTTTAGCTCTAAATTAAGTACTATATATAGGACATTTAGAATGACTGACATGTAGTAATTACTCTGTAGATGCTTATTATTATTATGTCATTGAAAGCACTCAGTTTATTATTTCATGTTATAGATATATTATAATTAATTTAACAATTCGTAGTTGATGGTCATTTAGATTACTTCTAAATATTCATTGTTACAAAATATTCTGGTATCCATACTTTAACTAAAGATGGAATTACCATTTGACCCATTAGACCCACTGCTGGGTACCTATCAGAAGAAAAATAAATTGTTATGTAAAAAAAAACACCTGTACTTGTGTGTTTATCACAGCACTATTCACAATAGAAAAGTCATGGAATCAATTTGAGTGTCCATCAGTAGATGATTGGATAAAGAAAATATGGTATATACACACAATAGAATACTACCCAGCCATAAAATAAGAGTGAAATCATGTCTTTTGCAGCAGCATGAATGGAGTTTGAGGCCATTATCCTAAGTGAAATAACTTAGAAAGAGAAAACAAAATACCACACTTTCCCACTTACAAGTGGGAGCTAAATGGGTATAAATGAGCATACGGAGGAAAATAATAGACACTGGAGACTACAGAAGGGGGCAGGTTGGGAGGGGGATGAGGGTTGAAAAATTACCTGTTGGGTACAATGCTCACTTTTCAGGTGATGGGTATGCTAGAAGCCTAAACTCCACCACTGCACAATATATCCATGTAACAAACCTGCACATGTACCCCATGAATCTATAAATATTTTTTAAAAATTAAAATAACCTTGTCTCTGCCTTAACTTGTATGAAAAAAAGCTAGTGCTATTAACATTTTCCCATTCTCATTGTTACTGAAAACTTGAATAAACATTTTCAAGATCCTCTTTTGGATCACTACCATACCGAACATGTGATCAATCCATGTCATTTTCTTATTAGTTTGGTTCAATCCCAGGGTGTGAGTGGAAAGCAGAACAATTTGTGTGGTTAAAGCTTTATTTTTGAAGAGTAAACGAAATATGAGAACTAAATGAGCCAAACAGGACATCTTCTGTGTTTTTACTGTTGGAGTCTCAGAAAAACAAATCTTTAGGTATCCTGATATTTCAAAAAGGTAAGTCTAAAATCTTACATATTTTGGTTCTTTTTTTTGATTTTCTTCACAGAAGGCTGTAAATATGAATATAAGTGCATTTCCTGGAAACAGTTATAACAAACAGTGTTGTCTTATAAGAGGAAAATTGTATCTTGAATCAAGTATGCTTTTTTCTTTCATGCTTTTGTAATGTTGAGAAAATTGGAGGTGTAAAGATTGCCAATTGCACTAAAGAGCCACACAAAAGTCTGCAATAAGTGCTAAGTAAGATTTTAATACAAAACAAGAGAAGAGAAGAAAGTGAGGAGGAGTGGAGGGAGGGAAAGGGAAAGAAAAAGAAAAAAAGATTGATAATGAAGTTGAGAAACCTATTTACATTTACATTATTTTTTAAATTCACAAATAACATTGTATGTTTTTATTATGTACAACATTTTGGAGTGGTTAAATCTAGCTAATTAACAAATGCATTATCTCACATAGCTCTCACCACCGAAATGATAACTATTCACTTACATTATTCAAAAAGTAAAGTGGCTGTATTTATGTTTTCAATCAACAAATTTGCAGGAGTCCAAACTGTATATAAATTTCCACATCTTATATACATTCTAAGGTATAGTAATTTACTTCAATCTATGACTCAAATGACATTAATTAAAAAGGATAGTTAAAACCAATTCCTTGACAGCTGCCTTCATTTTAAGTAGACTCTTTGAAGATAGAAAGTTTATCATTTCTAAATAAACCCTTAAAGATAGTTGAATATAATAATTATACATTTGTATGTTTGTACTTCTAACACTTGCATGTGCACCATATAATATTACACTGACAATAGTCCCGTGAAGATTCATTAAATGATGTGTGCAGTATCATCATTTAACTGCTGAAAAATTTGAGACCGCAAAATGTTAAATAAATTAGCTTATGTTAAAAGTTCATTGCAGAACGGAAACCCAGGTTTAGTTATTCCTGGTCCTATTTCCTAAACTTTGAGCAACACGGCTTCCCTAAATTACTTTTATTTCACGTAGGAGTTAAATACTTATTTGACATTTTTAATGTACATTGCCTTAATGAGTTATTTTATATTACAGGAATATACTAGAAACTTACTTTGTAAAACTTGTCTAACAAAATGCTTAGAGAAGCTTTCCTAATTGATCTTCTGTACAAAGAACAGAAATATGCAAAATTTTGCAAACCATTTACATGTAAGAAGACTGAAAAGGAAACTTGGAAAAAGAAGATTTTAGATAGAGAAGAAAATTCACTTTCCTCTGCTAAGATGGAAAATCAAGAAACAACTAGGAAAGAAAGTGTAACAGAGCAAAATGATGATACAGATCAAATAAAATCTGTGGATGAGACAACTGTAGCAAAATGCAAAGGTATTACCTCTTCCAGGAAATGTGTCAGTTGCGTTGCCCATTTCAAAGAGAGAAAAACATGATCAAAGACAACTAGATTTATATAGATCCTGGTTGTGTATGAGTATTTGTCACAATTATTCTGACCTACAGATTGGAGGTGACGATGTGAGGAACATGTGTGATTCAGGCTGCTTTACGGAACACACACATAATGATGTTTTTAATGGTCCCCTTTTGTTTTCAGTTGGTAGGCCACTGGGTCATTCTCCTGTCATTGGGCCTCTAGAGACATTACCTACCTCAAAATTATTGAATGGGGATGAAAGCCAAGAAAAAAGTATGTTGTTTCATAAACAGCCCCTCTCTAATTCTATGCTTAATACTTATATGGAAAGAAAGGTGGACTAGCTCTGCAAACAATTATTGGAAGAAAATCTCACCAGATGCCACTCTGTAACCAATCTTATGGCTTCCAATTTGCTAATGAATAATGTAAATTACATCAGCTTTCAAATCTCTCAAGAGCAGAACATTGAGTTATGGAAAGCTCAGGAAGCTGCCCTACACTCTACCACTATGTAATCTGTGTAACATTTCTCATGGAAAGAGTGGAAAGAGTTCTTAATTCAGTACCCCTGACTTACAAATATCGAACCAGACAAGTAGGGAACTTCTATCACATCTACAGTAGATAACAAATGTAGGTTGTTTGGACAGACTTAAGAGACTGCAATAACAAGAGTTTTTTCTAGCTTATCATGTCACATCTAGCCTTCTTTGGGGTGTGGTTATTATAGTTTTTGAGAAATGATTTGACCCATGGTACATCTGAATTCTTATAGGAGACAACTATAGTAACTACGTTTTAGAGTGCAAGTTCTTAATGTGTTGATATTTTAATAGTTGCCAAACTAAACTCTGTATGCGTTTACCTATTTAATTGTCACTGGCACCCCAAATCAATTACCTCAGTGTCGCACAGCTTTATTTACAACAAAAATGGGATGAGGAGTGGATTATTGCTCCAAGATACTGAAGGACCATGAGAAGGTATATCAGAGAGGGACATTTATTTCCCCACAAAAACGCATTTATACTGACAATCAAAATAGTCTAGGGGAAATTATGATATGTAGTTATGGATATGGATATCTATATCTGGATATCTATATGTGGATATCTATATCTGGATATCTATATGTGGATATCTATATCTGGATATCTATATGTGGATATCTATATATCAAGATTGAGTATGGGGACATATAAAAGGAAATACTTTAAACAAAAGTCAAATTTAAATGATGTTTGAAAGAAACATGGAGGGAGGGCTTAAGGAAAAATGGAAAATTTGTAAGTACCATTTATATTGAAACTTGGTGCTTTGGAACTTTCCTGGAACGAGCATTAACTGTTTTATATCACTGTTATCTCTGGTTGTTTTTAGAGATGGGAGGAAAAAAAACACACAGGTAGAGTGAAGAAAGTAGAGAACCACCATTTAGAAATAAAAAGGTTCTCAGCAACTTATTACACATCAGATTATCCTCAATCATGATCCTGGCAGTAGTTTATTATGGAAATTTTCGGATCCAAATTAAATAAATTAACAAAATATATCTAAAGTAACAGTATAATTTATTGCAGACTTGGAAAGAAGACTCCATACTTTTAATAGAAATAGGAAAATGATAGACATGCACTTCTGTGTTGTAAAATAAAATGGTATTAATTTCTGTTATAGAATTCTTACAATTGCATTATGCATTAATAAGATTTGTGCATTGACAATCATATATTCCCTTCCATCCCTTCCAATTTTTTCTTGGGTCTTTGATTAACTCTTGTAGAATGAGTCACTGTAATGCCCTAATAGCTCGTTTTTTATGATCACACAATACTTCGTTTATTTTCACCCTCTTCAAATGTATATGATCTAATAATAGTAAGTACCCCTGATTTGTCTTCTGTTTTTCTCTTTATTGCTCCCTTCCACACCATCCTCTACCATAACCATACCAATTAATGTTTATCATTCAGACATTTGATTCTGAAGAGACAATGAGTAAGAGTTTAAAGTAACTCAGTATCTTTAGATATTGAAAAAAAGTTGTATGTATATTGTCTTTTATGCTGTTAAATTTCGGCATTTTAATAGGAGAGTTACTAAAATTATGAAATATTAATGTTAACATTTACAAAAGTGAATTAAATATCATGGGACAGTATTACTAGTGTGGATTGTTTTCTTAGGTCCAGTAATATGTATTAATATTTTATGAAACAGATATATTCATAAAGTGTTGAAATTACATAGTATCATATACAAAACCACAGTATTTAGTATATATCAAATTTATAAATGCATTTAATTACGCTCTCATATTTAAAATTTCCCCCTCTTTATCTGTGTCATCAAAATATTTATCATCTAAAGATACTCACTTATGGTTAAAATGGTTTAAAAATATAATGCAATTCTTAAGTAAGGAAAGATGATGAATTTGGTGTTACGTTTTATCCTGACCTCATACCTACTGACTTCAGTGCTTGAATGAAATATGCATATGACGTTGTGATTTAGCATAGTTTGGCTTTAAGTAGTCATTCTTCATTCTGTTGTTCACCATCGGTATTATTTATATGACCATAATGTTCCCTTTCAAAACATTTTTTGAAATGTATGGAATAATAAATTTCTTTTTGTCTCACATTTGCAGAAGTTGAAAGTATTCGTTTTGTGCTTCTATGAATATACAAAATGTAAATGATTCAGTCGTTGGGGAGGATCATCATGTTTTCTGGTAGGAAAAAAAGTCAAGGAGTTTATGAAGGATGCTGAATACAATGTTGCTCCCTGCTTATATAGATCAGTTTAATTTACATCCCGTCTTTGGATTTCAGGTCACTATTGTGGGTCCCAAAGTAGATTTGACCAAGTCTCAGGAAGTTTTCTGTCAAGAGTGTCCTTTAAACACCAACACCTATTTAAGAGATACAGTCTATACTGTACTCCTGGAATTTTCAGGCTCATTTTGTCTTATAGGTTAGTCCTCAAAAGAAGCCAGTCTCCCCGAGGTTATTAAGACTGGACCTAACACTGTGATGGTCCATTCAAGGTTGTAAGCAGACTTTCTGGGTCTTACTAAAACTTGTTTTTGGAAATGGAGAAACAAAGTAAATAGTTCCTGCTTTGGGGATGGAAGTATCTAATACCACGAAATTATTTTCCTGTTAAAAAATTAAAGGAATATATTTTTTAAGATAGTTTACTTTGAAGAGGTAAATGGCTAACTTAGCATTATTACGTAATGTATGTGTGGATGAAGGGTGGAGAGGTGACTTGATGAGAATTAGTGTGTAGGATAAACTGATAAACTGGAATAATTGTGTAGTTAAAGGAATGATTTTTTTTAGTCAATGCAGAAAGAAATCAACAAATTAATATCAACAGATATCTATTAAATCAAATTAAATGTAGTTTAATGTTTTCATAACTAGTCACTTGCATGGAAATTTAGCCAGTCAACTATGTATGTGTGAAAATCCATGAAAAAATGAAATAATAATTTGAAAGCAAAATAGTTATCACAGTGTTAAAATTAAGCTAGGTGTCCTTTTATTACCTAGGGGCAATTTGGAGCTTTTGGTCCTCAGTTACATTGTTATGTTCTTTTCCTCAAGGTCTAGTAAATTTGTAAAAATGGCCTTATTATTACATATTGGTTCAGTATTTGTTAGGGTATAAATACACACCATCACTTGGAGTTTTATGAAATAGCCTCTAAATAATTATATTGAAGATCATATCTGTAAAGTGATGTGAAACAAATTAAGGTATATTGACTGCAACTTAAAAAATACTGAATCATTGTTGTGGGAAGCTGTCTTTGAATTGTTCTGCTATTTCTATTTAAAGCTGAGAAACTTGTAGCTTACAAAATTTCTCTATAGTTCTGGTTCTATTTCCCCAAATGAGTGGAGGCAGTTTATTACGAGAAAAATAAATTGTGAAAGACCTTGGTTTTATCTGAAAGTGACCAAAGTCTTTTCCTGAATATACTATTTATGTTTTTTTTTCTTTTTTTTGAGATGAAGTCTCACTCTGTCTCCCAGGCTGAAGTTAAGTGGTGCAATCTCGGCTCACTGCAACCTCCACCTCTCGGGTTCAAGCAATTCTCATCTCTCAGCCTCCCGAGTAGCTGGGATTACAGGCACCCACCACCATGCCTGGCTTGGCTTTTCTTTTCTTTTCTTTTTTCTTTTTTTCTTTTCTTTCTTTCTTTCTTTCCTTTTTTTAATTTTTTGGGTAGAAGGGGTTTCATCATGTTGGCCAGGCTGGTCTCGAACTCCTGGCCTCAAGTGATCCGCCCGCCTCAGCCTCCCAAAGTGCTGGGGTTACAGGCGTTAACCACCACGCCCAGCCTATGTATGCTAATAATTGTAAACTGAACCCATTTCTGCTAAATAGATTTTGAATAGAATTGAAAAAATTTAACAACTCAGGATCCCAGGGACTTGTGTGGTTCTACCTCTTTCATTTAAGGGTTCAGCTTTACTTTAAGGAAGTCTTGTAATTGTATAACACCCTTGTAGTCTTCTGCTTAAGAGAAGCTTAGAAATTGATATTATAACGGTTTTAATGATATGGGACCAGCTTGTGTCTGTAGCAGATCTCCAAGGCCAGTTGAAAACCAAAAAGGAGTTCTCAGATCTTTCTGTCTTTCATGTAGAAATATCTTCAGAACACACCATATATTAAGAAAAATTGATTGGCTCTTCATGTATTAAACAAATACTTACTGAGCACTGTGATAGGTAATAGGAATAAATGGTGAACAAAAATGATGCAATTCCTGTTTTTCACTGAGCTTATAGTCTAGATGATGTAAAAGCAGAGAGCAATAGTAAATCATCACAATCCAACTTTAGGGATATGAGAAGTACAAGCACGCAGCTCTAGATCATTCCACACTGGTAGTTCTGTCTGCTTGTTCTGTTCATAATCTAGTCTGAATCTTGTATCCAGGACTGCTATTTTGCTGGTGTACAACAGTGTGGCTCTAATGGCCATTAAACATGTTGAATTCTTTCCATAGCAGCTGATATGAAGCTGCTGCCCCAACCCTCCAAATCCTCCCATCATGAGAATCTTGGCAACTCTGGCTCCGCCCTCTGGACCTTTGTATCTTCTCATGATCCAGCATCTACACAGACAAACATGGAGCCTCTAGTACTCAGCTCCAATACTACCTGTGGTACTTCCTGTCCCTATGAGTTGTTAAATATTTTGAGTCTCATTTCTGCATGTATGTACTTCAGTATTGAGATTCCCGTTTCAAAATCCTGCTCAGTATCACTAGTATCCCTAGGCTTGGGCCCTACTTTTTTCATACAGTTTCTAAGTAACTGAAGACCTATTCCAGAACCTCAAACTTTGACTGGACCTTCCTCACTCTTACTCACCTTTCTTGATTCTCTTTTGCTTTGTTTTCAATCTTTATTGCTGTGTGCTTCTTTAAGATCACTTGCTTCTTGATATACTATACAAATGCAGGTTGACTTGGAATTATATATTGCCTGACACCTGTTGACCAAATTAAGTGATCTGAGAGGACCACATTTTGGATGCTGGATATTGATTATCCTGAGCATTTATTCCTGCTTTATATGTCAACTAAAACTTAAAAACTACTGATAGTGCATTGTGCTTCATAAAGAAAGGTATTTCTGTTTCAAACACTGAGGACTTATACTTTAAGGCTCAACTATAAAAAAGTGTCCATGCCCTCAGAAGACCTGTCTATGTGAAGTTTTCTGAATGAGCTTTGCCCATGAACTGAAAATTTTATTACCTATTAAATGCCTGTCTATTTAGCAGGGAGCGTGCTGCTATTATTCATTGTCATTCAGTGATAATAATAGTTACCATTTGGAGTATCTATTATGTGGTACGCACTCTGCTAAGAGCTTTATTCACATTATCTCAATTATTTCAACAACCTTATTATATTATTACCCCTATTTTAGACAGGAGGAAATTAAAATTGAGAAAAGTTAAAAATTTGTCCAAGATTATGCAGCTCATCAGGGTGAGTATTCAAATGAAGTTATTTTGACATCAGAACCTCTGCTTTTAACTAGGGTTGCCAGATGTATCAAATAAAAATACAGGATACTTGGTTAAATTTGAATTTCAGATAATCGACAAATTATATTTTAGTATAAAGTATGTCCTCATGCAATATTTGGGACACACTAATACTAAAACATTATTTCATTATTAATCTGAAGTCCAAATTTAACTGGGCATCCTGGCAACCCTACCTTAAAAACTACCCTATACTTTTCCCAGGGTTATTAAAAAAACAGAGAGAATGTGCAATATAGGGAGTAGTAGAGCAGAACCTGAAGGCAGTTGGTGGAGAATTGAGGGACCCAATGAAGGAGGTAAAGACCAATAATTCTGGAGGCTGTAAATACAAGGTACCATTTATAGAGGCATTACCTTGAAGGAGAGCTTGGGAGAAAGATTTGTCTTCTAGGGACTCTATAGTCTACCAGAGATTTTTTTTTTCCTGTGGTAGGTGTGTAGAGACATCCCTGTTTCAATCCTGTTACACAACTGAATCATGTAATGAAACAGGTGGAAAGAGAGCTGGAAAGAGCAAAGAATGCATAATGAGAATATTTATGTTTTAATAATGTTGCAACTCAGCCACTCACTAACTGCCTGACAAGACACACTGTTTCTCCCAGTCTCAATCTCCTCATCTGGAAAATGAGGATAGCAACACTTGCCCCAACTATATCACAGGAATTTTATGAAAATTAAAGGGAGGTGAGAAGACTTGGTAAGTGGTAAAATATTCTACTAATATAAATCCTTTCGATAAACATCAGCACAATTCTAACAAATTAATTAATCATCATGTTCAAGGTTGGGATGGGGGAAGCATTTATTTTTTGCCAACCTAAAAAATACTTTGAATAAATCCCTTCTGATTACTTAATAGGACCACCTCAAAGTAAAATAAGAGATGAGAGTCCACACAAGCTGCTACTGTTTACTGCTGGGAGTGACAGACTTGTGTGTTCTACAGGGATATATGAAGAGAAAGATTTCTCTGGCTGTTTCCAAATGTTTGAGAAACTTTATAGCATTTTGATTTAAAATAACATTTCTGAACATAAATAAATAAATATTTCTGATAGAGCAGGAAATTTAAGCTGGATGATTTGTAATGAGAAATCATATTGTAAATGCTGGAGGAGAGAAACATAAACTTAGTTTAATTCACAGTACTTTCTATTACACTAAAGTGTAGAGAGACTGGTGAGAACCTTTGTGGAAGAGTTATGGTAGGTTTCAGCAGCAAATGCTGTAGCTATAGTAGTTTATTTTTCTAACTGAATGTAATATTGGCAAAGATTAGGATATCACGTAAAAGAGAGAGCTGACTCCATACTGTCAAGGAAGCATGACAGCAGGACTGTATAATTGGTACAATTTGACTTCTAGCTTCCCCATCCTAGATCCTTTACCTAATAATAATAATAATAGTAATAAAGTTATAAATAACAGAGACTTTACCATTGCAATAGATACTTCACTACCTTGTAAGGATAATTCACTCACCTTATAAGGTGAGGAAAAAATGGGTAGTGTAAGTCAAGGGTCTCATATGATATTGGAACCCCTTGAAGACTCAATAAATTATCAGTGTCATTGTTATTTTATTATATTTATCATTATTCCCATGTTATATATGAAGAAATTGAGATGTGTTCCATCCTGTGACTTGAGGTGCTCAATAATTCAGTTTTTCCATAATCAAAAGCTCATGCCCAGATAAAAGTCATTTCTAATTGAGTGTGATTATGTCAATGTTCTTTCTCCCAGAAGGGTCTGCCTTTATAAACCTAAATTCTCCATGTGTAACAACAGGTTCTGTGCTCCGAAAAGGGCATTCAGGCTTCAGCCAGAAATGGTGTGGGATGAGAATTTGAGTCTCCCATGCTAGTTTCTCAAAAGTCCACTACCTATATAACCCTGAATCTTTTTAGGTCTTAAGTCAGCCCTATGGGGGTAACAGTGTTAGTGCCATTCATTAGGCATGTTATGACTTGAAGCTCAGGAGGATGGGGGTAGAGGGTATGAAAGAAATAGCAAAAGATCTAATAGAAGCAAAATAAAGGAGGTATTTATCATGAAAATCTTTGGAAGATCTTTGTTTTCTAATCATAGATACTGTAGAGTTCTAGGACATCACAGATATAAAGTCCCATGTTCTAGAATAAATTTACTCTTAAAAATCCAGGAAACTAAACCTCTCTCTCCTTTCTCTCGCACACACACACACAAACACGAAGTAGCCCATACATAAAACAGGCATTGGAAGAGGTAGAGTTCCTCTGATTGAAAGAGGAAGAATAAAGATTCTGCTCCCTCTTATCACATTTAGGCAGCCATTGAGGGGAATCCTTAAATAACAGTTTGAATATTATTGGTCTAACATAACACTCTTATAGGTGAAAAAAATGATCCCCAAAGAGAGGGAATGAAATTTCCCAAGGAGTTAGTGAGTGACCAAACTGGCATTGGTGCCTATGTCTTCTGATTCCCAGTCTAGTTTTCTTTTTGCTTTTTAAATTGAAGTACCAGGTGTTTATATGCTAGCAATGTGATGATTTCATAGACCTATGCTGCTTCTTTATCATTTTGAGAACAGAATATGACTGTGATCATCAACATCATTATTAGCATTATCACTGGCAGCTGTAAGAAAGTTTATCCTGTGGCATGCATGCCAAAAATGTTTTGCAGGCTTCTGTATAGTGGAAAAGCTTGCTTCCAAATGGTGCCATAAACTGCTGCTCCAGGCCTCCAAGCACCAGAGGGACCAGTTGTCACATAACCACTGGCAGTCACTCATCATTTCACATCTCCCATCCCATCCATTATTCTTAATGGATCCGTAGATCCATTAAGAATAAATGTTGAGGTATTTCATATGATGCGATTATTATGTTTTCCATGCCTATATCAAAGCATCTGATGTACACCATAAATATGTACACCTACTAAGTATCCAAAAAATTAAAATTAAAAAATAAAAGAATAAATGTTGTTACACTGTGTATTTTGTAAATTTATTCTATTTGCAGAGGGGAGAATTGTTTTCAAAGAGAAATAACAACATTGGATGTTATCATTTTCCCATTGTTTTAATTTTACTGACTGAGCAGTGGTGATGAAATAATCAAAATGAGCAACTGAGAGTTCATATAATGAATAGGAAAAATACTAAAATGCAGTGACTATAGAATCTCCCTAAGAGGAAAGAAAAGCTATTAAAAATGAATCTGACTCCCATTATTTGTTTGAATAAACAGTTAAACATTTTCTCTCTTCTCTCCTGCCACTTCAGACCATTAAGACTGCTCTTTAATATATAAATATATATAGGACATCCATTTCAGCAATGCTAACATCCAAACAAAGAATAACAAAATAAATCTCATTACTTGTTACATTTAGTAATCTAGATGTTCCAGACTATGAGAACTGATAGCTGACTTATACAGAGCAGTGGCCAAACTAGCCAGTGTGAAGAGCCCTAGACAAATAAAAATCTCAGGAAGGGATATAAATGTTTATATGTTCTACAGAAAAATAGCATGTTTATAGAGTGATAGATTTCTTACAGCTCATTTCTCAACATGGGATCTACTTCAGAAACACATGAGAAATTTCTCTGAGATAAATTTTATTGGCCTCATCCCTGATCTACTAAACTTGACTTTGAGGTTTGGGCTTGGAAAAGTTATCTGGTTTCTAATACAGACATTTGGTGAAGAACTTCTGACCTAGATTAGCTCCTTCACTGTAAAGATAAGGAAATGTAGAGTAAGAAAGAGTAAATGACTTGCTGAAGGTAACTTTTTTTTCCTTTTCACCTGTATCCATGAACAATGAATGTTGGAGCCTGAGGGAGGTAAGTGGTACAGAAGGGTTCCCCTATTCGAGGGAGTTGCATATTCTAAATGAGAAGATAAGATTAGGAAACATTAAACAAGTAGAAAATAATTCAAGACAATTACTTTTTTTTCCTGAAGAGGTTGGGGGTCTAGGTGAGGAATTGGGAGACCCAATATTGAAGGACACAGATGGATACAGGGTCATCTACCCTTGCTTTGCAGAATCTCTCATACAGTATTTCATGGGAAAGATTGGACTCTGTTGAAGTGCAATGTGACTTGGAAATGCAGGTGTGATTTTTATGCTTTTTTAAAAATGTATTTTAGGTGCAAGAGTACATGTGCAGGTTTGTTATGTAGGTAAACTGTGTGTCATGAGAATTTGGTATACAGATAATTTCATCACTCAGGTAATAAATGTAATAACCAGTAGGTAATTTTTTTGTGATCCTCTCTCTCCTCCCACCCACCACCCTCAAGTGGGCCCCAGTGTCTGTTGTTTCTCTCCTAGTATCCATGTGTTCTCATTGTTTAGCTCCCACTTACAAGTGAGAACATGCAGTATTGGTTTTCTTTTTCTGTATTAGTTTGCTTAAGATCATGACCTCCAGCTCTATCCATATTGCTGCCAAGGAAATGATCTCATTCTTTTTTATGGCTGCATAGTATTCAGTAGTGTATATGTACCACATTTTCTTAATCTAGTCTACTGTTGATGGACATTTAGGCTGATTTTATGTCTTTGTTATTGTGGAGAGTGATGCAAACGTACATGTGCATGTGTCTTTATGATAGAATTATTTATATTACTTTGGTTATATACCCAGTAATGAGATTGCTGGGTTGGAAGGTAGTTCTGTTTGTAGCTCTTTGAAGAATTGCCATGCCGCTTTCCACAATGGTTGAACTAATTTACACTTCCACCAACAAAATAAGCGTTCCCTTTTCTCCACGATCTCTCCAACATCTGTCATTTTTTGACTTTTTAATAATAGTCATTCTGACTGGTGTGAGATGGTATCTCATTGTGGCTTTGATTTGTATTTCTCTAATGATTAGTGATATGGAGTAATTTTTCATATGCTTGTTGGCCGCATGTATGTCTTCTTTTGAAAAGTGTCTGGTCATGTCCTTTGCCCACTTGTTAATGGGGTGGTTTGGGGGGTTTTGGTAAATTTGTATAAGTTCCTTATAGTTTCTGGATATTAGACCTTTGTTGGATGCACAGTCTGCAAATAATTTCTGCCACTGTGTAGGTTTTCTGTTTATGCTGTTGATAGTTTCTTTTCTTTGCAGAAGCTCTTTAATTAAATTACGTTTGTCAATTTTTGTTTTGTTGCAATTGCTTTGGTGTCTTCATCATGAAATCTTTGCCAGGCTCTATATCCAGATTGATATTTCCTAGGTTATCTCCAAGGATTTTTACAATTTCAGGTTTTACATTTAAGTCTTCAATCCATCTTGCATTGATTGTTGTATGTAGTGTAAGGTAGGGGTCTGGTTTCAATCTTCTGCATATGGCTAGCCAATTATCCCAGCACCATTTATTGAATGGGGAGTCCTTTGCTCTTACAATTTTTCACACTTAGAATAAATATTAAAAGTATCCTATGAAAAGTCTATAAAAGGCTTAACCTGAGCAGGCAAGCCGTTTTCTGACTTCATCTTTAGCATTTATTAGACACAATGCAAAACTTTTGGATGATCCCCCCAAAATCACATACTTAATACCCTTAAAACAGATAAGACAAGGAACGTACCTAATTGTAATGGATTTGATTCAAAATGGTGCAAGACTTGTTAAAGAAGCATAATGGAAGAGAAATAAAACTATGCGCTGATTTTCTACGAGTAAGGCAGTGTTGTCTTCCTTTAGGAAGAAGTGACTAGTGCAGAAGAGAAAGAAAAGGATGTTGGAGTCTCATGTGTGGAAAGAACAACTAATTATAGGAATAGTTCCTCAGTTGGAAAGGACAGAAAAACACAGTTCTGAGGAACAGGTACAGAAGCCAGAAAGAAGGCTTCTCTAAGAGAATTTTACAAAGTAATCAAGAAAATAATGATAAAGTTCTGAATAATTATTTTAGATTTCCTGCTCTCTATTTAAACTTAGACTAGCTTGGACCAGTTAGCTTTTTAAGGTTTCTTTTTCCGCTCTATTATTATCAGGGGAGGCAGAAGAGAAAAAAGAACATCAGAGGTGAGGTCAGATTAATCAGGCTCACATTATAGATTGCCTATTATCAGAGCTTTTGGGAGTCACTGCCTCATCTGTAAAATCAGGTTACTACTTTTCCTACTTATACCTCAAAGGAATATTGTGAAAATTATATATGCATATATATTGATAAATATATACTCTGCATATATAAAAATATATAATATGTATATATACTCTGCACATATATATATATATGTAAAATGTGTTTGGAGGTGCTTTGTAAACCAACAGCAAAGTCTGTACAAATGTTAAAATATTATTCATGCAGTTTTTTAACTTTCTTTCCCTCCTGCAAATTCCAAAGGTTCTTAAGTTTCTTGTAACTCATTCTAGAGATTGAAGTAAATATAACAATAGTAATGATAGTAACAATAATGTAACATCTATTGAGTGCTTATTATGTGTCAAGCAACATTTGTAGGTGATTTACCAGAAATAACTAATTTAATCCATATGATGGAAAATTATATTTGAGGTTACAATTTTCTTTGTACACCAGAAAACAGTTTCTAGGTTGCTGTCTTAGTCTTTTGGGGCTGCTATAATAAAATAACATAGATGGATGGCTTAAACAACAGATACATATTTTCTCACAGTTGTGGGGGCGAGAAGTCCGAGATCAAGGTGAGAGATTCTGTTCATAGTAAGCCCTCTTCCTAGCTTTCAGACTACCACCTTCTCATTGTATCTTCATGTGGTGGAGAGAGCTCTGGTCACCCTCTCTTCTTATAAGGATACTAATCACATCATGAGGACCCTACCCACCTGACCTCATCTAACTCTAATTACCTCCCAAAAGTTCTGCTTCTGAATATATCATATTATTGGGTATAATTATAACATATAAATTTGGGGGAGATACACTCAGTCCTTAACAGTTGGAAATGAAGATGTTAGATTATGCTGTAGTACTGACTAACTTCCAGAGATGTTGTTACTGAAGATACCCCCAAATGTGCTAATCTTCATCAAGCATCCTATTTTCTCATGAGAGTCTCCTATCTTCCAGAGTGTTTATGCAAACACTCCTACCATAATAGTTCTTTGACTTCTAGTCCATTGATACCTCTGACTTTTTCCTTTATGGTAGCCTCCTTCTATTTTCACTTTCCTTCCCATCTATTTCAGATTTCATGAACCATTTATTTCAATAACTATCTTGACAAACAGGCACTACTTGTGAAAAGGTGGTCTGTTGTATTCGCTTTCTCCTAAATTCCTTTATAACCCACAGCTTTTGTGTAAGCCAGGGAAAGATAAGGGTGCTTGATCTGTGTTTAATGTGTGTCTTAGCCTCTACACTATGCCTGTCTTGTTTCCTGTTACAACTTCCAGGCCTAGCATGGTGTCTGTTACATATTTATCAAAGGAATAAATAAATTAATCATACCAGAATTAGGACCAGCTTATAGGCATTCAAGATAGATTTTGGATCATTAAAAAAATATTCGAACAATTAGAACAGTCCAAAATAGGATGGGCTGCATTATGAATTCTGAATTTCTATGTCACTGAAGATATTCAGGGAGGGCGTAGGTACAGTTAAGGAGAGTGCATGAGACCAGGTGTTTTATGAAGTCTTATCCAATCCTGGATTCTGTTATCTAGAAATAAAACTTGCATAAGGGACTGGAAGTTCATTCATGAAAGAAGAAAATATGAGTAGTTTTTGATTACACATTTAAATTTGACAGTAAAGTTTTAAAATTTGTTCTACTATATTAGTAGAATTTACGCAGGAATACTGACTTTCGTAAGCCATTTATTCAAGTGTTCCAAAAGTCATTATTTTTCCATAACCAAACTTCATTTCAACCTTGGGTTTTGAGTCCACCTAGTGGCTGAAATTTGCTATTAATCAATTCTGGGTAAGCTCAAGTAACTTTAAGGTTTCTCAGTTATTTTAGGGCTCAAATTCAGTCTAACAAGAGCTTGTCCTCACCTCATCCTCTTTCCCCAGTGTGGCATAAACATTTCCAGCTGCTCAAATAGTATCATGGCATCTGCAAGGAGGCACTTAGTCATTAATGTCTGTCCATACTGGCATCCGCTAAAGCGTGGAAATCCATCTCTCTTTAGCTAATGTTTCCCCTATGCTAGAACCTGCTGAGATGGCTTCAAATACATATTTTATTTGCCCAAACTACACTTCACCTAATCCCCCACCCTCTGCAGTATTTACTTCTCAAAATCAAAATCACAACCCGTCAGGATTTCTCTCTTTTTCTCTCCCTCTCTCTCCCATCCCCTCTCTTGTTGTACTTCATCATTTTTTGGTAGTATGAGAAAATATAACTACCCCTTTATCATGCTGTGCCATGTGAAGTTCCCTCCATCCCTGTTAACATGTTGATGCAGGGAAGCTACTGTCTTCCAGGATTCTAAGTCTAAAGAAGGACGCATGCACCCTCATTTTTCAGATATTCTGTTCTCAGAACCCTTTCTAAGAAACCATAGCTGGAGTAAGACTGTATTATTGTCTGTGATGCTTTACCTCCCTAGTCTAGTCTATGAAGCTCATAGGTGGAAATATGCTTCTTATGCCAGCTTCTATTATTCTCAACATTTTTTTTTGAGACAGGGTCTCACTCTGTTGCCCAGGCTGGAGTGCAGTGGCACGGGGTGCTCACGGCTCACTGCAGCCTCAACCTCCCTGGCACAGGTGATTCTCTCACCTCAGCCTCCCGCGTAGCTGGGACTACAGGCATGTGCCACCACATTGGGCTAATGAAAAAAATATTTTTTGTAGACAGGGGTTTTCACCATGTTGCCCAGGCTGGTCTGTAACTCTTGGGCTCAAGGGATCCTCCCTCCTCTGCCCCTCAAAGTGTTGGGATTATAGGCATGAGCCACTGGGCACAGCCAAGACTATTATTTATAGTATAATTTTGGCTACTGATGCCCAGAGTATTTTTTAATAACAGATTTATAATTCACGCACCATAAATTACATCTGTTTCACTTTAAAATGTACAATGTTTGTTTGTACATTTTTGTTTCATTTGTTTTTAGTATGGTCACAAAGTTGTGCAATCATCACCACTATCTAATTTCAGAACATTTTGGTTACCCCAAAAATAAACTCCATGCTCATTAACAGTCAGTTCCTATTACTCTCTCCTCCAAGTTCTTGGCAACTACTAATCTACTTTCTGTTTCTGTGAATTTGTCTTTCCTGGACACTTCATATAAATTGAATCATGAAATAAATGGCCATTTGTGACTGGCTTTTTTCATGTAGTATAATGCTTTCAAGTTTCATCCATGTTGTAGCATGTTATAAGTACTTCATTCTTTTTTATGGCTGAAAAATACTTCGTTGTGTGAATATACAAAATTTTGTTTACCCATGTATCGGTTGATGAGCATTTTGATTTTTAACAGTTTTTTTGTTATTATAAATAGTGTAGTTATGAACATCTGTGTAAAAGTTTTTGTGTGGGTATATGTTTTCATTTATCTTGGTTATATGTATAAAAGCGGAAATGCTGGGTTCTATGGTAACTGCTATGTTTAACTTTTTGAGGAAATGCCAAATTGGTTTTCCCAGAATTCCACCATATTCCGTTCCAATCGACGATGTTTGAGCATTCTAATTTTTCCACTTTATCATCATTCGTTATTGTCCATTTTTTAATCATAGCCATTCTAGTCAGTCTGAAGTGATATCTCATGGTGTTTTGATTTGCATTTCCCTGATGACTAATGATGTGGAGCATTTTTTCATGTGTTTGTTAGCCTTCTGTATATCTTTTCTAGAAAAATATCTAAACTTTTTTTCTTACTTATAAATTGAATTTTTTGCCTTTTTGTGGTTGAGTAGTAATAGTTCTTCACATATTCTGGATACTATACCTTTATCAGTTATATAATTTCTAAATATTTTCTCCCATTCTATGTATTATATTTTCACTGTCTTGATCATGTTCTTTTACACACAAAATTATTTAATTTTGAAGTTCAATGTATATATTTTTTCTTTGGTTACTTGTGCTTTGTCATGTCTAACAAGGCTTTGCCAAATCCAATATAACAAAGTTTGCACTTATGTTTTCTTCTGAGTGTTTTATCATTTTAGTGCCTATATTTAGGTCTATGATTCATTTTGAGTAAATTTTTGTTTATGGTATGAAGTAGGAGTCCAACTTCCTTGTTTTGCATGAGAATATCTAGTTGTTAGGGTACTATTTGCTGAAAGGACTATTCTTTCCCCATTAAATTCTCCTGACACCCTTGGCGAAAATCAATGTACCCTAAATATGAAGGCTTTATTCTTATATTCTTAATTCCATTTCATTGAGCTATATGTTTCTCTTTATGCCA
Organism: Homo sapiens; assembly: GCF_000001405.40. Lineage (NCBI taxonomy): Eukaryota > Metazoa > Chordata > Mammalia > Primates > Hominidae > Homo > Homo sapiens. The sequence continues at coordinate 81,380,028 of NC_000023.11, forward strand.
GTACTATACAGTCTTGATTGCTTTAGTTTAGTAGCAGCCTTTTAAAATCATAAAGTATAACTCTTTTAACTTTTTCTTCTTTTCCAAGATTGTTTTGACTTTTTTCAGTGTTAATTAATAAATTTTTATTAGAACACAGCCATGTCTATTTCTTTACATATTGTCTATGGCTGCCTTCATGCTCCAAAGACAGAGTTGGGTAGTTGAAATGGAGACCATGTAACTTACAAAACTAAAGGTACTTACTCTCTAGTCCATTACAAACATAATTTGCTGGCTTCTGTTCTACAAATATATTTCTTCCAAGGCTATAGATTATATAGTTTTTAAGTGTTACAAACTTATCATATTACAGTTCTGTAAGTTAGAGATCTGACACAAGTCTCACTGGGCCAAAATCAAGGTGTTAGCTGGACTGTGTTCCTTCTGGAGGCTCTAAGAGATAATTTATTTTGTCTTTTCAAGCTTCTAGAGCTGCCACATTCCTTGTCTCATGGCTCCATCCTCCATTTTCTTTTTTTATTTTTAATTTTTTAAAACGTACCATCATTACCATTTTAAATATACAGTTCAGTGGCAATAAATACACTTATGTCCTTTTTTGTTCCCTCCTCTTCCACTCCCCTCTCCTCTTCTGGCCTCTGGTAATCAATGCTCCACTTGCTACCTCCATGAGATAAACTTTTTTAGTTCCTATATATGAGTGGGAACATGCAATATTTGTCTTTCTGTGCTTGCCTTACTTCACGTAACATAATGGCCTCCAGTTCCATCAATGTTGCTGCAAATGACAGGATTTTATTCTTTTTTTACGACTGAATGATATTGCATTGTTTATGTATCACGTTTTCTTTATCCATTCATCCACTGATGGGCACTTAGGTTAATTCCATATTTTGGGTATTGTGAATATTGCTGTTTTGACTATTCTGAGTCCTGTGCACTTCCATATAAATTTAAGGATCATCTGGTCAATTTCTACCAAAAAAATGCTATCCAGGATTTTGATATGGATTGCTTTTCAATTTGAGAGTATTGTCATGTTAAAAACACTAAGCTGTCTAATCCATGAATGAGCTATTGTCTTTTTCTTTATTTAGGTCTTTTAAAATTTCTTCCAACAATGTTTTGTTATTTTCAGAAAATAAGTTTTGAAATTCTCCCATTAAATTAATTCTTATTCTTTTATTTTTTATAGTATTATAAATAGAATCTCTTTGTTAATTTTACTTCCAGATTATTCACTGCTAATGTAGAGAAACACAATTTTTTTTTCAATATTGGTATTGTATTCTGCAATCCTGTTGAAGTTCAATCTTGTTCAAATTGTTTGATTGTTTTAATTATTATTTGGTGGATTCCTTAGGATTTTCTAGTTACAACATACTGTCATCCACAAATAGAGGTAGTTTTACTTCTTATTTACAAGCTGTATTACTTTATTTTTTTTTCTTAGTCAAATTGTCCTGGCTCAAAGATACCTATTTGTTGGCATATGGTATATTGCATTTCCTTATCATCTTTTCTATTTTTATAAGTTCAGTAACAATGTTCCCTGTTTATTCCTAATGTTAGTAGTTTGCAGCTTTCCTTTTTTTCTCTGTCCATGTTGATAAAGTTTGGCCATATTTCTTGATGTTTTCAATGAACAAACATTTGAGTTTGTTGATTTTTCTCTATTGTTTTTATTCTCTATTTCATTTATTTATATACTAATACTTATTATTTCCTCCTTCTCTTGGTTTGTGTTTAGATTGTTTTTCTATTTTTAATTCTTAGGGTGAAAGGTTAAGGTATTTGTTTGAGATCTTTATTGTTTTTGGAATATTAAAAAGAAGCCTTTCCTTTAAGCTTTAGATTTCACTGTATCTTAGTGTTTTGGTATGTTGTGTTTTCATTTATATCAATCTACAGATATTTTCAAACTCATTTTGGGATTCCTTCTTTAATCCATTGGCTATTTAGGAGTGTGCCATTTAATTTCTACATATTTGTGAATTTACAAATATTCTCCTGATATTTATTTCTAGTTTTTTGACCCCAACCCTCCTCTCACCCTCCACCCTCCAGTAGGTCCTGATGTGTATTGTTCCCTTCTTTGTGTCCATGTGTACTCAATGTTTAGCTCTCACTTACAAGTGAGAATATGCAGTATTTGGTTTTCCGTTCCTGTGTTAATTCTCTTAGGATAATAGCCTCCAGCTCTATCCATGTTGCTGCAATAAACACAATATCATTGTTTTTTTATAGCTATGTAGTATTCCGTGGTGTATATGTACCACATTTTCTTTACCCAGTTTACCATTCATAGGCATCTAGGTTGATTTAACGTCTCTGTTACTATGAATAGTGTTGCAATAACCATATGTGTGCATGTGTGTCTTTTTTTTTTTTTTTTTTTTTTTTGAGACGGAGTCTCACTCTGTCGCCCAGGCTGGAGTACAGTGGCGTGATCTCGGCTCACTGCAATCTCCGCCTCCCGGGTTCACGCCATTCTCCTGCCTCAGCCTCCCGAGTAGCTGGGACTACAGGCGCCCACCACCATGCCCGGCTAATTTTTTGTATTTTTAGTAGAGACGGAGTTTCACCGTGTTAGCCGGGATGGTCTCGATCTCCTGACCTTGTGATCCGCCCGCCTCGGCCTCCCAAAGTGCTGGGATTACAGGCGTGAGCCACCGCGCCCGGCCACATGTGTGTCTTTATGGTAGAATAATTTATGTCCCTTTGGGTATATACCCAATAATGGAATTTCTGGGTCAAATGGTAGTTCTGTTTTAAATTCTTGGAGAAATTTCCAACCTGCTTTCCACAGTGGCTGAACTAATTTATATTTCCTCCAGAAGTGTGCAAGCATTCTCTTTTCTCTGCAACCTCACTGGCATATGTTATTTTTTGACTTTTTGACAATAGCCATTGTGATTGGCGTAAGATGGTATCTCGTTGCAGTTTTAATATGCATTTCTCTAATGATTAGTGATGTCGAACATTTTTTCATATGCTTCTTGGCGGCATGTATGTCTTCTTTTGAAGTGTCTGTTATGTTCTTAGTCCACTTTTTAGTGGAGTAGCATTTTTTGTTGTTGTTAATTTGCTTAAGTTCCTTATGGATTCTGGATATTAGAACTTTCTCAGATGCATAGTTTGCAAATTTTTTCCCCATTTGGTAGGTTGTCTGCTTATTCTGTTGATAGTTTCTTTTGCTGTTTAGTTTAATTAGGTCTCTGTTTTTGTTGCAATTGCCTTTGCCATCTTCATCATGATATCTTTGTCAGGCCCTATGTCCAGAATGGTGTTTCCTAGGTTTTTGTCAAGGGTTTTTATACTTTTAGGTTTTACATTTAAATCTTTAATCCATCTTGAGTTGATTTTTGTATATGGAGTAAGGAACCTAGTTTCAATCTTCTGCTGCCAGTTATTTCAGCACCATTTATTGAATTAAAAAGTCCTTTCCTCATTGCTTGTTTTTGTTGACTTTGTCAAAGACCAGATGGTTGTAGGTGTGCTGTTTTATTTCTGGGTTTTCTCTTCTGTTCCATTGGTATATGTGTCTGTTTTTTTTTTTTTCACCACTACTATGCTGTTTTGGTTATTGTAGACTTTTAGTATAGTTTGAAGTCTTAGAATGTGATGCCTCAACATTTGTTCTTTTTGTATGGGATTGTTTTGACTATTTAGGTTCTTTTTTAGTTTCATATTAATTTTAAAGTAGTTTTTTTTTTCTAATTCTGTGAAGAGTTTCATTGGTAGTTTGAGAGGGATAGCATTGAATGTGTAAATTGCTTTGGACAGTATGACAATTTTAGTAATACTGATACTTCTTATCCATGATCATGGAATGTTTTTATTTGTGTCATCTGATTTCTTTCAACAGTGTTTTGGGATTCTCATTTTAAAGATCTTTCTCCTCCCTGATTAGCTGTATTCTTAGGTATTTTATTCTTTTTTTGATGCCTATTGTGAATGAAACTGTGTTCTTGATTTGACACTCAGCTTGCATGTTCTTGTATAAAAATTGTAGTCAATTTTGTACATTGATTTTTATCCTGAAACTTTGCTGCAGTTGTTTATCACATCAAGGAGCATTTGGGCAGAGACTAAGAGGTTTTCTAGGTACAGAATCATATCATCTGAAATCCATAGATATTTTGACTACCTTTCTTCCTATTTGGATGCCTTTTATTTCTGTCTCTTGCCTTATTGCTCTGAGTAGGACTTCCAGTACCTTGTTGAATAACAGTGCTGAGAGAGGACATCCTTTTCTGTTCCAGTTTTCCAGGGGAACGTTTTCAGCTTTTGCCGGTTTAGTATGATACTGCTCCGAGATTGTCATAGACGGCTCCTATTATTTTGATGTATGTACCTTCAGTGTCTGGTTTGTTGAGGGTTTTTTTTTTTTAACATGAAGGGATATTTAATTTTATTGAAGGCTTTTCTTCATCTTTTGAGATAATTATTTTTTTAGTTTTGTCTATGTCATGGATTACGTTTACTGATTTTTGTGCGTCGGATTGACCTTGCATCTCAGAGATGAAGCCTACTTGATCAAGTTGGATTAGCTTTGTGATGTGCTGTTGTATTTGGTTTGCTAGTATTTTGTTGAGGATTTTTGCAACTGTGTTCATCCAGGATATTGCCATGAAGTTGTGTGTGTGTGTGTGTGTGTGTGTGTGTGTCTGCCAGGTTTTGGTATCAGAATGATGTTGGCCTCATAGAATGAGTTTGGATTCCCTCCTCAATTTTTTGGAATAGTACCAATAAGAATGGTACCAATTCTTGTTTATACATTTGGTAGAATTTGGCTGTGAATCTCTCTGGTCTTGGGCTTTTTTTTCTGATTGTAGGCTTTTTATTACTGTTTTGATTTTGGAACTCATTTTTGGTCTGTTTGTGTGTCCAATTTCTTTCTAGTTCAATCTTGGGAGGTTGTGTGTTTTAAGAAATTCATCCATTTCTTTCAAGTTTTCTAGTTTGTGTGCACACAGGTATTTGGAATAGTCTCTTAGGGTTTATTTATTTGTATTTCTGTGGGATCAGTGGTAATATTCCCTTTGCCATTTCTGACTGTGTTTATTTGGGTTTTCTCTCTCTTTATTAGTCTAGCCAATGGTCTATTAATTCTATTTATTCTTGCAAATAACCAACTTCTAGTTTGCTTGAACTTTTGTATGTTTTTATATCTCAGTTTCATTCAGTTCAGCTCTGATTTTAGTTATTTTTTGTCTTCTGCTCTCTGAGGTTGTTTTGCTCTTGTTTTTCTAGTTCTTCTACTTGTAGTGCTAGATTGTTAATTTGAGATCATTCTACTTTCTTGATATAGGCATATAGCACTGTAAAGTTTCCTCTTTACTCTGCTTTAGCTGTTTCCCAGGAGTTTTAGTCATGAAATCTTTGCCCATGCCTTTGTCCTGAAGGATATTGCCTGGGTTTTCTTCTAGGATTTTTATGGTTTTAAGTCTTATGTTTAAATCTTTAATCCATCTTTAGTTAATTTTTGTATAAGGTGTAAGGAAGGGGTCCAGTCAGTTTTCTGCATATGGCTAGCCAGTTTTCCCAACACCATTTATTAAATAAAGAATCCTTTCTCCATTGCTTGTTTTTATCAGGTTTGTCAAAGATCAGATGGTTGTAGATGTGTGATGTTATTTCTGAGGCCTCTGTTCTGTTCCATTGGTCTATATATCTGTTTTGGTACGAGTACCATGCGGTTTTGGTTACTGTAGCTTTGTAATATAGTTTGAAGTCAGGTAGCACGATGCCTCCAGCTTTGTTCTTTTTGCCTAAGATTGTCTTGGGTATATGGGCTCTTTTGTCGTTCCATATGAAATTTAAAGTAGTGTTTTCTAATTCTGTGAAGAAAGTTAATGGTAGCTTCATGGGAATAGCATTGAATCTATATATTAATTTTCCCACTATTGCCATGTTCATGATATTGGTTCTTCCTATCCACAAGCATGGAATGCTTTTCCATTTGTTTGTGTCTTCTCTTATTTCCTTGAGCAGTGGTTTATAGTTCTCCTTGAATAGGTCCTTCACATCCCTTGTAAGTTGTATTCCTAGGAATTTTATTCTCTTTGTAGTAATTGTGAATGGGAGTTCACTCATGATTTGGCTCTTTGTTTGTCTCTTATTGGTGTATAGGAATGCTTGTGATTTTTGCACATTGATTTTGTACCCTGAGACTGCTGAAATTGCTTATCAGCTTAAGGAGATTTTGGGCTGAGACGATGGGGTTTTCTAAATATACAATCATGTCATCAGGGACAATTTGACTTCCTCTCTTCCTATTTGAACACGCTTTATTCCCTTCTCTTGCCTGATTGCCCTGGCCAAAACTACCAATGCTGTGTTGAATAGGAGTGGTAAGAGAGGGCATCCTTGTCTTGTGCTGGTTTTTAAAGGGAATGCTTCTACCTTTTGCCCATTCAGTATGATATTGGATGTGAGTTTGTCATAAATAGCTATTATTTTGAGATATGTTCCATCAATCCCTAGTTTATTGAGTGTTTTTAGCATGAAGCAGTGTTGAATTTTATTGAAGGCCTTTTCTGCATCTATTGAGATGATCCTGTGGTTTTTGTCATTGGTTGTGTTTATGTGACGGATTACATTTATTGATTTGCGTGTGTTAAACCAGCCTTGCATCCCAGGGATGAAGCCGACTTGATCGTGGTGGATAAGCTTTTTAACATGCCTCTGGATTCGGTTTGCCAGTATTTTATAGAGGATTTTCGCATCGATGTTCATCAGGGATATTGGCCTGAAATTTTCTTGTTTTGTTGTGTCTCTGCCAGGTTTTGATATCAGGATAATGCTGGCCTCATAAAATGAGTTAGGGAGGAATCCCTCTTTTTCTATTGTACCAGCTCCTCTTTGTACCTCTGGTAGAATTTGGCTGTGAATCCATTTGGTCCTGATCTTTTTTTGGTTGGCAGGCTATTAATTATTGCCTCAATTTCAGAACTTGTTATTGGTCTATTTAGGGAAGAGGGTGTATGTGTCCAGGAATTTATTCATTTCTTCTATATTTTCTTATTTGTGTAGAGGTGTTTATAGTATTCTCTGATGGTAGTTTGTATTTCTGTGGGATCAGTGGTGATATACCCTTTATCATTTTCTTATTGTGTCTATTTGATTCTTCTCTCTTGTTCTTTATTAGTCTGGCTAGCAGTCTATATATTTTGTTTATCTAAGTATTTCATTTTTGGGTACTAGTATAAATGTTATTTTAAAATTAAGATTCCACTTGTTCTTTCCTAGTATATAAGAAAGCATTTTTTTTTTTCGTAAATTTACCCTGTATTTTGTATCCTTGCTAAAGTTACTTTTTAGTTTTAGGAGTTTTGTTGTTGTTTTTGTAAGTTCCTTTATATTTTTTACAGAGACAATTATGTCATCTAAGAACAAAGACTTCCAAATCTCTCTACTGTTTATTTCCTTTTTAAAAATCTTGTTGCATTAGCTTGTATTTCCAGTGTAATGTTGAAAAGGAGTAGTGAGAGGGTACATCCTTGCTTTGTTCCTGTATTATTAGAAAAGTTTCTAGTTTGTTATCAATGAACTATGATGTTATTTGTAGGATATTTCTAGATATTCTTTATCGATTTGAAGCTCCCCCTTATTTCTAGTTTGCTGAGGATTTTATTAAATAATGACTGGGTTTTGGATTTTGTCAAACCTTTTTTATACATTTATTGGTATAATCATGTGATTTTTTTTCTCTAATCTGTTGATGTGACAAATTACATTGTTTTTCAAATATTGAACTAGCCTTGCAAACCAGAAAAAAATCTCAGTTGGTTGTGGTGTATAAGTATTTTTATATGCTCTTAGCTATTATTTGCTAATATTTTACTGAGAATTGGTATTAGGTATTTTGTGAGACATATTGGTTTGCAGTTTTTGTTTTGTTTTTGTTTTTGTAACGTCTTTGTCCAGTTTTAGTATTGGTAATCCTGACCTCATTGAACAAGTTAAGAAAAATTCTCTCTCCTTCTATCTTCTGGAAGAGATTATAGAAAATTGATATAAGTTCTTCCTTAAATGTTTGGTGGAATTCACTAGTGAACCTATCTGTGTCTGAAGCATTCTATTTCATAAGGTTATTAACTATTGATTCAATTTCTTTAATAGTTCTAAACCTATTCATACAATCTATTCTTGTGCCAGTTTTGATGGATTGTGTCTCTTGAAAAATTTGTTCATTACATATAGCTTATCAGTTTTGCAGAAATTGAGCTTCTAATATTTCATTATTATCCTTTTAATGTCCATGTGATCCATAGTGATGACCTCTCTTGCATTTATAATATGAGTTATTTGTGTCTTTTCTCTTTTTTCCTTAGGTCAGCTATAGACTTGTTGATTTTTTGGATCTTTTGAAAGACTCGGCTTTTGGTTTTTTTGATTTCACTATTGATTTTCTGTTTTCAATTTCATTGATTTCTACTCTTTTATTTTTTTTTTCTATTGCTTACATTGGATTTAATTTTCTTTTTTTTTTCCTACAGTGGAAACTTAGAAGACTGATTTTAGATACTTCTTTTGTTTTTATAATACATGCATTTAATGCAATAAATTTCCCTCATAGTGCTGCTTTCATTACATCTCACATATTTTGATATGTTCTATTGTCATATCCATTTAATAGAAAATATTTTTACATTTCTCTTGAGATTTCTTCCTTGATCCATGTGCTATTTAAAATTCTATTGTTTAGCTAGGCATTGTGGTGCATGCCTGTAATCCCAGCTGCTACTGGAGAGGTTGAGGCAGGATGACCACATGAGCCCAGGAGGTCAAGGCTGGAGTGAGCTATGGTTGTGCCAATGCTCTCTAACCTGGGTGACAGAGAAAGACGCCATCTCTCTCTAAAAAAAATAGCATGTTTTTATCTCTAAGTATTTTGGGAGTATGGGTTTATAAACATTGCATTATGATTTAAGAGATGAATTTTATCTATTTTAATAATATAGCTTTTGTCATGAATATCTCTGATTCAATCCTGATCTCTTTTTGGGAAACATTTGAGTACATTTTGACTTCTGTTTGGCCCACCTCTATGCGTGTGTAGAAGTACGCTCATATGCCTGAAGAAACAGCCTATATAAGGAGAGCCTAGGCCCTGTGTTGAGCCAGGAGGGGTGTATGATGGTATGAATTTGCAAATACAGTTATGGGTTTGCAATAAATATCACATCACTTAGTTAAAAAAATCAAATTAAAGTTGATTTTGAGGCTCCTTCCTAACCAAACAATTTTTGTCACTGGGTGTTGCATGTGTATGTACACACATGTACGTGTGTGTGTGTGCGAGAGAGACAGAGAGAGAGAGAGAAAGAGAGAGAGAGAGAGAAAGAGAGAGAGAGTATACGAGGACCTTTTCCCTCCTTTAGAATCTCACAAATATCATAGGTTGTATATGGTTCCTGGAAATCTTGTCCTTTGTTCATCATAAATGCTATTGAAGTGTTCACTGTCTGAATCGATATGGTACCTTGAAGACCTGCTGTATTTCCATCCAAATTTAGCATGACTATTTGCCAAGTTTGGAAGCTGTTGTGGCTAAGATTCAGCTTCCCTAGGTGTTTTCACTCGATTATATCCTTACTCCTACCAGATCATGCCATTTTTCCAAGGCACTCAGAGAAAACAGAGCATAGGTCCAAAACAGGGCATAGGTCCTCTGCTACTTGTGGAACTCCAGTTGATAATCTCCTTTCTGGTTTTGGGAAATTCCACTCTCATTTGCTGCCCTTGCTTCTCTCTCCTCAAAATCATACATCCTATTATTTGTTTCCAAGCCAAATCACCTCAGGTTTCTGGAAAAAAAAAAAAACTAAGAAGGTTTAATTGTCTGAAAGCAACTTCTTTTTTCAGTACTGAATTTCATCCCTCCCCTGATACAAGAAGGAACAAGGAAAGGAAAAAATACAGTCAGAACAAAACACATATGTTTTATTGTGGATTGCCTTGAAAGCTAAGCCTTATTCAAAAGCTTTGCATGCACATAGTTTGTTTGCAAAGTTATCTCAGATACTGGTAGTGAAGAACCAGGGAGATTGAAACATGACAGAAGAAAAATTCATTATCATTATGCAGAATCATGTTTGCTGCTGCTATGGATAACTGATGTTCAGTCTGGATGGACTCTTGTGAGGAGACATATAAAATGCACCTCAGAATGGTTTGCCTAAAGGATATTGTCTGTCCATTGACCTCTGATGTGTATTTAGTTGAGGATTGGGCTATTGGGTGTTAAACCTTAGTAATTTTCCTACTGAGCATGTGTGAATGCAGAGTGAGATTCCATAGTCATTCCATGATGTGGTGTCAGAGAAGCCCTGAAACAGAAACTGAGCAATATGTAGGACAGCTGGATATGAGGTGCTGTCAGCATGAAGTGAAATTGAAACTCACATAGTGCTGTTAGGCACTGTATGGCTCAAATCAGATATGAGGGCAAGACAATGTGAGGAAGTGCTCAAGATGACTTTTATAGAGTCTGCCCTTTGCACCACTCACAATCTCTTATTTCCTCCACTACATTTTTAGTGAAGTAGCTAACTGCCTTCTCTACCAAATACAATACATGAAGGCAATTAATGGAATATGCTATTGTCCCTGCTGTTGCAACTGGTCTAAAGTCCATATTGATATTCATTGTCTCACTCTTCTACCTGCAGTTTATTTTTCCCTCACTCTCAGCCATCACTGTAGTTATTACAGGTTGCTTGTCTGGTGGGATGACCAAAAATTTCAGCCTAAAGGGCTTTGGGCCCTTGGTTGACTTGCTTTTGCCAGGCTGTGATATCTGTATTTGTTCATTTATCATTATCATGAGGCATGAATGCACAAAGAAATACCCCAGTATCCTTGGGTTCTAAAAATTTCTCTCTACCTCAATCATGTGACAGTAAACCTAGCTCCACAAGGTGATTTGGGTCAGTTTTCCCCAGTAATATTAACTGTTTTTTTTTCTGCTTTCTGGTGCCTTTCATAAAAAATCCAAAAGAATTAAGTGGCAGATTGTTGTAACTTCATGTTCAATGGCATCCTTCCACTCTCCTTTTGTAGAAGCATTCTCCATTGAAAGCAAAGTCTCAAATCTGGCAGCGTCTAAGGGTTTAGGGATGAATAACCAAAGTCTACAAGTGTTGGAGAGAGGTGGCAATCCCATTGTTGCCTGGAACAATTTATTTCAGCTACTGCGGACACAAAATCATATTATATCAACTATTGTTTTAATGAATATACTACATACTGGAGCATCATGGTCCAACCTTTTAGAGTGAGTTCCCAAATAGAACCTACACTGGGTCTCTGCTAGGCCATTCAACTAAGCGGGCTGATTTCAGATTATATGATACGTGGTAGAACTAGTAACCCTGGGTGTAAGAGCACTAATTTAATTCACCTGCAACAAAGTGGCTGGATGGTATTATACATATCAAGGGCTCAGTGTCAGTCTCTGCTGCTAGCAGATTGGGCATTCAGCATAGAGGTAGCTATATCAACCTTTGTGAGGGGAAACTCATGCCTAGCTTTTATTTCTGCTACCATAGCCACTTTATTCAATGTACCATTAAAAAAGCACTGGGGTAGCTTAGGTGAGAGGCTGGCTGATATCCGTAGGATAAATTATCCTGTTCTCTTAGATATTGAGGAGCTCCTTAACATTAATGTTTGTCACAAACTTCATCCTTCACCCATTCCATAGGTCATCCCTGTACTGCTACTCTAGACCCCCTTGTCTCCAATTTCAGTCTTGCTATTTCTAGATTTCAAACGATCCAGTGAGTACATTTAACACCACCCAGACATCTATGGCTATCCACGCTTCTGGCCATTTCTTGTTCTAGGCTGTATCAGTTAGCTGTTTCTACAAAATAAATCACCTCAAAACCCAGTTGCTTAAAACAGTAAACTTGTATTTTCATTAATAACCCAAAAAAATGTTAGCTAGATAGTTCTGTTTTCCTGGATCAGCGTTGGTTTATTTCATCCAAGCTTGTTCAGGCACCTGCAGTCAACTGGTGGAACAGCTGGGAGATGGCTGGTATAGGAGGGCCTTACTTACGTGTCTGGTAGTTTGTTGCCTGTTGCCTAGGGCAGTTGGAGCCACATGGCAATTATCATCCAGAAGACTGTCTCAGACTTCTTCACATGGTGATACCAGGGTTCTGAAAGACAGAAGAGAAGCTTATTGAGTACTAGGCCCAGAATTGGTACTTATGCTGCATTTAATGAATCAAACAAATCGCCACGCCCACCCATTGTCAAGGAGTGGGGAAATAGACACTATCTTTTAATGGGAGGAGTTGAAAAGTCAGAAACAACAGGGTAAATCATTTCAGTTATTATTGCAATTAATTAACTATACACTAAGTTTATAACCAGGTGTACTAGTTAAAACAACCTCCCTACTTTTGTCCTTTAGAGACATCCATGTGTAAGTCATGCAGAGGCAGTAGCAGGCTACTTTTGGTTTACAATACATATTGAGTATTGAGCTTACCAAACTGTGAGCCAGGCCCTGGAATAGTTCCCCTATTTTCTGACAGCTGCTCATGGAGAACCCCATATGAGGAAGACACTTCAGTGCAACAGAGGAAGGTGACATATAGTTTGGGCTATCTGCTTGCATAACTTACTTGAGACCTTGAAAACAGTCTATTTTATAATGGATTGCTGTTGACTTGGTAAATCTGATAATAACCAGCTCATGATCTAGTGGCATAGTCACTTGATGTCCCTTAGTTATGTGCTCAGTTTCTATTAGGGTCTGCTTTTCCAAAAAGCAGTGCTCTGCTACAGAAAGTAAGACCTTGCTTTCTGAGATCTGTGCTATGACTGTTCAATTGAGATTAACTGGAGAATCCACATAGCATCCTCATCCACTACAGATGCCTCTAAAACCATCAAATCTACTAGGTCATATAGACTGAGAAACAGGACAGCTTTCACCTGATTCTTTTAAAGAGGCTTTTGTGATGTAAGGCATAAAATTAAGGCCCAATATTATATACTTCTTTGTTATCTGAAACCAGAAGGACATCAAAAGGCCTAACTGCAAAATTTTCATCCCTATTCTGTCACTGCAGATAACATCTCCTAGAAAGACCACCCTCCTTAACAAAGGGACTAAGCACAGTTCTTGCTTGTCCCAGAGTAGCAGGTTTCAGTTCTCTGTCAAATTATTCAAACAAATCAATGCCAACCCCTCATAGAACCAGGAGCCACCTCACCTTCTTTACATTACGAAGCCTGACTTCCACAGCCCCTCTTGTTCACTCTGTTCCCAAGTGCAATCGCAACATTGCCCTGAGTCATGTGTAGTGTTCTTTTCCTTTGGGCTATGAGTACATGTGACTAATAAATTTCCATTGATCTCATCTGTCTAATGTTGTGTATCTGGTCATGCCCAAAGCCCTAGGGTCTTCCCTAAAAAATGGGCTAATAGGAGGCAATTAGAACACCCTTTCTTACTGCTCAGAACCCCAATCAAAACAATGCTTTTTGAAACTTATGATAAATGAGAAGAACAGTTTTTCCAACTGTGGCATATTATAAACTATGCATTCAATGAGGACTACCAGTTGCTGTATTGATTTCTTATTGGATCTTCGACAAAGCAAATAAAAACATAAAATGGGGAAAGGACACCCTATTCAACAAATGGTGCTGGGATAATTGGCAAGCCACATGTAGAAGAATGAAACTGGATTTCTCATCTCTCACGTCATAAAAAAATCAACTCAAGATGGATCTAAGACAAATCTTAAGACCTGAAACCGTAAAGATTCTAGAGGATAACATTGGAAAAACCCTTCTGAATATTGGCTTAGGCAAAAACTTCATGACCAAGAACCCAAAAGCAAATGCAGCAAAAACAAAGATAAATAGATAGGACTTAATTCAACTAAAAAGCTTCTGCACCGCAAAAGAAATAATCAGCAAAGTTGACAGACTACCCACATAGTGGGAGAAAATCATCATAACCTATATATTCAACAAATAACTAATATCCAGAATCTACAAAGAATGCAAATCAGCAAGAAAAAACAAACAAACAGTCCCATCAGAGCTTTTTAAATGGTATATTTTAAGCAGCTTCTTTCTTTTGAGCACCCTGGGCTTTCAAATGACTTGACAATATGGCGTTTGTTGCCATGTCTGTGTTGAATCCTGAAAGAATAAAACATAGGGAAAACAATATTGTCAAATCTAGTTGGTTCCCCTGAAAATCTTGAGAAGCTTAACTTTCTTATAAGTGTAGCATCTTTTATTTTGGATTATGATTATGAGTATCCTTTGGGGCTATAATCTAATAACCTTGTTTCTTTTGACTACAGAAGGTAGCGAAAAAATATCTTCCCTCATTTTCAGACTAGATTGGGTGCATTCAGGGTGGTATGGCCGTAGACTTCCCCTCATTTTCTATGGATATAAGTTAAAAGATCCATTAAATGGCTTAGTTTTTATTCAGACCATCTTTACCTTAAGCTTTAGGTGTATTTCAGTTATTTAAAAGTTGTGTTAATATTCTTTCTAAAAACATACATCTATATAAATTTTATATTTATGTGTTGAAATCTGTCTTACATAAAGTATAATTATTTTGAATGTAGTTGAAGAAAAAGAACACAAACATCATTTTAAATATTTAAAAGAAACTTTTCTAAGACATTTTATTAATTGGAGAATTAATTAGATTGAAAACACTAGATAAAAAATTGAGCATTGACATTTGGGTCACCTAAATGACCAAAGCAGATAGAATCTAATGAAGATATTTGAACATATAATTAAAATGGATAAAATAATTTAGCCAACAGTCAATTCATAGACTCAAGAAATTAAATAAATTTGTAAAATTAAAATTTTATCTTTTTGTGATGGAAATAGAAAACCTCCTCCAAAACTTTTTGAACTTTAGTTATTTTATCTGTTAAATGTCGATAATAATACCTATTTCAAAGTATGATTGTTGAGCAATAAAATGAAATAATGTATTAACTGAATGCAATTTAAATATGAAAAGTAATTTGTAGTCACTCTGTAGTTATGTATTGATTGAATCACTGTGTTAAGCATGACACAAAAATATGTTGTAGCGTATTACTTCGGGAAAAATTTCTCTTCCGTTTTGTTCTGTTGTCCAATAACTTGAAAGATGAGGGAGGAAACATTTGTATTCCTTCAAGCATTGATCACTTTTTTAGAAATGATCTGTGTAGGCATCATTTTCTACTTGAAGGATTATTGGTTGTCAGAATGGTCAGTGTCATCATAGATTTTGTGGTGTCTGTGGAGGCAGGGAAGGTAAGGAAGCAACCTCACTGTGTGAAAAATAATTAAAACTCTATTAGGAGAACTGTGAGATTGAGCAGTGTTTTCAGCCTAAAACCATAAAGCATTCAGTCTTAATGATGGCTGCTTTTAACAGTGATATATTGCATTCACAATAAAACTCATTTTGTTCCTTTTCAATAATGCATTGTTTCTGAAGTCAGTAAGTGCACATTTACAGATATTTCAAAAATAAACTGTATTACATTAAATTGCCTTCTATTTCAGACATTTTTTGGTTTAAAAAATCCACCCATCAGCATCACTAAATGCTAAATATAAAATTTATGTATAAAACACAAATTTTTATTATAATAAAAATTACATCATATCTTCTCATTATAAGTTAATAGCTCTATGCGATTTTTGAGATTAATATCCAAAGCTGGACTTTTATTTAAAAACTTGAAAATATGTTTATTATTATTATTACATTTTGTTGTTTTTTAAAGCTTGACATATATGAATTTGCTTCTCCACATTTCAAATTGATCTGTATTTCATTCAGGAAGAGCACACATGAACATAAACATGGGAACAACAGACACTGTAGACTATTAGAGCAGGGAGGGAGGAAGAAGAGTGTGGGTTGAGAAACTACCTTTTGGGTACTATGCTCACTATCTGGGTGCATAAACCCATGTAAGAAACCTGCATGTCAACCCCTTGTATCTAAAAAAAAAGTTGAAAATTTTTAAAAAGAGAACACTGATATTTTGCTATTGTTGCCTACCAGAATGATAGGAGAACGATATTTGTTAATTAATTTTGGCTGCTATAACACTATATGTCTGTGAAGCATAGAGATCTTTCACTTTTGGAAGGAGTTTATCTTCTATCCCATTGACACACAGATGGCTTTATCTGGCAACTGTGACCTCTGTTATCTGTAGCTTCCAGGTAAGTACCTTCTATTTACTTTCTTGCCTAGTTACATACTTTAAATACTAAATTTAAATTTCAAGTGAATTCCTACTTAAAATAAATAAAATCATAAATTATAGCTATAGTCCATATTTTGTTTTCATAGTCGATACTACTAGTTTGAAAATATTCATTAAAATATCAAACAGAATTATAGAATATCATAAAATATTATTTTCTTTGTACTTCTTATGAAATTTATTGAAGAGTAGTTGAAGTGATACTTGTACTATTTAGTCACTAATATAAGAGCAAACAATCAAATAGGGAATCACAAAGCTGCTCCTGCTCAACTCCACTTTTTAAGTCCGATTTTCCAAGACCAGAATAAAATATTTTCTGCTGGATGGGTTTTTAGCAAAGCTTCTCTGACCCATTCTGCTTGCTCAATTATGGAACTGTAATGCCAAGAATGTCCTCAGGAAAGAACAACTGCTTTTTGCTGGGAATCATGTGAGCAGCAAGATCTGTAGCAAGAGTTGCACACAGTGGGGGCTCTACAGTCACTTTTGAATGAATGTACAAATAACTGCTGGAATGACTAGGAAAATTTTAGATAAGACATCATGAGGCCACTCCTATAAAAGAAAGTACTTGTATTAAGCATGCTTTTATGACTCACACACAGCCTGCCCTATAGATAAGTGAATCCCTGAAGTGAGTAGATAACTTTTTTAAGTATCTTATATTTAAGAAGATAAAGTGAACTTCCCAAAGATGTGTACTGAATCAATGACAGACATGACCTTTTATCTTAAAATTTAATTGCTAATAAACTCTTTTACTCATATGGCAATCAGTACTTGAAACTTTCATTAAAACTCAAAGTTTAGTCTTAAGGATTTTGAGAAATCTTATTGAATTCATCAAGAAACAAACATAAAACATTAATATGGCACAAAAAGCCTAATTCAATGAAGAGAGAAAGGACTTAGAAATAAGCTATGACTTTTTAAATCTTATTTGGATATTAGGTTTTCTTTCATGCATGAACTACGGAGTTCATGCATTGCTATGACTTCTGCACAAATGGACTATAATAGCCTAATACAAAGTACTATGATAGGGTGAGTTGCTTCATAGTGATCCAGGCCAATGGTATTCAGATTGTGGTCCATGGACTTGAGCTGTTTCTTGAACCTGTGCTGGTCCATGAACTGTTGGCTAGTATAGATATTGAAAACTTTTATAGTGTTTAATAATGTTAAATATAATACATAGGACCTTGTATTTTATATATTTTATTTTTTCTAGTAATTTGTTCTCATTGTACTTAACAGAAACTGGTCTCTCATTACTGATAGTTTGAGAAGCATTGATTTAGGCCAAAGTCAACCTTAGAAAGTGGCTGTCTGGGTAAGAGGTGGTAGATTATACTGCTGATTTTAAGACATTGGGTTTTGTGAGTGTGAATCTCGGCTCTGATTGTTGCTAGGTGCATAATCTTAGGTAAATTATGTAATCTCTCTTTCCGATCTGTAAAATGGGCATGATAAATAATGCTTAACTGTTGCAATTGCCATGAGGATTAAACAAATTATTGTATGTAAAGTGATAGGAATAGTTCCTGCTATAAAAGATGTGCTCAGTGAATACTAGCTATTATTTTTAGGGGAGAAACATCTATATGAGAAACTATGATACAGGGTAGATATGATAAGAGTCATGCTATAGTTGCAGATAAATTTCTATGAGTGATGCAGGCTTTACAAAAAAGGAAACATTGGAATTGGTCTTTGAAGAATGAATACGATTCGAGCAAATGGAGAATGGTTGGAGGAAGCTACTTTGAGTAGTAATACTTAATACTGTACAAATAATTTGTTTTGTTGTAATTTTCTAGAGGAACTGCGTAGATAATGAGTAATTTTTTGAAAAAAAATTTACTATATAAATGGCACTCAGAAAGATTTGCAATTTTATAATTCTCATTTTTCTTGATGTAGGTGGTAGGCTCTTTACTTTTTCTAGAGAATTATTGCTGAAAAGGCACAGAAAAGAAGTTTGATTAATGTTTTTTATTGTTTTGACCATCTTGGATTGCTAGATGGGGATTACAAAAGTCTTCAACAGTGAATCTATTAGACTAACCACATTTCTCCGTAAGGTTAAAACCAATTATTCAAGTGTAATCAAAAGGCAAAACTTTAATTGGCATCTTGCATTTCCAAATTGACTTTGGATTTTTGTACTATAAAAAGATAAAATGATACAGCCAGGGAAGATGCAGTTGGTCGATGACTTAAAACATATGATTTTGAAATTTTGCTCCATGTTAGTCTTTTATTCAATAAAACCAAAGGAAAAACTTATACCTCTAGAACTGCAGGATCTCCAGCTCCCAGGATGTATCGCTCAGCCTAGTACTGCTTACTAGCTATGTTTTGGTTTAAATAGATTTTCTGTGATGGTCCAGGAATACAACCACCATTCGTAACATTAAGATCTCTAAATTCTAAATAACAGTCTTTTGGAATTCCTCTAAGTAATAAAGGTATAATGTGCAGACTTCTCATATCTAATTCCTTAGAAATGTGAAGTACAACTAAGGACCAGATATGGTTTTGTGTTACAAATAAATAATCATTCATTAGTAGTTGTTTTTGTATTTTATTGATTTCTATTTTTATGTATGTATGTAGCTGTGTATGTATTGTAATCAAGCAACAACTGGATAAAGTGGATAAGATCTGGAAATGTTGGAGTAAGAAGGTTACAGAATGTATTCCAATAAATGAAATAAGCATTGCAGAACAAATATCTTAATATTTTTGTGTTTGAGAAAATAGTTCATTATTCATTACAATTAAATGATTTGAAGTGTGATTAAGCTTAGAGTTTTTTCCTAAGTTTTAAATTTTAATTATTATGGATACATAATGGTTGCACATATGTATAGGGTACATGTGATACTTTGATACAAGCATACAATGTGTAATGGTCAAATCAGGGTAATTGGGGTATCTATCACCTCAATCATTTATGATTTCTTTGTGTTAAGAACGTTTCAATTTTACTCTTCTGGTTATTTCAAAATATACAATAAATTATTGTTAACTACAGTCACCCTCTAGAGTTTTTTTTTGTTTTGTTTTCCAACTGAGGTAGAGATGAGGGAAGGTAGTATTAGGATAGTGGTTAAAACCATCAGATTTAAAATTAAAC
Source organism: Homo sapiens (assembly GCF_000001405.40). NCBI lineage: Eukaryota > Metazoa > Chordata > Mammalia > Primates > Hominidae > Homo > Homo sapiens. The sequence continues at coordinate 81,399,465 of NC_000023.11, forward strand.
AGATCTGGCTTTAAGTCCCAGCTCTACTACTTACTAGCAGTGTGGCCTTGCGAATGTCAAATGAGATATAAAGGACTTAGCAGAGGACCTGGCCAATTATGAGAGCTCAATAGTCTATTGTTATTTTGTTCACCCTTAAGACTATGTAAGCCTTAAGCCTTGTAATCTACTAAACACAATGAGCAGAAATCATTCATTTCCGCCTTCCAGATTTTCTCTTTATTCCAGACTTCCATGGAGCTAGAGCCTATAGTGTTGCCAGCTGTGTATGTCTTACTAACTTTGAAAAAATAATTTATTTTTTTCTTATAGGTTATTCATGCTCATTGCAAAACATTCATAAAATTGGGAAAAATAAAACACATAATTTATAAATAAACACACAAAGAAAAAACCATGAGCAATATTTTGGTGAATATCTTTCCCGGATTTTTCTTTCTATATATTGCTATAACATTTAAAAAATAGAGTAAGAAATCCATTATAAAGGAGAAAGGAAAGGCTTAGCTTCAATTCCAGAGCAGCCTGGTTCTGTTCCTTTTATGGCAATAAGGCAAAGCTTGTATTCAGGTAGAGCACCACATAACAGTGGTCTTTGACCAGTGTAAAATGGCTTGTTTATGCACAGGTCTATAAAGGCCATCCTTCTCTGAGCCTGGAAACTTTCTTTTCTCCAAACATTGAAAAACTTTGGGCTTAATTATAACTTGTCCTTTTAGGCAAACCTTATGCTTGACTAGTACATTGTTTTTTAACTTCGGTTGATTGAATTCCTCATGAATAATCTAAGAATTACAACCCAGTGCAACCACTGACTTTTTGCAGCATTGGGCTTAAATGTTTTGTGATGAACTCTTTCCCCCACTCCCCCTCAGGTTATGATATGATATCAATCTGCCTAAAATTAGGTTTCAATAGTACAAAATAATATATATTTTAATATTGATCCAAAAAATTTTCATCCACAGTTTAAAATTTCACTAGTGTAAAGGCATAAAAATCTCTGTTCTTCAATATTCTCAAAAATGTGAAATGATTTAAATGTAAAGCATTTATTGCTTTAACTTGTGACTATACAGTTTGATTACCTACTGATAATAACCTGGTGTTTATTCTGTCTGTTCTTTTTATTTTTTAATTTTTAATTTTTAATTTTGTGGACACATAGTAGGTGTATATATTTATGGGGTACATGCAATGTTTTGATACAGGCATAAAATGTGAAATGATCACATGGAGAATAGGGTATCCATCCCCACAAGTATTTATCCTTTGTGCTACAAACAATCCAATTACACTCTTTTGGTTATTTTAAAATGTACAATTAAGTTATTACAGTTGTGTTATCAAATAGTAGATCTTACACATTATTTCTAACTATTTTGTATACCCATTAACCCTTCCCACATTTCCCCGATCCCCCCATTACCCTTCCCAGCCTCTGGTAACCACCTTTCTACTCTCTATGGCCAAGAAGAGTTCAATTGTTTTGATTTTAAGATCCCACAAAAAAGTGAGAACATGTGATATTTGTCTTTCTTTGCCTGGCTTATTTCACTTAACATAATAATCTCCAGTTTCACCCATGTTGTAGCAAATGACTGAATTTCATTCTTTTTTATGACCGAATAGTACTCCACTGTGTATATGCACCACATTTTCTTTACCCATTAATCTATTGATGGACATTTAGGTTGCTTCTGAATCTCAGCTATTGTGAATAGTGCTGCCATAAACATGGTGGTGCAGATATCTCTTTGATGCACTGATTTACTTTCTTTTATGCATATACCCATTACTGGGCTTGCTGGATCTTATGGCAGTCCTATTTTTAGTTCTTTAAGAAACCTAGTAGTGTTCCCATTTCTCCACATCCTCACCAGCATGCATTACTTTGTTGTTTTGTTAAAAATGATTTTAACTGGGATGAGATGGTATCTCCTTGTGGTTTTGATTTTCATTTCTCTAATGATTACTGATACTAAGCATATTTTCCATATGCCTGTTGGGCATTTTTATGTCTTCTTTTGAGAAATGTCTATTCAGATCTTTTGATCATTTTTAATAGGATTATTTGTGTATTTTTTGCTGTTGAGTTGTTTGAGTTCCTTATATATCCTGGTTATCAACCCCTTGTCAGTTGAATAGTTTCCAAATATTTTCTCCTATTCTTTAGGTTGTCTCTTCACCCTGTTAATTGTTTTCTTTGCTGTGCAGAAGCTTTTTAGCTTGACATGATCCAATTTGTACATTTTTGCTTTGGTCGCCTGTGCTTTTGAGGTCATATTGAAGAAATCTTTGCCAAGACCAATGTTGGGAAGCATTTCTCCAATTTTTGTGAAGTAGTTTCATAGTCTCAGATCTTAGATTTAAATATTTAATCCGTTTAAATTTGATTTTTGTATATGGCAATAGGGGTATAGTTTCATTCTGCTGCATAAGGATATCTAGATTTCCCAGCACCTTTATTAAACAGAGTGTCTTTTTCCCAGTGTATATTCTTGGAATCTTTGTGGAAAATAAGTTGACTGTAAATGCATGGATTTTTTTCTGTTTCATTGGTCTATGTGTCTGGTTTTATGCCAGTACCATGCTGTTTTGGTTACTATAGCTCTGTAGTATAATTTGAAGTCAGGTAATGTGATGCCCTGAGTTTATTTTTTGCTCAGGATTTCTCTGGCTATTGTGGGTCTTTGTGTGGTTTTATGTAAATTTAAAACTTGCATTTTCTGTTCCTGCGAAGGATGTTATTAATTTTTTATAGGTATTACTTTGAGTCTGTAGATTGCTTTGGCTAGTATGTACAGTTTAACAATATTGATTCTTCCAATTCATGTTTGCTGTTTACACATAGAAATGCTATTGATTTTCCTTTATTTTAGCTATACTAGAATGAGGCTAAAGAGAAACATTATTTGCACAGGAAAATGTTGAATTATGTTTTAAATTCAATATAAATTAATATTTTGTTTTGTAATATATTTTTTGCTTTTCTTCATTGTAAAGGAATAATTCATTTATATGTTTTTATAAATTTTAACACTATTCATAACTCATAATTATGCATAATGCCATAAATACATTTTCTCCATTTTAGTATAGTTAAAAAAACAAAGAATACTTGGTTTTGATTGGTTGCTATTATGCAGAGGAGGGGCCTTTATACGTGTAGCTGATTCAATTGGTATCTCAAAGACTCTTCGCTAAGACACGCCCTGATTCTCTCACCTTATGTTTATGTCTGGCTTCTGCCATTAGGAACCTATTTCTTGCTGGATTCTAGATAGTCCCACTGGTTGGAAGTGTCTAGGGCTACAGTGAATTCTAATCAATTGTTTTTTCATCTTTCCAGAAATAAAACTTTCATTTAAATAACAAACAAGTATTTATGAGTTGCTACTAAACACTTAGCATTGTTCTCGTTATAAGACATAAAAAAAAATTTTAAAATAAGGTCCTTGCTTTCAGAGGTCTTATAATCTACTTATTGAGGAAAAGATATACATATATGAAATAATAAGTTGACAACAAAGGAGGATAGGAAGTGCTTAAGTGTATGTAACGACTAAGAGCATTTACCCACAGTAATTACTTGATCTAGGCCAGAGTTCCTGTGGAGAAAGGAGGGTTTGATAACTGAAAGAATAGCAGGAAAGGTGTAGGTAGACAAAGAAAAGGAGACTGGCTTTATACCTCCCTCAACATTGAAGACCTAGAGGCTGTAGCATTTTCTGCCTGCTTCTTCCTTTTGCCTTCCACAATAATTTGTTTCAAGCTTCAATGTCATTAGATACTGCAGAGCTTCTGATTCAAATTAACTACTTTAAGTGATTAGGACAACTTGTAAGCAGGTACTCATTAAATCTTCTGGAAACTTGCCATAAAGCACTTAATTTTTTAAAATCTTCTGTATATGTGGAGTTTTTTTTATCTACATCCACCTTCCAGGACTGTCAGCTCCTGCAAGACAGTGACAATGACTTCTGTATGTCTCTATTTTACTCAGTAACTAGGATAAAATAGACAACAAATATTTATTGAAGATCTGTTTTATTTATTAATTCATTTATTATTAGTATTAATTGTCTTATGTGTGCCTTTTAGAGAAAAGTTAGACTGGTAAAATATTTTGGGGGCTGGTGGGAATATTATTATTTGATAGCTTGATTAAAAATGCCTAGTAGCCCAAATTAAAGTACGAAGTACTATCCTAAAAAATTACAGAGGTACCACTCTTTTTTCATTATGAGAGCTTTGTTATACTTCAACACATTATATAGTAATGGGTGAAAGCAAAAAAAAAATGATCTTTTGATGGTTGAATAATGGTCTAAATAGAAAGCTGTTCTCAGTTTCTTTAACATCTTTGTTATAATATCTTTTTTAAAACCTTCACTTTTATTATTTGGTTCTTAAGTGGCTATCCTTAAATAAATCACATTTATCTACTATAAAAATAGTTTTGTTAAAACAAAGCTTTGGAATTTCACAGTGAAAAGACAAAGGACTACAAATGAAAAAGGTCAACCAAAGGTGAGGGTCTGATGAATAAAAATACTCTGTTGTATATGACAAGCGTGGGGCACCATCTGATAGTGGAGGGAAAAGTAATGAAAAAGGTAGGAACAACAGGCCTCATAAAGCATATGAGAATTATTACCAAATTAGAACACAGAACGTGCCAAATTATAAGAAGCAACATTTAACGTGGGCAGGCTTCATTTGTTTTGCGTGGAGAGCTACAGGAACCATGTCTGATTATCACTGGGGATTGACACAGACCTTTCTGACAAGTATTCTAAATAATAGATTCTAGTTCTAGCCATTACCAAGAAAAGTGAATAGTTATAACTTGATTTCAAAGCAATTTACTATTGCACCATATAGAGTTTGTTGTATAAAGGGAAATCATAAGATACACAGACTGCATAAAATAGAACATGTGTCTTATATTTCATCATAGATTTTGTTGTGTTTTAGATATTTGTTTTTTCTTATAAAGTACAAACTTAGGGGGCTTAAGCAACTCGTTGTTAGAAGGATATTAACAATTTATTTTTAATATGGAAAATAAACATATCTATATAGAATAATTTTTGTCTATTTTAATGAAGTGGCATTGTGTAATGGAAAGGCCATGAGCTCTGGAATCAGTCAGAGCTCAGTTCAAATCTCTGTTCTGCAACATACTAGTTGATGATTAATTTAGGCCCAGTTAGTATTTGCACTTCATTTATTATTGTGAGGTTATAGTGAGGATTAAATGGAATAATATATAAGTAATTTTAATATAGTAAACATTCAAATATCAGCAATTTCAAATGTTTTAGGCACATGCTATATTTAATAGTTAATAAATCAAAATACATTTTAATCTTGCTTTATCCCTAAATTTTACTTGAATATCTTTTCTTTACCTGACCTTGCCACTTTGACTAGCTGTTATTTATTTCCCTAGCTAAAAGAAATGAATTAACCATATCTCTGGTTTTGCACAATTGATATTTCATCTGCACCTCTCTTAAACCTTTTTAAGGTGACATTTCTGCAAAAGAATTAGAGAATACTTGAGCTGTGGGAGACTTAAAACCACATATACTTCATTTATCTTTTGTCTGGCAATTGTTATAAGACAGAAAATGTGTATGTCTGTACTTAAAAAAATAGAAAAATTACAATTGAATTTTAAAAATACATGCAAATTGTATTTCTAACTTCATATATATGATATATATATATGAAGTTAGAAATACAATATATATATCATATATATGATATATATGATATATATAGTCATATATGTCACACTGTTATCATATATCATATATATATATATACTGTCAAGATGATGTCATGTCACCTTAGATCATAAAGTGATTGAGAACAGGAATCATGTCATGAGGGGAAATCATATAGGACCATGGTGATCAGTGATTAAAAACTGCAAACAAAGAACTATCCTGTGCTGAAAAACACCAGGCAACATGTAGTATTTCAGGAATTTCAGCAGTTGCTCAATGTGAAGCTTGCTCTCTGAGGATTTTATTATTCCATTTCTCTCAAACAATCACAAATTTACCCAAGAGAATGGATATTAGTAGTTACTGAACTGCTTTATTCTTTCTGTTTGTTTTACAGAAGAGAAAATAAAAAATGAAGCCTGTATGATAACAGGTGGGAAAACAAGAAATTGATGGTAATTGTCAAGTCACCAAATGCCATTTATTAGAAGATATTATTGAACATCATTAAACAATAAGGAAATGAATTCTCTGGAGACTAATTAGCACTTGACAATTCACTTAAGGCTTTTTATGCCCACATTATTTTTTGAATATTTTAATATTTTCCAGAAACTTTAAAAAATAAAAATAAATACATAAAATTTCACTGGCCAAATAAAAACATTATTTATGTGACACATTTGTAACAGGAACTCAGATTCCTTCTTCAAAATTTGCACACAGAACTACAACTGAACTCAAAAAATCTGTAACAGATTGAGAGCAGATTGTTGACTATCACATTTTTGGAAGACTGGCTGCTTACTAGTAGACCAAGCCTATCTACTTAAAGTAGCTGAGGCTGAAATGAAAATACTGCAATTAAAAACATTTTAAAAATATAGTCCTGGAACACTATCATCATGAAACTCTTCTAGCTTTTGGAAGAGATTCTAAACTATTTAGAGAACAAAGAAGCAACATCATAGTTGCTTGACAGGAGAGGCATTACTTTAGGACTAAACTGATAAGAGAGAAAATGCAATTTAACAGATAAAATGACATACATTGGTAACAATGCCTGACTCTGAGTGTAACAAATACTTTGAAATAATATCTTCAAAAATTGAAACAATAACCAGAAAACATCATTTTATAAACTGCTGTGAAACAAAAGCTTCTTATATTCTCCTCTTGCTTCCAAAGAGAAATAGCCATAAATGTTTCTTAAAATAGTGGGAGGTAGGTTATACTGGACTGATGCCGAATGTCAGAAAATTTACGCACCCAGCTAATGAAAGAAAACATAAAACAGCAAGTCAGCAAGAAAATGTGACTCTAACTTTCAAGAAGTGGAAAAGCAAAACATCATGTTGACTGAACATGTTATACTTGAAAAGCATTAAACCATCATTCACACAAATGAAATACTTTGTGTTTATTTGAATTATATAAGTGTAACCACCCAGTGGGTTCACCTTGCCTGCTGCCTAGACAGAGCCGATTTACCAATACAGCAGAATCGCAATAGAGAAAGAGTAATTCACGCAGAGCCGGCTGTGTGGGAGATGAGAGTTTTATTACTACTCAAATCAGTCTCTCCGAGCATTGGATCAGAGTTTTTAAGGACAACTTGGTGGGTTGGGGGAAGCCAGCAAACCAGGAGTGCTGATTGGTTAGGTAGGCGATTAAATCATGGGGAATTGATACTGTCCTCTTGTGCTGAGTCAGTTCCTGGGTGGGGGCCACAAGGTCAGATGAGCCAGTTAATCGATCTGGGTGATGCCAGTTGATCTATCAAGTGCGGAGTCTGCAAAATAACTCAAGCACTGATTTAGAAGCAGTTTAGGGAGGGTCAGAATCTTGTACCCTCTAGCTGTATGACCCCTAAACCATAATTTCTAACCTTATGGCTAATTTGTTAGTCCTACAAAAGCATTCTAGTTCCCAGGCAAGAAGGAGGTTTGTTTTGGAAAAGGACTGTTACCATCTTTGTTTTATACTATGAACTATAAACTAAGTTTCTCCCAAAGTTACTTCAGCCTACACGCAGGAATGAAAAAGGACAGCTTAAAGTTTAGAAAGCAAGATGGAGCCAGCTAGGTTAGATCTTTTTCACTGGCTCAGTCATAATTTTGCAAAGGCAGTTTCATAAGCATGTGGGCCCTGGAGACAGCTCTTCTACTTCCTCGCCTTGTGACTTGACCAAGTTATTTAATTTCCATGCCTTACTCATATGTAGCATGGAGGTAGTTAGAGTGTCTATTACATAAAGGTGGATCTGAGAATTAATTGAAATAAAATAGATGAAACACTTAGAAAATATACTCATCAAAAAATAAGCACTTAACAAATTTAGCCATAATTTTATATAAATATGGATATGTATATTTTTTCCTCACCAGTCGGTTAAAAAAGAACAAGGACTAAGCTTATCAAATAGCATTTTCAAATAATTGGCTGTCTCAAGTAAGTTTGCTTCTAACTGATTCCATGGGTTTAATTGGAGTGGAGCAATCCCAGACAGCCTACAGTAACTTTAAGTAAAAATATCAACAGGTTATTACTGATATTAAAAAAGTTGAAGAGGAGTAATTTATTCCAAGAGACCCTTTGTGAGTCTGGGTTTAGCTAGAGCTAAAACTGGAAACTGTGTTTTTACTGATCACCGCTTTACCTTCTGCTTTGGGGTTTATGTATGGTAATTTTCTGGCCATTTTCAGGATATATTTCCAGGGTAGATTAGTTTAAGCTAAAGGTTAGCAACCTGGTTTTTATGTTCTGAGTGCCACATTACAAGATTTAAAGTTGTTTGTTTATCCTGGGTTGGCTCTGGGCAAAATTGAGGATTAGACAACCCTGACTTATATCTTTAGTTTATACCTCAGATTCCTAGTTTAACATTCTTATCCTTCTGGCTTTTAATGAGTCATTTTCTGGGAATTTCTCATTTTTAAAGGGTTATACTAGAGGTGGAAGAATATTTGTCTTTACTGTAGCTTCTGAAATGAGCGCAGTGAGGTGAGTTGCTATCACCCTTCCTCACATCTTCAGTAGAGAATAATTTAAAAATAATTCAGTGTAAGAGGTGACAAATTGTTGCTCATCCCATGTACAGTATTCTCCCCATTTGTGCCTCTTTCTGCCCACCCACCGGAAATTAGAAAAATATCTAAATATCTGAACCCTAAATGAATAAGAGCAGGAAGAAACCCTTGTAGACCAGAAGCCATTTTGGTGGATTGAAAGGTGCATTGAAATGTTATTAAGGGACTTTGGAAGGATTATTAGGAGGATAAAAACACAATTTTGAAAGTGTAGCAAATAGAATAAAACAGTAAAATTTCCCTGAACATGAAATATTGCTTTTATTAATAATACTACAGTGCTTTAGAGGCTACGAGAATGTATTTCTCCTTCTTAGCACCTACCTCTTATTGATTTGCTGCCAACAAATGATTACAATCTGTCGGTGCAACCTTATTTAAGGTGGACAGATAAAACAAAGCAGACAAGTAGTTCTCAGCCCACAAAAGGATATAGAAACTGTCATTCATTTAGAAAACTAAACATTTAATAGTCTTAAAGTGTTATTGTATAAATTCTTGGAAAATGGCATGTTTTACATATGGAACAAAGTAAGGCACCATGAGTACCAGAAATCCAATTTAATCTTCAAGAGTGTTAGTGTGATCACTTTTCCTTAAAGTTAAATGCAAATATTACTCTCACACATTCTTTTTTCTTCAGAATTATTACTTGTGCTATGAACATGAAATGCTATGTGGAAGCTAACTTTTCTCAGAAGTACCATACTAATATCAAGTACTTTGTGAAGATGTGGATCAGTATTTGTTAGTCACATTCCTATTTTCATCTTCCTTGGTGTTTCTAGCACTGGAAGTAACCATGAATGGAATTGACCTTACATTTGTTTCACTGTCATTTTTTATCTTTTTTGAAGAGCATTAGGTATGGCAAATATTGTTGTTTGTGTAAAAATATGCCAGCTAAACTTAGGATTGCATCAGAAGCAAATAAATTAAAATTGCAATATACTATATTTGCTTTACTTTTCATAGGCAGACTATGTTATATTTCCATTTACGTAGGGAGTGTGTAATAGTAAGGTTAAGAAGCAGTCTCTGGAAACTGACTACCTAAATTCAAATCCTAGCTTCCCTTTTTAGCCTTATGGCTCTGAGAAAGTTACAGAATCACTCTAGGCCTTAGATTCCTCAACTGTAAAAGGAGAGTGGTAATAATGTTTCGAGAGTGGTAATCTGTAAACCAGATTCTTCTGCCAGCTATTGTGAGAATTACATGCAGATAATACAAGCAGCTTAACACAGAGCCTGGTACATAGTAAGCTCAAAGTAAATGTTAGGTTTTTTGTTTGTTTGTTTGTTTGTTTTTGTTTTTTTTTCTACTACTGCTACTATTGCCACGACTTAAGCTGCTGCTGCTGCTACTGTGACTACTACTACAAATACCAAAACTATTATAGTATAATAGAACAAATATATGGATGCTCCTAGTACTACTACCAAGAGTATCCAATACCACCATTATTGCTAAAATGAGAACTGAGCAGTTCCTGTCATTCTTCTTTTTCTGAGGCTTACATCTTCCCACTTCACCCTGACTTAGAAGGAGTAAAAATTACCACTGCCTTCAACACTATTGTTTCAACTTCCCATCCTAACACATACATGTATGCACCTTGATAATGTCTGCATGAGTGCTGTTGAAGTACTGACTGTATCTTGGGGAATGCTGACCCCAGCAGGAAAATACATACTGTCTGTGTCTTTTCTTCAAATCCTGCCCCAGGCTGAGTGACATATGGTGCCCCCAAACCAACCCTGCGATAAGACTTTATTGTTGGCTGCAGCTAAACCCTCTTCTCAGTCCAACCCGTACGTTGAAAAAATGCCATTCATAATGAGGTGATATACACATACGTAGCACCTTTTTCATCCTGAAAGCATAACGGCTTCATTGCTAGTTAAATTGAGCTGTCTTTCTTTTTAATCTCACATTTTATAGGCTGAATAGGAATTCAGTTTATAGTTTATAATCTTTTCTTGACATTTATATTCTATTTCCCTCCTCCTTCACAAATGAACAGAGTCATTGCAGATTTTTCCTGGGAGACTATGAAACTTACTCTAGCAATACTGAGAGGCACATTAGAAAAAATGCTTAGGATTTTAAGAATGAATAATAAGGCAGCCCAGGGTATGCTTTATTATCCATTAACATGTGTTTAGGTTGGCCATTTATAGTAAAACCACCAGCTGAATGTCATACAAGTTCATAGAAGGCTGTATCTAGTTTATTCTGAGCCACTGGAAACTCTAAGCAGGGTTGTAAAATGTTCTTGTTTCCTAAATACCGTTTAAAATAAAATCGGACAAAAAATCTACTTTGTGTCTATATGCTATTATAGCTGACAGGTAAGAAAAATGCCAGGGATAATTGAGGAGGTTTCTGTATAAAATGTTAACACCTAACAAGAGCAAGCTTTCAACATAAAGGCAAAGATTTCTATAGATTTATATATAGGTTTGTGTGAAAATTTAGGGGATAAAACAGATCCTGTTTCTAATGCCATTTTATTTCTAAACGGTAATGTGTAGATATTCACTGCCTGTGGCGTAAGGAGAGAAGAGGAAGAAATACCTATCATAATATAGTCCAGGGGTGCCTGCAACTTCATAAACCTGGCATTGCGATTTAGCTTAATGCTGTGCCTAGATATGGTGGGGGGCGGGGAGGGAGAGGTGAGCTGAGTACAGGCCGTACGAGGCCATGGTATTTTTTCCCTTTGGACTGGAGCCATATTAAATGATATTTTTGCAATTCTATTAAATTAGAAGGGTAGAGTCATTGGTGCATCAGAATATTCTCAATCCTTTTGGTTTGGAGACCTACATAGAATCAGCAGTAAGCAAAAATGAAAGGTCAGAATCCTGTCAATATTTGACTGGCTGAAACAAGACATACACCTAAGCTGACTAAATGTAATTTGATCAAAAGTGTGATGGCTGACTTGTCTGTTTAGCCCAAATTGTAATTTGGTCCCAAATTACAATTGTCACTAGCATTGAGTTCTGGTCATTTCAATACAGAATAAGGGTGATTGGAAATGTTATGTGTAGGCATTTGTTGGAACAACTTAAATGTTCAGAAATAGAGGAGTACTTAAACTACTAAAAATAATAATATAAACACAACAATATTTGGCTTTGGAAGGTTTTGTTCCAAAGTGTTAGCAATAGTTTTCTCCAGATGGACGGGACTATGGGTATTATGTTCTTCCATTGCATATTTGTATTTTTCTCTGAGAGAGCCCTCTGCTTTCCTCTACTTTTGTAGTAACAAAAATGGGAATTAAAAGAGCTAAGGAGACCAAGTGAATTTTTTTAAAAGGAAATGTAAAAATCTGGAATTTTGGGTGAATTTAGCTTATATTTGTTTTAAGACAGTTATACCTGTTAGAATAGTTTGACTATGTTTTCATTTTCTGGCACCATGCCAAATATTTAAATTGAATTAAAATGTTTTGAAAAATAGACACAAATTCTTAATCATCCACAAAGGGCTTCAGGACTATTCCTATGGCACTCCAAATGGACACATACTCAAAGAAAGAAAATATGTAATTTTACTCCACCCAAATAAAATTTTGGCTAAATTGTCTTTTGGACAGCTTACTTCAGTTCAAATTTTGTGTAAAGATTTCTATTTTCAGTCCACCCGTCAAGGGACCTTGCATGATTTTTCTGGTCTTTAAGTAAATCATGTGATAAACATTCGCAATAAAATGTGCAAAACGTGATGCATATTGAAAAGAGAGAGAAAAGGAGTAGTGTATACTTCAAGTAGTATATAACTCATGACTAGGAGTGAGATCTGTGGGACAATGATTTAACTGGTGCCCTTCAAATTATATTGGTACATAACAAAATACTTCTATCTGGTTAAGGCCAGATTTTGAGATCATAGAAAACTGTGAGCAATAAAAAGCTTTAACAGAGACTTGGGTCTCAGAACTCTGGACCCTGGATGGCAAGAGAAAAATCACTTTTCTTCCAAGCTTTGAAATATCTGGAAGTCTGAAAATCAACACAGGTCACATTAGGTAGCTTTTAGTTCACTAGCTTGGATCATCTTAGTGGTATTTATAAGACTGAAGAGAAATGCTACCTTTCGTTTGTGGAGATTGCTTTTGCAGAATATTCCATATTCCAGAGAATCCACATGAGACTAAAGAAGGGAGTTACGCCGTTTTCATTCTTTTTTTTTTGGAGATGGAGTCTCGCTCTGTCGCCCAGGATGGAGTGCAGTGACGCGATCTCGGCTCACTGCAACCTCCGCCTCCCAGATTCAAGCGATTCTCCCGCCTCAGCGTTTTCATTCTTTAAAAAAGCCTGATAACAGAGGCAAATTCTTCCACCTCATACTCTGAGGACTCATAGCCCTTGCCTGACTCACAGTGTAGGCTGAAGCCTCCTGCTTCCTACAAAGGGTCTGTAGATTCCTTCAGATTTCCTGTTCTGATACTGCATTGGTTCTTTTTATTTATTATTATCTTTTTTTTTGAGACGGAGTCTAGCTCTGTCGCTCAGGCTGGAGTGCAGTGGCACAATCTGGGCTCACTGCAACCTCCGCCTCCCAGGTTCACGGGATTCTCTTGGCTCAGCTTCCTGAGTAGCTGGGATTACAGGCGTGAGCCACCACGCCCAGCTAATTTTTGTATTTTTTTTTTTTTTTTTTTTTAGTAGAGACGGGGTTCACCATGTTGATCAGGCTGGTCTCGAACTCCTGACCTCGTGATGCGCCCGCCTCGGCCTCCCAAAATGCTGGGATCACAGGCGTGAGCCACCGCGCCCGGCCTGCATCGGTTCTTGAAAAAAAGTTCACAATGTGAATCTTTACATACTATTTTGTCCTTCCAAGTGGGAAAGGTATGCTAGCAATGCTTGTAATCCCCATCTTGGGAAAAAAAAAAAACCGGGAAAAAAATGATAACAATAAGAAGCAAAACTCAAAACACCACTAAAAAAACACAGCTATTTAAAGAAAACTCCTTGAAGGTAATTTTATGAATAAACTTTTAAAGGTTTAATTGGTTTAGGTTTTTAAATTATCACAAATCCTTGGAATTACAATCTAGTTTAATACTAATTTATTACAACACATTTATAATGCTTTTCCTTCTGTTGATTAATTACTAAGATCCTCTTCTTATTGGAAAATGTAGGCATTCTTGTGCTGACTTTCTTAATTAACAAATGTGATGTGAATTCAATCACCAGAAAGGACCCATTTATTATAGCCTATAGGGTACTGGGGGGAGCAATTTGCTTCTACCTTGTTTTCCTGCTACCAGAGTTTTCCAGAAAGAAGCTCTTCATTGCAGCAAACATAGTCGTAATCCTCTTTACTGTTTTTTTTTGTTTTAACAGATAAAGAAACTATTAAATAGTGAAATTTGAAATCTTCCACTTAGATGGAAACAAATGGGCCAACATTCCTTTTCAAGACCTTGAGATGGAGGTAGCTTAGTTTTAAGAGAGACAATCACAGTATCTGAAATAGCTTCTGCCATAACTCAAACTGGACATTTACAAAAGCTGAGATAGGATTTCCTTTTAAATCAATAGGAGAATAGGAGGAGGTGCCATTTACTCAAGTGGTTGACACCAATAGCTTCACAACAAATACTATATTTTAGCTACTTGAAAAGTAAGGTTGGGATTGGGGGCAGAAGGGGACATAAATAAAATGCTTTTGGACTTTAATTGTAAGCCATTTATTCTCTTGGATTATTTCTTTGGCCTGTGCACGTTAACACTTGTCTTGAATTGTCACATCCCTGCACCTCAGTTCTGTAAAGCTAGTTGACCGAATCTTGGAAAAAATATCTAAAGATGTTGGGTAACTGAATGAGAGAATGAGATGATATTTGATATTCTGGCTATAAATTTTAACTAGAATAATGGTGGATATTTGTGTGTGTGTGTGTGTGTGTGTGTGTGTGTGTGTGTGTGTGTGTGTGGTAGGGTAAGGCAAGTCAGGAGATATGATTCTGGCAGACTTCCCTTAAAGCAAAATAATTATGTCTCTAAATTGGATAATTTTTAGCTACTTTATTTTTTATTGTTTTTTTCTGTTAATGATTCTGATTAAGATTCGACATATATTTTTATTTCTTTTTAAAATGAGTGAATTATATTAAACCAGCCCAACATCAGTTTTTTTAAGTAAACATTAACTGACTTCACTTTAATGTATGTCATTAAATTCAAAGTCATTTTGAAGTAATACTTTACTTTAACTTACAATTCTCACGTCTTTTAAATTTTTATTGTCTCAGATGATAATTTATCAATAACACTCATATCTTCTTTAATTTTATATATTGTCCAAGTATTCAAGTGCATTTTACTCCTAGAAACTTCATTATTTCACATTTAGATTTCTCCAATTGTTTCACATGATGCTGTTATCCATTATAAGAGTTTGATCAGGCAGTTTAGGTGGGGCTTAGATGTTTCGGGTAGGTGGTGTGGGAGTTTTCGGATGATTTCAATTGAAGACAAATTGTACAAAAGAACCTCTTGTGTCATTCCAACACCATCTAGTGGTTAAAATATTTGCAGAAATTTTTGTTTTGTTTAAGACTGAAGACACACTGGCAAAAGGGTAAAATGTTGTATTCTATTTATTGGAGATTGATTATCATGATGTGCTTCAGGCGGATGAGTGCCTGGCCCAGCATCAGTAGAACATGTCTTTCAAATTGTGTGTGTGTGTGTGATTCTGAAACTTAATCTTCTGAATTATTTTCTGTGATATAGCAAAGATCACTTTGTAATAATTTAGCCATTCCTGGTTCCCTCAGTTCTTCCTAAGGAAGAAAGAGGACTGGAGTTGAAATCAGAAGACCTGGATTTTAATCACAACTTTATTCCTAACTATCTTTCTAACCTACATATGTCAACAATTATTCAGGGTCCTTATTTGTAGAAAAAGCATACAGACCTGTATTTCAGAGTTGTTTTGTTATAAAGATTAAACAATAATATAAATTTTAAAGCACTTTATATCTGTATGGTGTTATTGTTACTGTTATTGTGAGTGAGTGCACTCAAGGAATTTATCTTCACGTTATCTTGACTTCTTTTCTACTTAACTACAGTCTAAATTCTGCCCTCACTGTTCCACCAAAACTATCCTTTGCTGAAGTATCTACTGTCTTTCATATTGACAAATTAGGACACTTTCTTTTGGGGTCTTTTGGAGTTCCACAGGAATTTTAAGATTGATTTTTTTTGTATTTCTGTAAAAAATACCATATGTATTTTGATAGGTTTTGCATTCAACCATAGATTGCTTTGAGGTAGTATGGACGTTATAACATTTTTAATACTTCAAATCTATGAACACAGAAAATTTTTTTCACTGATTTATGTATTCTTTTATTTCTTTAATCAATGTTATGTAGTTTTAAGTCTCAGATAATATATAACCTCTTCAGAGAAGCTTTCCCAGACCATTATATGTAAGTAAATTTCCACCTGCTTGTTTTTCCGTATCACTCTACCCTAGGTTGTTTATTTCCTTCATAGCATGTATCACTCCATCTCTCTCCTTCTCTCTCAATTATTCTTTACCTATTTTCTTCTCCACTTCTGTGATGTCTGTCTCTTGAATATAGGCCGTATACATGGCTTATTCACCACTATATACTCAGTGTCTAATACAGTGTCTAGGTTCTATAAAATGTGTAATAAACGTCTGTGAAATAAGCAAATAAATAATTATTTAATATGATTAATATGCAATAAGGATATAAATTATGGACATACATAATAGTAGAGCCACAAAATACATATATATGTGTGTATATATCATACATATTATACATAACTTGTTATGTATAATATTATAATATTGTAATACAATATTATACATAACAAGTTATGTATAATATTATAATATTGTAATACAATATTATACATAACATGTTATATATAATATGTAGATATACATTAAACTGTGGCTTTAATGTATACTTCATTTAACTAGATATGCTAGTTACCACATAGATTTGTTCATATGGAATAAAATTTTGTGTCTTGACGCCATTTTACATCATTAAATGGGCAGTGTATAATAGTACCAAAGGCATAAAGGGAATTGTATGAGATGTCACTGAGTCTTGTTGATTTGACATCTTTGTGTTTAGAAGCATTAATTTTGACCTATCGTTCGTAGACTGAGTGAAATGAATTAAGGGAAGTAAAGATGGAAAGTAAAGTGAATTGGTTTAAAAATGGAAATAAGGAGTCAGCCTTTTAAAAGACCAGGTCATTAGCAGACCTCCTTGCACTGGGAAGCTTTTTGCCCATGATAAGCATGGTTAAAAGGATGTGCTTCTATCACATGAAACAATTGTATGATAATTTTTCAAATGTCAGAATGAATTTAGCAAAATTTCACAACTCAAATGTCACCTAAAAAGCAAGAATTATACAAAATTACTTCTGGAAACCAAGTGAATAGGATGATCCCCTGACTGGGCAATTCAAATGCATTTACAAAAAATTGCATAGTTCCAAATTGGAAAGAAAGCTCTTGGGGCAAGATGCTCTTTTGGTGCATTTAAGGAAAAAAAATGGAGTCACAGTAAAACATTTCTGTCATTTCAGAGAATTGAAGAGCTGATTAGGGGCTAGGGTGCCCTTAGTTTCTTTTTAAATTTCAAACTTAACAATGAAAGTTATTAGCTGCTTCCTTCCACATTTCTGAAACAAACTGAAAATAGCAGCTTTATAAGGACATATTTTCTAAATGCTTTGAAAGCAGTTGGTTTTGTTGTCTATTTGCAGATATTTTTTTTTCATATAACACCTCAGGTTTTTTACCTAGACTGATAGATTTCCTCCTTAAAGCCCTTGTTCCCACATGTACAGTCTAGGACAAATTTCAACTCCTTCAATTAATTTTAATTCAATCATACTTTGATTTAGAAACCCAAAACAAAACAATATTTTGGACAATTTATAATTTTCCATTTTCTCTCTCCCTTCCTTTTCTCTCTTAAGCCCTTTCTTACTTTCTCTTCTCTGTGTCTACAGAAGATGAAGCGGCAAACATCACTCACCACTCATCCTTGCTGATAGTTTATTTAATGGTATTGTTAAATATGCATTTAAAGTCTGCACAACTTGCATTCCACTTACTATATAGCTATCTGAGTACACTCATGTATCCTTAAAATTAGGAATTAAATGAATTCAGACTATGTAGTCTGTTAATCTCTTTAATTAAGGATTTAAGAATAAATATAAATTACGTTGGTACTCTCAAAATGACATACAATGGTAGTCAAATTTCTTTAATAGTGAATTATGTTATATATAGAATGTATCACCCCTATCCTTCTCCTTGCTTTGAATTGAGAGCCTCTTCCCAAAGGAAAAGTCAGAGTCTGTGGATCAAGTCCGGTAGAAATAGCAGTTGTTTGGTAGACAGGAGCTGTTTGTTTGTACAACTTTTTCTCTCTCTCTTCTGATCTTATAAGGATAAGTGTAATTCAAATGAGCCTTTGAAACTGTGAACTAAGAGCCAGATTAGAAGATAAGTTTTACCTAGACTACGTAATTGCATGACACTGTGCTAAGATGCTTTCACATCTATTATTTTGCTTTATTATTATGTTACTTAACATTGATGTATTCTATAAATATTTATTGAGCAACAACTATTTTCTGAGTAGCATGCATAGTGCTTGAAATATAGAAGTAGACAGAATAAACACTGACTTTGGCTTCTATAAGCTTATGACCTAATCAGTATAATTATTATAAAAATGTTAAATGTAAGACTTCTGATACTTTGAATTTATCTCCTATCATTATTAATAGCAGACTAGGCAATGCGCTCATTTTTGTAGATAATCGGGGAATTGGATAATCACATTTAAAAATATAGTAAAGGTGCCTGTCGGCACAAAAATTTGAGAAGACAATTTAAAATGCTATCCTCTCCCATTCCCAGAGAACACTAAAAATATAAAATATAGGATTTCTCCATATGTTAAGATGTTTTATTTTGACTTTGACTACTTTAGGAACATTTTTTGAATTTCACATATCATCTCATTTTTGAGTAGCTGTTATGATACAGTAGAAGAGCATGGATTTAGAATTAGGCAATCTGAACTTGAGTCATAATTCTGTAAAACTTACTTCATTGGCATTAGAAAATTTCTTGTTTTTGGTTTTCTGATCCTCAGAATGAGGGGTGTTTAACGTTGTTTTGTGTTAGCACTGAGACTAGGTAATTTATAGACAATAGAAGTTTTTATTCGGCTCATAATTCTGACAGCAGGGAAGTCCAATAGCATGGCACTGGCATCCAGTGAGGACCTTTAGGCTGCATAATCTCATGGCAGAAGGCAGAAAAGAAAGTAAGAGTGAGAGAGACAGAGAGGTTCAAACTCAATTTTACAAAACTTCACTCTTATGATAGCAAACCCACTCCCACAATAATGTCATTAGTCCATTCATAAGGGCAGAGCCCTCATGACCTAATCACCTCTAAATGGTTCTACCTCTTAATATCATCACAAGGGCAAATAAGTTTCAACATAACTTTTGGAGGAGACATTGAGACCATAGCAAGGGGCTTCTTAATGGGGTCAATATTGGCTTTCTGGGCAGGACAATTCTTTGTTGTTTAGCATTCCTGACCCCTGCCCACATTTAGTGGGCAGTAGTAGGCGCCATTGTGACAACACAAAAATGCCTCCCACCTAGTATTGCTCTCAGCAGCATTTCACATGAATCAGCCTCCTACCTTCTAGAAATATTATCTTTATTTGACAACCCACTTTCTTATTTTCCTCTTACCTCTCTGCTTCCTCTTTTGCTGTCTCTTTTGAAAGCTTATTCTCATTACTATATCACTAAATGTTGGAGTTCCTCAAGAATTAGCTCTAGATCCTTTCCTCTTTTCAATTTTTCCTCCCCCTGAAGACCTCACCCATATCCATACACAACTTTATTTACTGACTGTACACATATGACTTACAAATATATATCTCCAGGCCAAATATCTCCTCTGAGTTCCAGCATATATCGATAACCATTTCTTTGACATACTCACTTGTATATACCATAGGCATCTTACAGTTTTTATTTCTGAAAATGAACTTTTGATTTTCTGTGCCAACTTGGTTCCTATCCTGAGTCTACCTCAGCTAGGTTAGTTTTACCACCTCCTACTCATTTGCTGAAATATGAAATCTTAGCATCATCTTTATACCTCTATCTCTGTCACACTGTCTTCCTCTATGTCAATTTGGTCACTAAGTCAATTTCTTCTATATCTCCTCTGCCATTATTCAGGCCCAATGTGTCACCATCTCTTACCTGGAATACTAAAATGGCTTCCTAAATATTTTTATCATATTCATTATGGCTTATTTTCAACATATTTTAAAAACACTGCAGCTAGGGTGATCTTTTTGAAACAAATCTGATCAAGCCACTTCAGTTTTATTTTTTTGTATATTTCTGTTGGAGATAGTTGAATTTATTCATCCACATGTCATTAAAAAGACAACAACTAAAAACAAAGGCTAAAATACTTTATTTACTTTCTTTACTGTTTACTAAGCATTAGTCTTAGTAAAAAGTAAATAAAAAAATAACATGACCTGTTAAGCTTTGTGCAGTCTAACCAGCCTATCTCTTCAGTTCTGTTAATAATATAATCCCCACGTACTCTACAACCTAGCCACAAAGGGATTTTAGTTGCTCTAATGTGTCATGTGTTCTCCTACCATAAAGCCTTACCAATCCTACTCCATCAGCCTAAAATGGTTTATTCCCCTTCATGTACTTAATGTCACTCATCCTTCAGATCTTAGCTCAAGTGTCACTTCCTTAGAGAAAACTTTACTTAAACTTCAATTTAAAATATATTGCTTTCTCATAAAATTGCTTTATTTCCTTCAGAACACTTTTCTCAGTTTGTATTTATTTGCTCATTAACATAATTATTTCACCAATAGCTACCTCCCCGAAACATTACACTACACTGTAAGACTTATAAGCCTATGGACCCATTCGACTTTAGTTCCCCATTGTAACCCCAGTGCGTAATATAGAATCTGGCACATAATACATGTTCAATAAATCTTGTGCCAAAACTTAATGAATGGCTATTAATATTGAATGTTTGCTTCTTTTGTCATCCTCCTTAAGACAAATTTAAAGTAATATACCAATAGGAGTGTAATCCCATTTTGATATATAATGAATAATAAGGACAAAATGATGTGCTTGAGGAAATTGGAAGACATTAAAATGAAAATCCGTTACAGCACTTTGGCTCTGTGATTTAATTACTTCTGTTTTGAAACATAGTGGTAGACTTTTATTACCGATTTTATGTGACCTGGTGTTTTCATTTTATATATATGTTTTTTTTCCCACTGATCTGTGTGAGAAAAAAAAAATCACAGCACTTTCCCTTGGCATTAGTTTATGCTGAACAATCCCTTTGAATTTTAAGATAATTCTCATGGGTAGCGACTATCTGAGACGGGTGATGTGGGTGGTAAAGGAATTTACCCATACAGTTGTAGGTAAAGAAAGGGAGATTTATTAGAGAAAGTAGGAAAATATGTTGCAAGAAAGCAATGGGAAGACCATAAAGAAAGGAGCTGACTGCAAAGAGACAAAAGCTTGCTGGAGATTTTATAGAATGGTACTTGTGCCAGAGAGGGCTACATGCAGTAATGATAACGCCAAGGTGACAGTGAGCTAACTTGCATTTTTCTATCAGCCAAGGTGTCTGGTGATAGCTGGGTGCAGACAAATTGTGAATTATTTGTTCAGGAGGGCTGTGTGTCCTGGACCACGAAGAAAACCAGACTTACAGCTGATCTACTTTCTCTTTTTTCTGTCCTCTGCTCCCACCAGCCTGACTCCTTTTCCCTTATTAGGACTTCACAATAATGCTCTAAGTTCCATTCTGATCATTTCCAGATTAAAACACACAATACACACACACACACACACACACACACACACACACGCCCCCCACACCAGGGACATATTTAAGTACTAATTTAGTATGAAAGAGATGTGGTTTTTTGCTTTGTCATTTTGTATGGAATGACCGCCCATCCTCTCGTTCACTTACTAGATGTGAGAAGAAGAAGAGAGACCTCTCCAGCTGTTAGTGAACACATTCTCATTAGGGTAAGCTGTCTGTATATTATGTAGGCGATCTCATTGACTAGAACTAATCCTTACCTGTTTGGTCATACTATACTTGGGTTTTTCTCCTAATAAAAGGAGGCATAACTATGCAACTTCCAATAGGTATTTGTTATTTTGCATCCATCTGCAATTTGAAAAATTGAGAAACAAGTTTAGATCATGAGGGAGTAAGAACACCAAGAACCCGTATTCTAGCCTTTGCTCTATTACTACACAGCTTCCCATATTATCTTGGGGAAAACTTTTAACTTTTTTGTGGCTTTGATTTCCTAATCAGTAAATTAAAATGGTTGTTTACATGATCTCCAAGGGCCTATCTAGGTTGAACAGTCATGAATTATGAATGTTTTCACTTCAAATTTTTATTACAAGTACTTTTGGTTTCTTTACTAATTCATAATTCTAGGTTACATTATTTCAGTAACTAAGTTTATTTTCCATTTGCTATTATAAAGCAATTGCTTATAAACTGACCTACGTGGCCAATATGTAATTGGAAATTTTTCTTGGGATATTTTAGTTCTTGGTGGAGCTTTTAATACCGTCTCAATCACTGAGGATTTATAAAGATTTCAACAGTTAAATTACAAAATATGCTCTTTGAAATAGGGTTTCAGAAGTACCCAGAATTGAAAGGAAAATGCCTTCTTTCTACATTAGAAACAAGGAGGAGCCATAGAAATTTGAATGTAAAATTTATATCAGTTATTTTATCTTTTTATATAAATAGAATTTAAAATGTTGATTATAATATGTGGACTATTATTGAATATAACAACAAAATGTTAAACATAAACTATTAAGAGTGATTTTGACTCACTGATACTGAAAAAAAGTTGGGTATTTTAATCAAAGAATAGATGAGCACTCAAAGACTATTCTGCTTCTAACATCATTTTGGCACAGTCCATAATTTTCTGGGACACATTTTCAGTGCATATACTGGCTTTCTATTTGTAAAACATGTAAGTTTTAGTAATAATAATTTGTCTAAGACTGTGTACATATAAGCATGGCTAATGCAACTCTTTATATCCTTTTCCTCAAATATTAATATTTGATTGCTCAAGTTGTAAAAAGAAATCTGTTTTTTTATTATAATTGAATGACATCTTTAGGTTAATTAGAGGGAAATTCAGTTTTACTGTCCTATTGCTGCCATATGAAAACTGACTTCAATGATTGCATAATATATATAATATAATGCGTATATATAAATTATAGGAAATAATTTATTGAACAAATTTTTAGAACCAAATCAAACTTTATTTTTTCCAACATATTATTTTTTAAAATATCAAGCCTATAGAATTTCAAAAACAAGCTGGGCACTGTGGCTCTTGCCTGTAATTCCAGCACTTTGGGAGGCTGAGATGAATGGATTACTTGAGGCCAGGAATTCGAGACCAGCCTGACCAACATGGCGAAAACCCTTCTCTGTTAAAATACAAAAATTAGCCTGGCGTGGTGGTGCATGCCTGTAACACCAGCTACTCGGGAGGCTGAAGCAGGAGAGTCGCTTGAACCTGGGAGATGGAGGTTGCAGTGAGCCAAGATCGCATCACTGCACTCCAGCCTGGGTAACAGAGTGAGAGTCTTGTATATATGTATATATTATTGTCATTTGCTGAATTATTTGAGACTGAATTGCAGATATCCTGACTATTCACCCCTTAATATTTCTTAATCCATTAATATTTTCTTAAAAAAAAAGGCCATTCTAGTACATAATCACAATCTATCAAATGCACAAAGTTTAAATTGATAAAATGGTGTTAGCTAACATATTTTCATATTTTAAATTTTGCCAAATGTCCCCCAATTTTTAATAGTATTTTTCTCCTGATCCATGATCATGCAGTACATCCAGTTGTCATATTTTTAAATTACCTTTAATATAAAACTATTTTTCAGTTTTCATTGCCTTTTATGACACTGGCATTTTTGAAGAGTACATGCAAGTTGTTTTGGAGAAAATAACTCAAGTTGGATTTATTGATTGTTTCTTCATGAGTAGGTAAGTTATGCATCTTTTGTGATGTTATAACACATTAAAGTTTTAATGTTAATATTTGAAGCCCTTTGTCAATTTTTCCCTTTTCCCCACCCTTGGCCCGTATCTATCCAACCTTCTTTTGCATAAATCTCTTATAAATTCCTTATTTTCTACCATACATTTTACTCATGCTCTTCATATTACACAAAATGACTTATTTTTACCATACATAACCCCATTTCATCAGGGCCTGCCTCACAGTGCACATTTTAATATTAGCCTTCTCTTACTCTACCTTTTCCTGCTTCTTTGCTAAATTTGCCTTTTCTTGTTGCACTTGTACATATACACGTGCCAAGTTTGAACTTGGTCTGTATCTACTTTTTGTCTTGCCTCTCCAGTTTGGTTCAAAGACAGAGAGCATGCCGTTTAATTGTTTTGTTTCTTCCATGGTACCAAGCCCAGATCTTCAGTAGATGAATAAATCCATCACATGATTCTGATTAGTATGTACATTTGTAATTTTATATTTATTTATTTACTTTTAAGACAGGGTCTGTTGCCCAGGCTGGAGTGCAGTGGTGCTATCACTACTCACTGCAGCCTCAAACTCCTGGGCTCATGCAATCCTCCCACCTCAGATTCCCCTATAGCTGAGACTACAGGCATGCACCACCATTCTCAGCTAATTTTGTGAAAAATTTTTGTAGACACGGGGTCTCATCATGTTGCCCAGGCTGGTCTCGAACTCCTGGGTTCAAGCCATCCTCCTGTCTCAGCCTTCCAAAGTGCTGGGATTATAGAAGTAAGCCACCATGCCAAGCCATTTTCAATTTTAAATAAAGCATTTCAAATGCTTATACTAGAGATACTGCCAATATCCTTACATACAGATGTAGATGCCTCTTCTTATGCCTACCCTGAAAAAAGCTTAAGATTAAAAAATAAGCAAGTCAGATGAAATCAACAATGTTGAAGATGTCGTCGATGGATCTTTTTATTTTATAGTAACTGACCAAGTTCCTCATATATGCTATATATTTAGACACATGTTTTGTTCTGTTGCAGTTCTTTGATCATTTGCTGGCTGGGATAGAAGATATATCAGGACACTGGGGACAATATTACTGGAAAGACAAGTGAGGATTTGCCAAAAGTATACCTGTGTATATGTATAGAAAAAAAAGGAGTCTGTTTATTTTTCTGTATGTTTCTGTTGGCAGTAGTTGAGCTTTATTCATCCACATGACATTAAAAAGATGACAGCTAAAAACAAAGGCAGAAATCTTTCTTTTTCTTTCCCTCACCAGGAGAGACATGATTGATATAAAATCCAGACTCTAAAACTAAAACAGTGTGCCATAAAATTTCTGGCCATCCCTTTCTCTTGAGAATATTATGCACAGATACAGAGAAAGGGGGTTTACATCAAATCATATTGCTATCCTATGTAAACCTTCTAATATTTTGCCACTTAAAAATATCCAAACTTTTACCTTGGTTTAGAAAGCACTGCACCAACTGGCTATTACGCTTTCTTGCCTCATCTCATACTATTCTCCCTGTCATTTACTACACTTCAGCCATATTGTCATTCTGTCTGTTTCTTCAATACATTGAATACAGCCCATTTCTACCTTAAAGGCTTTGCATAATGTTCTCTTTGCCTGGGATGTTCTACATGATCCTTTAATGCCCAGAATTTTCTTGTCATTCAAGTTTTAGTTTAATTTTGTCTCCTCAGAGAGTTTTCCCCTCACTGCTCAATCATTCTCTATATTAGTGGACTGTAATTCTCTGAAGAACACATAACTCTGATATTTTAATACTTAATCTTGCTTATTAAATAATATTTTTTATTTTTAATTTAAAAAAACATTATAAAAATATATTGTTATTTTTACTGTATGTTTCTCTCCTACTAAAATATAAACTGCATGAAGTTAGAGATCTCGTTTATCTTGTTAAATTACAGAGCAGGTACCTAATAAATATTTTTGAATGAATAAATGAGTGACGATAAATTATAAAAAGGGCATTTTTCTGTGCTGATACTAAATTCAGTCCTGTATTTAAATTCAAATGTTTAATTTATATTAAATTATAATTTATTTCTAAGTGCCCTGATAGCAATACATATCAAAATCTGCTGCTTCTGCCTACATTCCTGACAGGAACTGTATAAAATAAAAGATCTGGTTTTAGCAGCAAACATGAGGAACAAGTGCTAGGCTTGATAATTTGCAGGCATCCTTTCATGTCACCTTCTAGGAGAGGTGTCTTATAAGGTGAATTATAGTCAGAAAACCGAGAGAAATTAAGGTAATTGTCTTTCCCAAAGCAATTTTATTGTAAACTCTGATAAATAAAGAATAGATTCCTCTACCCTAATTATAAATGTAAATAGTCTAACAAAATAGACCTTTTCCAAGTGTGTGATTTTGATGCATATTTTTCATTATAAGGAAAGTATACACATCAAGAATGGGAGTATCTATAAGCATTATTTTGTCTTTCTTAAGTCAAACAGCAAAATGATTTTTAAAAATTTATCATACAGATTTTGGGCTAATGACTTCACTTTCTGTTTGAGTATGTTCCATGGGGTTTTATATGGTAAGACTTTTATTTGTGGTTAGCCACACAACCTTTGAAAACTTCATTGTTATACAAATTTGGGTTATCTCCTTTCCTTCCTCTTCCCCTTGCTCTCATTTTTCTACATAAATATGCTCCTCCCTTAAAATATAACCTCTATTAAGCCCTATAAATTTCTAGGTCCAGTGTGTTTTTTCCTCCACAGGTACAAATTTCTATGGTAATGTTCTACACTGTTTTTTCATTTTTGTTAGTGTGTGTGTGTGTGTGTGTGTGTGTGTGTGTGTGTGTCTTTTTTTTCTGAGCCTAATGCTATCACCTATTATCTTCCTAGCATATTTCAGGTTGACAGCTTGAGCTTAGAGTCTAAAAGTCATCAGATCTTTAGAGTATCAGAATATACCTTTTAATATGTAAAAATTTACAAAAGAAGTAAACCTCAATAAGGTCTTTTATATTACAGAGCATTCTTTTTTTTAAAAAAAAGAAAATATAAGCTATGGGTCATAAATCTATATATAGTTGAACATTTTCACTCAAGTGTTATGAAGCTGTGCATTAACATGATTTCTCTTTAATTTTTTGAGTTTATTATGTAGTTTTAATTCAGGTTCCTTAAGGAAACCTTTAACAAAGGTATGCCATTTTCCCCCTATTCTTTGAAAGTAACTGTATGAAGTGCTCTCTTCTTTCATAGCTTTCTCTGAAATGTAGAACCTGCTTGGCCAATATTTCTGTCTTTGTGCAAAGGTTTCTTCTCCATGGTCTGCTTTCTCTTCATCTGATTGGCTCTAGTGGAATAAACATAAATATTTAATTTCTTCTTAAGCACGTATTTGAAATTAAATTGGAATTTACTATGTGTATTTTCTCTCCCCACCGTAGATTAAATTTCAACGAAGTAAATTAGGAATAGGCAGCCTATGAACCAGGTCTGGGACCATCTGACTAGAATGTAAAAGTTCTAAAGATGGCAGTCAGTTGGTGGAATTTGTATTTTATTTGCTTCTTGAACAGATTGGAGTATTTCAACAGCAGATATCTGCAGATTTTGCTTGGAGAGTATGACCATCCCACATCAAACATCAAAGAAGCACTGTGCTTGTTTGTGAAAAGCTTGAGAGAAAACATACCATTGAGTTGGCAGAAGCAGGCCAGTTAATACACACACCGTCTAGTACATCTTTCCTGTAAGTGTGTGTGTGTGTGTGTGTGTGTGTGTGTGTGTGCATGTATGTGTTGTTTCAATCTGTCTAAAGAAGTATCACAGAAACATTGAAGAATAAAGTCCATTCCCTTTAAAGGGTAGTTTTCTTTCCCTTGCATTACCTCTTAGAAAAACATAAAAGAACTAAAATAAAACTGAAGTTATTTGTGTGAGTGCCACAGGCTGCATTGTTTAATATGGAATAGTGAACAGAGCTTAATGAAATAAATTTTGTCTATGAAACTATTAGCTTCTAAAAGTTTTTAAAATGTTATCTCTCAGGAAGTACATGTTTGCATTTTTATTTTCTTTAAAGACTCATGTTAAGTGCAATAATTTATCATTGGCTATTTATTGTTTATCAAGAACTGAATTTAGTGTTAAAAGGTATTTAGTTGGTTTTTGCTGGAGAGACTCGATAGAGAAAATAAATATAAGTTGGGGGTTTGCTGGCTGTAAGTCTGTAAACAATTGTTAAAAGAGAGTAGAGAGATCTTGAAAAGAGAAAACATAAAAAGGGAAAACTAATAGAGGAAGAAAATAATATTGTTATAAATAATTATTTACTATGTATTGTGTCTGAGTAGGAATTTTGTGTTTATCTGCATCATGAGTTTTTTTGGGGGAGGTTCCTTTTGATTAAATTTTACATAATTTTAAATAAATTCTTCAAGCTTTGCTTGTTTTAACTGGTATGAAGTAATTGTAGTTGCATATTTTGCCCAGGACAAAAGAATTAACTACAGTAACTGGTCATCTTTGTCAATCATTCAGTCCTTGATTTGACAGGAATACATTTCATCGATAGATTGCTCATTTCTCTGTTCAACATCCAGGAATCGAGGCCTAAAAGTTTAACTTTTCTTTAATAGTTCGTAATTGGCTAGAATATTATAGTCCTTAAAGTCATGCAGATATGTGCAGTATATATAGATATGAAACTATATCTGTGGTACATTGTTGGGTGGGTTAAGTAGCTTGAATAATAGAACGTATAGCTTGATCATTTTTGTAAAAATATAATTTCAATACCTGTATCGGCATCTGTGCGTAGAAAATTCTGGCAACGCATACACCAAGAGTTAATTGCAGTTTTATCTAGGTGATAAGATTATTTGACTTTTGTATTATTCTTCATAGTTTTCTATATTTTTAGTAGCATGCATGTGTTAATTTCATAGGCAGAAAAAATTATGAAGGCATTTAGAAAATGAAATGAAAGAATTGAAAGTAAAACAGATTGTAAGTTTAAAATGAACAAATGAACAAAATATATCCCAAATACAAGATTGGGCATCTTTTGAAAGTTATAATTGATTGAATGTAAGAGATGCCTTTTCAAGAATAAGTTGTCAAATAAACTCTGAAGAAGGATATCAAAATATATTATAAAATTTTAAAGTGATTTTTAATTATAATAGAACTTTTAATTGTTGGGTTTTGACTTGCCTTTTAAAAGTGAACCGCACCTGAATTACTGAAGTGTTCTGCTATTAATTGTCTCAGCTGAATCTCCTACATTGGGGTGGGGGTGGGGCTAGCTATAGAGAAGAAAAGATAGGTGGATAATGTTTATAGGCTGTCTACTGTAAATCCTTGAATTGATTAGTCTGTGGATGTATTTAGTAAGGGTATCATCATTGATATATTTTATTTTTCCATCCAAACATATCCAATTAAAATGAATGCAAAGCTCAATATGAATTTGATGTATTTGAGAAGTATATATAGTAAACCTTATTAATCAACACTGTGAATGTGAATTTCCTTTTTTCTAAATTACACACACTGGCTCTCGTTGTCTGAAATGACAATATAATTATTATTTTCTTTTTATAATAATATAAATCTGGCATTAATATTAGAAGAAATATATTAAATATTTAAGATTTGATATGCCTTTATTAATAATATCTTTCAAAATTTGCATGGGGAATTAAGCATTAGTTGCATGGTTATCATAAAAATATTGTTGTAAGTATATAGAAGAAAGGTCAATTCAATTAGAATTGCATGGTAGCACACTTAAGAAAAATCTCAAAGATCATTTGAAATACCAGTATGAAACAACATAAATCTGATGCCTGGTCTCAGTTTTCATAGTTAACTTGTTTGCCATTTTCCCTACACAATGAGTAAGTGATTTAAGTTAAATTTCAATAGTCATCCCTTCTATATCCTTATTAAAACTATTTTTTGGAATATATTATCAAAACTATATATACTTTTTTGATTGTATACAGAGTATGCAGTAGTATGGATTATATATTTTTAGCATTCACAAATAGAATTATCCTCTGCAATATTTTTGCTTAGATATCCACTGGCCTGTATATACAAGTGAAATATTGAGATAACTGAGTTTTTAAGTAGAACTTTCCTGAATGTGTATATTACCTTAAAGCTCTGCTTTTCAATGTGCCTTTCCACACTCCTCACCTGATGCACTCACTTCGCTTTTCAAAGCATCTTGGGAATGGATTTCTTTATTGATACTTTAGGCTTCATGTACGTATTTTTTAGTTTGTATATTTATGTATTGAACACCTATAAAGCGTTCAGATATTTTATTTGCAGCCACAGCCATGAAACAACCATCCCCAGTATCTCCAAATCAAGACCTTATGGATAATGTTCAAGTAATATTGACCACAAACCTTTATAAAATCAGAAGAGTGGTTTGATTTTTTTCAGTATATGTCACTTTATTAGTCACATAAATGGAATAAATTTAGTTACTTTTCTTTTTATACTTCCAAACAAACCTTGGCTCCTACATATGTCAAAGGAATATCAGTAGGGTATAGGAAATGATGAATCAATGTTTAATTCACATTCAGACTTGCTACACATAGGAAAGTGCTTTAACAATTTCCATTTAACTGCCAGTGCAGTGTCTTACACGATGCCCAAAGGTCTTGAAAAACGGTGGCATTTTCTTAAGTATGCATTTTTTCTATGGTAAGCTCTATTCTATTTAGCATATTACAAAATTGACTGTTTTAGATGTTAAAATATATTTATGTTACTAGAGAGCTGCCAAATTCCAAAGTTTTAAATATTTAGACTATGATAAAATATAGCTAATATAGATTGAACAATAGGTAACATTTCTTTGATAATTCAGAAATCTGTAAATTCTTATGCACATCAGGACCCTATTATTGTTTCTTCTTCACAGAAAAAAAAATCTTGTCTGCGAGTAGGTGCACTCACATTTCTAAATTAAAAGGTTTTATGTTAGAAATAGATTGATTTAAACGTATCGTTTTTAGGTGATTGCTGTCAAGACAATTTTTGTGCATTTTGTAACTCTAGGTGCATTTTTGTGCATTTTGTAACTCTAGGTATTAATAAATATAATGGTAGTGGCATTTAACATAAATGTCAAAGAACACTGGTAGTGTGCTAGATAACAGAGGTACTGTGCAATGAAGAGGCTTAGAAAGGCTTAGAGAGTAGAGTTCAATAGATTTGAAAAGCATTTCGAGCTCATGAGAGAAAACCTGGAACATAATTACAGTAATAGATGCTTAACAATAATAAATGACTATTATTTTAATGATTTGTACATAATTGAAATTACTTTCTCAAATTGGTGTAACAATGTAATATCTTTATTCCCTAAGTTTGTTACTTATAAATACTACTTCTTGCAGTAGGGTGTGAAGTAATTATAATGTACAAAGTATAAAGAAATATGTCTATATTCTGCACTGTCAGACCATTTTAAAATAATTGTGTGTAGTTTTGTTTTATAAACTTAAATAATACGTGAGTTAGGGGAAGGCAGGGTCCAGAGGGAGAAACAGAGAAATTATCCAAGAGAGGTAAAATAGGTCCTATGGCATCTCTATAGTCTCTATTCCATGTGAATAATATAGTCTCTATTCCATGTGAATAATATAGTCTCTATTCCATTCCTCTTTCTGGAAACTTCACCTTTAAATTGTCTGAGGATACAAGATGATTTCTGAAGACTATATCCAGCTTGGAATTCTATGTATTACAAGTGGTAATTTTAATAGTTTTCTCCTCTTTTAAAGTGGAGCCTGAGACTACAGATTAATAAAAACAATTAACCTTTATTAGACATTTATTATGGTCATGCACCATGCTAACACTTCACATGGGTTATTTGTTATACCTCATAGTGCCTCTATGAAGTCAATACTTCATTAAAAGTCATTATTTTCATTAAAATGCTAAGAAAATTGAGGTTTAGAAAGGTTATACAACCTTTTCAAGGTTGTGCAGTTAGCAAGCAGGAAAGCCAGAATTTATACCTAGGTAACCTGAATCCACAGACGTTATATTATGGCTTGCAAATTAATTCTCAACCAAGTTATTTTTCTACAGTTAAAATATTTCCATAGGCATATTATAGGTACTAGGCAATATGGCTTTCTATATTCTAAATAGGCTTATTAACCCAATGATTTATTAAAATTTATTATTTTAATTTTCAAACATAAAAGAACAGAATATATTATAATGAATCTTTACTTATCTATCACCTAGGTTAAAAATTATCAACACTTTGCAATTTTAGCTTCATCTATTCCCCATCCACACTTACTTTTTCTTCTAGA
Source organism: Homo sapiens (assembly GCF_000001405.40). NCBI lineage: Eukaryota > Metazoa > Chordata > Mammalia > Primates > Hominidae > Homo > Homo sapiens. The sequence continues at coordinate 81,431,891 of NC_000023.11, forward strand.
GTAATTAGAAAGCAAGTTCCAAACGTATTATTTCACCCAAAAATACTTCAGTGTGTTAACAGAAAAAAGATAAGCATAATTTTATTATTACATCCCCAAATTAACTATAATTCATTAACATCATCCAGTAAGCAGTACATGTTCAGTTTCTTCATTGTGTCTCAAAAAGTATAGTTTTACATTTGCTTTGTTTGAAGCAGAACTCAATAAAGTCACATATTTGTGTTAGGTTGAGATATCATTTCTAATCTCTGATACGTTCACTTTACCCCTTTAAGAAGCCACATATTTGTTAAAGAATGTGGATAATTTGTCCTGTAGAATTTCCCAGTCTCTAAATTTAGCTGATTGCATCCTTGTGGTGTAGTTTAACATGCTCCTTTAATTTCCCAGTTTATGTTGTCAATGTATTTTTAGGTTTAATTAGATTCAATTTTGCTTATTTTAGCTAGAGTCCTTCATAGGTAGTGCTGTTTACTTCATATAGTGTCAAATCAGAGGAAATGTAATTTCCTAAAATTGATCATAGTTGTCAGCCTCGTACATTCATCATTAAGTTCCTCCAGCAACTATGACGATTGTTGCCGAGGTCTTTTATTTTGCTAAGAGGTTGCAAAATGGTCATTTTGTAATTGTTATCAATCTGTCTGAATTTATTAGATTTAATTCTGTGAAGAACTACTCATCAACTATTTGATAACCTTGAAGCTGTTTCCTTACAAAAAAAGGCAGGATACATGCTTTATTTATTCACCTTATTTATACATTTTGGAGTAATGAGTTGGAGTACTGGCAACCTCCAAAGGTGACTAGTGTGTTATAAGTATCTTTATTAATGACTAGTTTTTTTTATATTTGAAGTATTTTTATATTTGATGTCTATTTAATGTGCTGCAGTTTTCAATATATTGATGCTCAGATAGTCCTATCTTTGCCCAGTGAGTGCTAGTCAAAATAGGCCTCTTTGTGTTTTTAACATTACCCCAGAACTCCTAGATACCTTGCCAGCTGTCTGATATAATAAGGTGTACACAGATTATCTTACATGTTCCTTATTCAGACTTAAAACAGCCATTTCTCCAAGGTTCTGGTTTCATTTATTGGAAAATGTCATTTACAGATCATAATCTGAACATTGTCGCCACTAGTATGATGTTACTTCTAAAGGTTTTTAGTAGACAGATCTAGGAAATTATACATAGGTGACACACACAGAGAGGAAAAAAATTCCTGAGATCATATAGGTATTTCCAATTAATGTAAAATATTTCAGGAATTATATCTAGTTGTTTGATTTTATATTTGTATCTCTACAATATGATATTTTGAAGTTAAAGGTGAATAGTGTTACTTTCAATAAGACAACTAAATGCAATTTAATATTTCTTTATAATGTTTTAGTCTTTGTGATATAGCCATTAGATACACACAATGAAACACTGTTTTCAAGTCACTTGAGATAATTTTTTTCTGCTGGTTATGTCCTTGACTTGATAAATACTTAGGATTTTTTCAGTTTGTTTTTTAAAACAAATTTATTAAAGTATAAATGACATACAATAAACCGTACATAAAGTGTACAATTTAATAAGATTTGACATACAGATACATTCAAGTAACTACAGCACAGTTAAGATAATGAACACATCCTCCACTCCCTGGAATTTCATTGATCCCTTTGTAATCCTTTCCTTTTGCTCCTCTCCACCCACCCTATCCAATGGCAACAAAATGATTTGACTTCTATTACTGTGCAATTCTACTTGTCATATAATTCTATGTAAAGGAAGTCACATTGTATATATCCTTTTATTGCCTGGCTTCTTCGACTCAGAATAATTGTTTTGAGATTCATTCACATTGTAGAATATGTGGATAGTTCATTTTTATGGTTACAATATTTTATTATATGTATATACCACAATTCACTTATTCGTTCATCTATTCGTGGACATTTGAGTTGTCTCCAGTTGTTAGCTATTACAAATAAAACTGGTATAACATTAGAGTACAAGTATTTGTACGGATACAAGCATTTATTTCTCTTTGATAAATATCTCAGAGTGGAATTATATGGTAGGTATACGTTTAAGTTATTAAGAAACTGCTGAACTGTTTCTCAAAGTGGTTGTACCATATAACATTCCCACCAACTGTGTATTAAGCTTCCAGATATTCTGTATCCTTGCCAGTGCTTGGTATGGTCAGTTCTTCAAAATTCTAACTCTTTTAATAGATGTTGAATGATATCTCACTGTTGATTGAATTTGCATTTTCCTAATGACTAAAGAAATTGAGTATCTTTTGTTTTTTTAACTTTTTTCTTTTTCTGCTTATACTTTAGGTTCTGGAGGTACATGTGTAAGTTTGTTAGGTAGGTAAACTGCATGTTGCTAAGGCTTGATGTAGTGAGCATAGTACCCTATAAGTAGCCTTCCAACCCAAGCCCCCTTCCCCACCTCCGCTTTCAAGCAGTCCCCAGTGTCTAGTTTTCCCATTTTCGTGTCCACGTGTATTCAGTGTTTAGCTCCCACTTATAATTGACAACATGCAGTATTTGTTTTTCTCTTCCTACATTAGTTTGCTTAGGATAATGGCTTCTAGCTCAATCTATCTTCCTGCAAAGGACATAATTGTGTTTCTGTTATGGCTGCATAGTATGCCACGATGTATATGTACCCATCTTCTTTATCTAATCCACTGTTGATGGACATTTTGGCCAATTCCATGTCTTTAATATTGTGAATAGTGCTGCTATAAACATATGAATGCATGCATCTTTTTGGTAGAATGATGTATTTTCCTATGGGTATGTACCCAGTAATGGAATTCCTAGGAATGATAGCTCTATTTTAAGTTCTTTGAGAAATCTCCACACTGCTTTCCACAGTTACTGAATTAATTTACATTCACACAAGGAGTGCATAAGCGCTTCCTTTTCTCCACAGCCTTGAAAGCATCTGTTGTTTTTTGACTTTTTAGTAATAGCCATTCTGACTGGTGGATGGTAGTATTTCACTGTGGTTTTGATTTTCATTTATCTAGAGATTAGCAATGATAAGCGTTTTTTATGTATTGGTTGGCTCCTTGTGTGTCACCTTTTGAGAAGTGCTGTTCGTGTCTTCTGCTCATTTTTTAATGGTGTGATTTGATTTTTGTTTTTTGAATTCTTTAAGTTTCTTGTAGATTCTATTAGATCTTTGTCAGGTGTATAGTTTGTGAACATTTTCTCCCATTCTGTACGTTGTCTGCTTACTCAGTTAATAGTTTCTTTTGCTGTGCAAAGCTCTTTAATTATGTCCCATTTTAATTTTTGTTTTTGTAGCAATTGTTTTCAGGGACTTAGTCATAATTTCTTTGCTATGGCGAATGTCCAGAGAACGGTATTTTCTACTTTTTCTTCTAGGGTTTTTAATATTTACGATCTTAAATTTAAATCTTTAATTCATCTTGAGTTGATTTTTGTATATGGTGAAAGGAAGAGATCCAGCTTCAATCTTCTGCATATGGCTAGCTAGATATACCTGCACCATTTATTGAATAGAAAGTCTGCTCCCCATTGTTTTTTATTGTTACCTTTGTTGAAGATTATGTGGTTGTAGGTGTGTGGCTTCATTTCTGGGTTCTCTATTCTCTTCCACTGGTCTATGTGTCTGTTTTTGTACCAGTATTATGCTGTTTGGGTTGCTATAGACTTGTAGTGTAGTTTGAAGTCGGGTAGTGTGATGCCTCTGGCTTTGTTCTTAATACTTAGGTTTGCTTTGGTGATTCAGACTCTTTTTTGGTTCCATAATAAATTTTAGAATTTTTTTCTAATTCTGTGAAAAATGACCTTGGTAGATTGATTGGAAAGGCATTAAATCTGTAAATTGTTTTGCACAGTATGGCCATTTTACCAATATTGGTTTTTCCTCTCCATGAGCATGGAATGTTTTTCCATTTGTTTGTGTTGTCTTTGATTTCTTTCACCACTGTTTTGTAATTATTGTTATAGAGATCTTTCACCCTCTTGGTAAGCTATATTCCTAGGTATTTTATTCTTTTTGTTACTATCATAAATATGATTTCATTGTTGATTTACCTCTTAGCATGCAAGCTATCGGTAGAAACTGCTGATTTTTGTACATTAATTATCAGAACTAGAAGCCTTCTGGTGGAGTCTGTGAAGTTTTTAGGTATAGAATTATATTGTCTGTAAAGACAGATAGTTTGACTTCCTCTCTTCCTATTAGGATGCTTTTTATTTCTTTATCTTGCTTGATTGCTCTGACTGAGATTTCTAGTACTATGTTGAATATGGGTAGTGAAAGTGGGCATCCTTGTCTTGTTCCACTTCTCAAGGGGAATACTTTCAGCTTTTGACTATTTAGTATGATGTTGGTTGTGGGTTTGTAATAGATGCCTCTTATTATTTTAAAGTATGTTTCTTCATAGCCTAATTTGTTGAGGGTTTTGAAACATTAAAGGATGTTGAATTTCATCAAAAGCCTTTTTTGTTTCTATTGAGATGATCATGAGCTCTTGTTCTTAATTCTGTTTTGTGATGAATCAAATTTATTGAGTTGCATATATTCAAACAACCTTGCATCCCAATAATTAAACTTACTTGACTGTGGTGAATTAACTTTTTGATGTGCTGCTGGATTCAGTTTTCTAGTATTTTGTTGAGGGTATTTGCATGTATGTTAACCAGGGATATTGGCCTTAGGTTTTCTGTTTTGGTTGTGCCTTTGCTCGTTTTCTTTTTTTAAATCAAAATGATACTGATGTTATAAAACGTGTTAGGGAGGAGTCCCCCCTTCTTGATTTTTTAAAAAATAATTTTACTAGGATTTGTACTAGCTCTTCTTTTTATATCTGGAAGAATTTGGATTTTCTGTCTATGTTTCTTTATTAGTCTAGCTAGCAGTTTATGAATCTTGGTTAATCGTTTGAAGCACCAGCTTTTGGTTTTGTTAATCTTTTGTATTGATTTCTGCATCTCAATTTCATTTAGTTCAGATCTGATTTTGATGATCTCTTTTCTTCTTTAGTTTTAGGGTTGTTTTGTTTTTGTTTTTCTAGTTTCTGTAGGTGTGAAATTACATTGTTAATCTGAGATTGTCATTCTCTGATTTATAATTCAAATTAGTCTTTGGTCCATTCGACCTAGAAGTTTTCTCCTTATATAAATTAAGTAGAAATGAAGTAGGCTTCCTAACAGTTTCACTTCTAGGAACACCGTGATTAATTAGCCAATTCCAGAGCTCTACACAAATGAGACTATTCTGTTTGCTGCTTTGTCTTTGCTGTCCATTACGGTAGCTATGCCCACCTTGCCTTTGATAGTTGAGTGTCGTCACTTGGCCGCTGCCACCTTGAGATCCAATTACTCCCGTTGTATTTAAATTTTTTTGTTGAATGACTGCAGTTCCCACTGTTAGATATGATATAAGAGAAGAGCAATTACAGGGCTCTTCAAAGATGCAGGTGCTGCCTTCACAAATCTATTTTGCAGAGCATTGGTCAAGGGTATATTTTTTGGACTCTCCCAGCTGGGATGAGTAGGTCTAAAGTGACTAATCCATTCCAGTATCCCATTCTTCCTAAGCTTTTAGATCCTTTCCTCTACATTAAACTTAAGGAGATCAGGCATTTCCAGCTTGCTCACAGTGGAACATCATTTAATGCATATTTCAGATAACCAAGCAAATAAACGATTAGAACCTTTTTTTAAGTTCTCAAGCTGCAACCCTAAAAGCAGAGTCCCTACTTATTGGTCCCAAATCAATAAATTCAGCCTGATCCAACTCTATGTTCCTTCCACCAGTATCCCATGCCCTTAATATCCATTCATATTCCTGTCCTCCAAATTTCTGTTTATATAAATTAGAGAACTCAAAAAGGTCTTTTAGAGTGTAGTGTGCCTCCTCATGGGTCACACTCTCAACCTGACCTCTAGGGGCCTGCTGGGACTTTAGTCTAGTTACAAGTGTAGAAGCAAAAAAGGGTGTTGAGGTGGTTCCCCAGGAGAATCAACATTATTTTTCTTGGCAACTGCCACAGGGGAGGCCATCACTGTTACTGCAGGCAGCAGCACAGGATTTATCTCCTCAGACAAAGGAAGGAAGGCTGATGGCAGCATGGGTCAGGGAGGGGATGTTGCCACTACTGGTGATGGGTAAGCTGTTCCTTATGGCAAAAAAGATTCATCAGAGTTTAAAAAGTCAGGGTCCCCACCTTCACCTGGGTCCTCCCACACATCCCCATTCCAAGTTGCAGGGTCCCGTTCTTTTCCAATCAATGTCCTCACTTTAACAGTAGACACCTGGCAAGGCTGTGCGTGGATCTTTCATTGCAGTTCAGCCACTCACACGATAAGAGGTTGTGTCTGTTTTTCCACAGTTGCAGCTCTTTCTCTACAGGAGATAAGACTCTCACTCAGGGCAATCTTAGCATATTAGAGGCTCAGTATCTGCTTTTGAAGCTGAGAGACAGAATCCCTGAGTTCATTATTTTCTTTCATCACTTTGTCCACTGAACTTAGAAGCAACCAACCAGCTTCATTATGCTCCTTGGTTCTCTACATATGGTCAAATGTATTATGTATAGAGTTACTAAACTCCTTGCCTCTCATGAGCAGTGAATCAGGAGTGTCAAACGCATTTATTTTGCATAACTCTCTAAACAGTTCAGACCAAAAACTATCAGTGTTCTTCATACTAAAAGAAGCAGAGTCCTCAGCATTTCTGGATCTAATCATATTGAGCAGCCAAGTCCAGAAACTCCAAAACAAACAAAAGAACTCCATCCTTAATATTCTATTCCTCTAGAACCATGCCTGATACCAAAATCTCTATTAGTTGGGGTTCTCTAGAGAGACAGAACACACACACACACACACACACACACACACACACACGGTAGTTTATTAAGTATTAACTTTTGTGATCACAGTGTCTCACAGTAGACTGTCTACAAGCTTGAGGAGTAAGGAGAGCCAGTCTGAGTCTCAAAACTGAAGAACCTGGAGTCTGATGTTCCAGGGCAGGAAGCATCCAGCATGGGAGAAAGATGTAGGCTGGAAGGCTAGGCCAGTCTCTCCTTTCACGTTTTTCTGCCTGCTTTATATTTGCTGGCTGCTGATTAGATTGTACCCACCAGATGCAGGGTGGGTCTGCCTTCCCCAGCACACTGACTCAAATATTAATCTCCTTTGGCAACACCCTCACAGACACAACCAGAATTAATACTTTGTATCCTTCAATCCAATCAAGTTGACACTCAGTATTAACCATCACACAAGGATTGCATTGAATCTGTAGATTTCTTTGGATAATATTGCCATCTTAACAACATTAAGTCTTCCTACCAATTAACATGGGATGGTTTTCCATTTATTTAGGTCTTTTAAAACATATTTCAACAATATTTTATAGATCAGTGTACAAATACTTCAACTCCTTGATTACATTTAGTCCTAGGCATTTTATTATTTTACTTGCTATTGAAAATATATTCACTCTTTAAATTTTCTGTCCAGATGATTTATTGCTTGTGTGTAGAAACATAGCTGTAACATAGTGCCTTGTAACTTTATTAAATGTGCTTAAGTTCTGGTAGCTTATTTTGTGGATCCATCAGGATTGTCTATACATTGTATGTCATCTGTGACCAGAGATTGTTTTCATTCTGCTTTTCTAATTTGAATGCCTTTGTTTATATTTCTTGCCTAATTGCTCTGATTAGAACGTTCAGTACAATTTTGAACAGTAGTGATGAAAATAGGCAGCCTTGTCTTGTTCTTTACCTTAGGAGAAAAGCTTTCAGTTTTCCCCATCGGCTATTATATTAGCTGTAGATTTTTCTTAAATGCTCTTTATCAAGTTGAGAAAGTTTTCTGAGTGTTCTTACCATGAGAAAAACTGTTTCATTTTGTCAAAATCTTTTTATGCATCAATTGACATTATTATTTACAGTTTTCCTTTCTTCTACTATTGTGGTGTATTATATTGATTGATTTTCTTATGTTGACCTAAGCTTGCACTTCTGAAATAAGTCCCACTTAGTTATAATATATAACACTTTTAATGCATTCTTGGATTGGGTTTTCTAGTTTTTGTTGAGGATTTTGACATCTGTGTTTATAGGAGTTATTGTTCTGTAGTTTTTTTTTTTTTCTCCTGATTTCTGTGTCTAGGTTTGGTATTAGGGTGATGCTGGCCTCACAGAATGAGTTAGCAAGTGTTTTCTCATCTTCCATTTTTTGGAAGAGTTTGAAATGATTGACTTTAAATGTTCTTTAAGTGTTTGTAAAATTCACCAGTGAAGCCATGTGGCCTTGGACTCTTCTTTGATGAGAGATTTTTGATTATTGATTCATTCTGTTTACTTTTAAATTTGTATAAATTTTCTATTTCTTCTTGAGTCAGTTTTGGTAATTTTGTGTTTCTAGGAACTTTCCATTTCATTTAGATTATCCAAATTTTGAAGTATACTTACTCATATTATTCTCTCATAATCATTTTTTATTCTGTAAGGTTGTTAGTAACATCCACTTTTTAAATAGTTTCAATATTTATTTTAGATTCAGGGGGTACTTGTGAAGATTGTTTTATTGGGTATATTGCGTGATGCCATGGTTCAGTTTATGAATGATCTCATCAACCAGGTAGTGAGCACAGTACCCAACAGGGAGTTTTTCAACCCCTGCATCTTTCCTTCTCTTCTCGCTCAGTAGTCTTCACTGTCTGATGTTCCCATCTTTGTGTTCATGTGTACCCAATGCTTAGTTCTCACTCGTAACTAAGAACATGTGGCATTTGGTTTTCTTTTCCTGCATTAACTCACTTGGGATAATATCCTCCAGCTGCATCCATGTTATTGCAAATAACATGATTTCATTATTTTTTATGGCTGTGTATTCCATGGTGTATATGTACCATATTTTCTTTATCCAATCCACTCTTGATGGGCACCTAGTTTGATTCTATGTCTTTGATACTATAAACTGTGCTGTGAAACCTACTAGTGCATGTGTCTTTTTGGCTAACTGATTTGTTTTTCTTTGTGTATGTAACCAGTAATAGGATTCCTAGGTCAAATAGTAGTTCTATTTTAAGTTCCTTGAAAAATCTCCATATTGCTTTTCACAGTGGCTGAATTACTTTACATTCACACCAAAAATGTATAAGCATTTTTTTTTGTCCACAGCCTTGCCAGCAGCCTTTTTTTTTTTTTTTACTTTTTACTTTTTAATAATAGTCATTGTGACTGGTATGAGGTGGTATCTCATTATGGTTTTGTTTGAATTTCTCTGATCATTAATTATGAGGTGCATTTGCTCATATGTGTTTTAGCTGCTTGTATGTCTTTTGAGAAGTGGCTGTTCATGTCCTTTGCCCACTTTTTAATGGGATTATTTGTGCTTTTGCTTGCTGAATTATTTAAGTTCCTTATTGATTCTGGATATTAGATCTTTGTTGGACTCATAGTTTGTGAATATTTTCCCCATTCTGTAGGTTGTATGTTTACTCTGCTGATAGTTTCTTTTGCTGTGTGGAAGATCTTTAGTTTAATCAGCTGTTACTTGTCAATTTTCGTTTTTGTTGCCACTGATTTTGAGGACTTAGTCGTAAATTATTTGCCATGGTCAATGGTCAGAATGGTGTTTTCAAAGTTTCATTCTAGGATATTTGTAGTTCGAGGTCTTACATTTAAATCTATAATCTATCTTGAGGTAATTTTTGTATATGGTGCAATGTAGGAGTCTAGTTTCAATCTTCTGTATATGGGTAGCCAGCAATCCCAGCATCATTTATTTAATAGGGGGTCTTTTCCCTATTGCAAATTTTTCTTTGCTTTGACAAATATCTGATGGTAGTAGTTGTATGGCTTTATTTCTGGTTCTCTAATCTGTTCCATTGCTGTATGTGTTTTTTTTTGTAACTGTACCATGTTGTTTTGGTTACTGTAGCCTTATAGTATGGTTTGAAGTCAAGTAAAGTCATGCCTCTGGCTTTGCTCTTGTTGCTTAGGATTGTTTTGGCTATTCAGGGCCTTTTGGGGTTCTATATACATTTTAGAGTAGTTTTTTTTTCTACTCCTGTAAAAAATATCATTGGTAGTTTGATAAGTATAGTACTGAATCTGTAGATTGCTTTGGGTAGTATGGCCATTTTAATGATATTTGTTCTTTGTAACCAAGAATGTGAAAAGTTTTTCCATTTGTTTGTGTCTTCTGTGCTTTTCTTTCTTTCTTTCTTTCTTTTCTTTCATTCTTTCTTTCTTTTTCTCTTTCTTCTTTCTTTCCTTTTTTTTTTTTTTTGATGGGGTCTCACTTTGTCTCCTAGGCTGGAGTGCAGTGGTGTGGTCATGGCTCAACACAGCCTTGACCATCTGGGCTCAAGCAATTCTGCCACCACAACCCCCCAAGTCACTGGGACCACAAGTATGTGCCACCACACCTAGTTAATTTTTTAATTATTTGTAGAGATGGAATTGCTCTATGTTGCCCAGGCTGATCTCGAACTCCTGGGCTCAAACAATCCTCCTGTCTTGGCCTCCCAAAGTTCTGGGATTACAGGCATGAGCCACCATGCCCGGCCTTCTGATTTTTTTCATTAGTGTTTTGTAGTTCTCCTTATAGACATCTTTCACTTCCTTGGTTAGATATATTTCCAGGTATTTTATTTTATTTTTATGGCAACTGTAAATGGGATTGCATTATTGATTTTGCTCTCAGCTTGAATGTTATTGGTATGTATAAATGCTACTGACTTTTTACATTGATTTTGTATCCTGAAACTTTAATGAAGTTGTTTATCAGTTCTAGAGCCTTTTGATGGAGTCTTTATGTTTTTCTAAATATAAAATTATATTGTCAGTTAAGAGAGATAATTTGACATCTTGTTTTTCTATTTGGATGCCTTTTGTTTCTTTCTCATGCCTGATTGCTCTGGCTAGTACTGCCAGTACTATGTTGGACAGGAGAGGTGAGACCTTTCTGAAATTAGTTCTTTATATCTTCTTTTCTTTTCTAAGTCACTCTATCTAAATATTTGTCAAGTTTGCTCATTTAATAAAGCAACTTTTGAGTTCTATTTTTTCTATTTTCTCTTTCATTTTTTCTCCATTCTAATCTTCATTGTTTCCTTTCTTCTGTAGTTTTGTGTTTAGTTTGCTCTTCTTTTATTTTCTCAGATAAAAAGTTATATTATTAATTTGAGTTTTTTATTTTTAATATAGATGTTTACAGCTCAAAATTTCTCTTAGCACTTTTTTCTCTGCATGCTGTAAATTTGTGTATTTTTCTATTTTTGTTATTTTTTCAAATTATTGTCTAATTTTTATTGTGATTTCTTTTTTTGATCCATTTGCTGTCTAATAATGTGTTGTTTAATTCCATTTTTGGATTTTCCAGTTTTTTTCAGTTATTGTTACCTTCATTCCATTATTGTCAGAAAATATTTTTATATGATTTCAATATTTTAAAATTTATTGAGAGGGTTTTAAGTGCCTAATATATAGTCTCTTATGGAAAATATTTTATTTGTGCTCAGAAACATTGGCTGGAGCATTTTATATATGTCTCTTAGCTCTAATTTTTTAATAGTCATGTTCATGTCTAATTTTTTTACTGGTGTTCTGTGTGGATTTTCTATGCATTGTTGAAAGTGGAGTATTGAAATATCCATCTGTTATAGGAATCACCCTTTTTCATTTTAATTCTGTCAATGTTTGCTTCTTATACTTTGAAACTCTTTTGTTTGGTGCATATATGTTTATAATTTTATGTCTTCTAGATGAATTGATTATTGATGGTAACAATTTTTGACATGAAGATCACTTTGATATTTAGTTACTATTTGTACGATATTATCTTTTTTTTTCGGAGTCTCGCTCTGTCGCCCAGGCTGGAGTGCAGTGGAGTAATCTCAGCTCACTGCAACCTCCGCCTCCTGGGTTAAAGTGATTCTCCTGCCTCAGCCTCCCGAGTAGCTGGGACTATAGGCGCCTGCCACCATGCCCGGCTAATGTTTTTTGTATTTTTAGTAGAGATGGGGTTTCACCGTGATAGCCAGGATGGCCTCGATCTCCTGACCTCGTGATCCACCCGTGTTGGCCTCCCAAAGTGCTGGGATTACAGGCGTGAGCCACCGTGCCTGGCCGGTATTATCATTTTTAATACTTTCGTTTTCAATCTGTTTGTGTCTTCAGATCTAAAGTGAGTCACTCATAGACAGCATTATACAGTAATCCTTCAGTATCCACAGTGAATCAGTCCTAGGACATTTCAAAATACTAAATTCAGTAGATGCTCAACCATCATATATAAAATAGCATAGTATTTGCATATAACCTACACATATATTTGCATATACTTGAAATCATCTATAGGTTACTTATAATACCTAATCAAAGATATGCTATGTAAATAGTGGTTATATTATATTTTTATTTCTTTTAAAATTTATTGTTATTTTTATTATACATTTTAAAAATAGTTTCAATCTGCAGCTGGTTGAATCTGTAGATGCAGAACTAACAGAACCAAAAGGCTGACTACAGTAGGGTCAAGTGTGTTTATTTATTTTGCCTATGTATGCCTTTTGATTTGTGTACTTAATTTATTTACATTTAAATACTGACAAGAAAGGATTTATTCCATTTTATTATTTTTTAAATAGAGCTTAAACTTTTTTGAAATTTATTTTATCCATTACCACCTTCTTTTGTGCTTTTTTTTCTTTTGGTAGTCTTTTTATTCGCTTTTAAAAATGCAGTTCAAAGATCTTTTCTCATTAATTAAATGGGGTTTACAATTAGCATCCTAAATTTATAACAGTCTATGTTGAATGGATAGCAAGTTAGCTTAAATAGTATACAAAATCTCCACTCTTATACCTCTCCACCTGCTTTATATTTTTATTTTTACGCACTAAATATTTATGCATGTATATTATATATTTATTAACATTGATTTATAATTATTGCTTTATGCATTTGTCTTTTAAATCAAATAGAAAACAGAAAGAAGTGTTGTAAACCAAAAGTGTAATAATCCTTGCTTTATATTTACCTATGTAATTACCTTTACTGGAATTCTTGAATTCTTTCTTTCCTTCTTTGATTCAAGTTTTACTTTCTGATTTTAAAAAAAATTAGTCTGAAACGCTCTCTTTACCATTTCTTGTAGGGCAGATCTACTAGCAATGAATTTTCTTTGTTTTTGTTTATCAGAGAATCTCTTAGTTTTTCCTTCATTTTTGAAGAATAGTTTTTCTGGATGGATCTAGAAATTTTGCTTAATGTTGTTTTACTTTCAGCAGTTTAAATATGCCATTCCACTGACTCTTGCCTCCATGGTTTCTGATGATAAATCAATCAGCTGTTTCTCTTATTGAGGCTCTCTTTTACATGATGAGTCACCTCTCTCATGCTGCTTTATTTTTTTAAATTACATTCTTTTAATTTTTTACCTTTTATTTTTAAAAACTGTATACTTAAGGATAAAAAAATGCAGATTTCTTAAATGCATATATTGCATATTGGTGAAGCCTGGGCTTTTAGTGTACCAATCACCTGAACAGTCAACACTGTACTCAATAGGTAATTTTTCAGACCTCACCTCCCTCCAATGCTCCCACCTTTTGTAGTCTCCAATGTCTATTATTCTACTTCATATGTCCATATATACCCATTGTTTAGCTCCTACTTATGAGTGAGAACAGGTGATATTTCACTTTCTGAATTATTTCACTTAAGATTGTGACCTCCAGTTCCATCTGTGTTGCTGCAAAATACATGATTTTATTTTTTTATGACTGAGTAGTATTCCATGGTATATGTATACTACATTTTCTTTATCCAATCATCCATTGATAGACATTTAGGTTAATTCTATATCTTTGCTATTGTTAAGAGTACTGTGATATAACACAGGAATGCAGGTATCTTCTTCATATAAGAATCTTGCAAAAGGTTTATTGATTTCACTGACTTCATAGAGCAAGGTTTTGGTTTGATTGATTTTCTTTACTACTTTTCTGTTTTCTACCTCATTGATTTCTACTCTGATCTTTATTTTTCTTTCTTGTACTGGTGATTTCAATTGATCATTATTTCTCTTTCTTTTAGGCAAAGGTTGAGGTTATTAATTTTTTACTATTTTTCTGGTAGAGGTGCATAGTTCCAGAAATTTCTTCCCAAATACAGATTTGTTAGCATCCCTAGAATTTTGATATGCTATGATTTAATTTTCATTCAGTTCAATATAATTTCTAATTTTCCTTTGAATATATTCTTTGATCCATGTATTATTCAGAATTTGTTATTAAATTTTCTAAATATTTGGTAATATTTCATATCTTTCTGTTTCTTATTTTGAGTTTAATTCTGTTACCTTCAGAAAACACACTGCGTGACTTGAATACATTTAATTTATTAATAGTTTGTTTATAGCTTATAGCTTATAATATAATGTATCTTGATAATTGTTCCCTGTGCCCTCTTAAAGAAAGTGTATTTTGCTTTTGTTGGATGAAGTAGCTTATATATGTCAATTCGATCAAGTTCACTCATAGTGCTACTCCAGTCTTCTCTATTTTTATTTATTTATTTATTTATTTATTTAGAGACGGATTCTCGCTCTGTCGCCCAGGCTGCAGTGCAGTGGCGCGATCTCGGCTCACTGCAAGCTCCACCTCCCGAGTTCACGCCATTCTCTTGCTTCAGTTTCCCTAGTAGCTGGGACTACAGGAGCCCGCCACCATGCCCGGCTAATATTTTTTTGTATTATTAGTAAAGACGGGTTTTCACCGTGTTAGACAGAATGGTCTCCATCTCCTGACCTCGTGATCCACTCGTCTCGGCCTCCCAAAGTCCTGGGATTACTACAGGCGTGAGCACCGCACCCGGCCTGGTCGTCTCTATTTTTTATGAGTTTCTCTTTACTCATTCTATTAGATATTGAGAGAGGTTATTGCAATCTCTGACAGTATTTTGGATTTGTCTATTATTCCTTATAGATCTTTCAGTTTTTTACTTCATACACTTTGAGGCTTTGTTTTTAGATCCATAAATCTACTAAACTATTCTCATGTTATCTTAATTAATGTACCTTTTTTAATTCTAAAATGACCCATTCTTCCTCTGGCTTCTACTCTTTGCACCTCCATATGGGAACTCTCTCAAGTCAGTAAGCTGGGACAATTGAAGGTCTTACCTCCTTTGTTTCTCATTTTTCTGAGTTCACTCTCCTATCTTGCTTTTCAGATTTCTACAAACCATTGTTTTGTACATTTTGTTCATATTTTGGTTGTTTCAGGAGGGATATTAAATCTGTTTTATTACCGCATCTTTGCTGGAACTCAGCTTGCTTTCATTTTTTTTCTTATTTTTAAGTCTTTTTTTATTATGAAAAACATTTATTTGGTTCCATAGTTAAAAGCATAGTACAAAATAATTAAAATAAGTCTAAATGCGTTCCTATGTTCTCCCACCCTGTTTCTTTCTTCCACCTAAAGGTAGTAAACTTTTAGTGTGTGGTTCATATTTTCATTTTTTTCTTTCTGAAAAGATAATCAAAACGATTTTTTTTAGCAGGGATATAATTGGCCAACAAAATGTGTTTGTATACATAGTTTTGAAAGTATCAACCAAGACATTAAAGATACTATGTGCTTATAAAATAAAAATGATATATTTTAAATGTAGCTATTTTTTCTGTTACATTTTAATAAATTCTTTAAACTGTAGAATATTAAATACTCTTGGCTTGAGAAATACGCATTATTCTTTACCCAAGTAGAGACATATAAAAGATAACATATCTATACATTTTTGAACATTTGAAGTATTCTTAATACCTTTCATCTGTTAACAGTTTATATCAATTTTACTTATGTTTAGGTGGATTTTAGATAATAATTATTTCAATGAATTGCCAATCAGAAAATCTTTGAATACGCCTGTGTCCTGAAAGCCCCTTCTTCCAGTTGTCTCACCTTTCCAGACCAAAACAATGATGTATAGCTTACATGTATTGATTGATGTTTTATGTCTCCCTAAAATATATAAAACCAAGTTGTAGTCTGACCACCTTGGACACATGTTTTCAGCATATTTTGAAGACTCTATTACCAGCCGTTGGTCACTCATATTTGGCTCACAATAATTCTCGTCAACCATACTAAAGTTTGACTCTTTTTTGTCAACAAAAAATTAAGGATCCCTCTAAATTCTTAATCCAAGAATAAAGAGTGGCATTGGCCATGATGGATGTAATGTTTTGAAAGATTAATCCAGTCTAAATGTGCAAGATGGATAGAGTAGGGGAATATTCAGGTGGCAGAAAAATCAATTTAGATGCTATTGAAACTGCCTTTGCAAAATTACGACCGAGACAGTGAACGAGATCTATCCTAACTGACATCATCTTGCTTCTAACCTTTAAGTCATCCTCATTTATTCATGGGTATAGGCTGTGAACTAACTTTGGGAGGAACTTGGTTTATAGCTTATAGTTTAAAACAAAGATGATAACAGCTCTTTCCCAAAGCAAACCTCCCTCTTACCTGGGGACTAGACTGACTTTGTAGGACTAACAAATTACCCACCAGACTAAAAATTATGGTTTAGGAGTCATGCAGCTGGAGGCTACATGATTCTAACCCTTCCTAAACTGCTCCAAAGATCAGTGCTTGAGATATTTTGCAAACCCTGCACTTGATGAACCATGTGGCACCACCCAGATCAATTAACTGGCTCATGTGATCTTGTGGCCCCCACTGAAGAACTGATTCAGTGCAAGAAGACAGCTTCAACTTCTAATGATTTCATCTCTGACCTGACCTATCAGTACTCTCAACTTACTGGCCTTCCCCCACCCGCCAAATTATCCCTAAAAACTCTGATCCCTTAATGCTCATGATCTGGGAGACTGATTTGAGTAATAATAAAACTCCCATCTCCTGCACAGCCAGCTGTGAGTGAATTACTCTTTCTTTATTGCAATTCCCCTGTCTTGATAAATTGGTTCTGTCTAGGTAGCAGGAAAGGTAAACCCACTGGATGGTTACACTGTTGTAGTGATCCTTTTATTGCCTTCAAATATTGAGAATTGCCAATTTTCTTTTCCGTATATAAGTATTAAAGTTTAAGTTGGTTGAAGTATTGCTTTCATTCTTCAGGAGATATTTGGATACAGAGTAGTGCCATTTTTGAGACTTTGCTTTCATTTTTCAGGAGATATTGAGATATAGAGTAATACCATTTTGAAGAGTTTAATCAAAGTTAGGAAAGAAAAAGTTGGAGTAATGGGAGTATAGTTTAAAGCCATTTAGTCGTGGAGAAAGTAATGCCCTTTGGCTTTCAGGATGTGATATAATTCTGATTAGGATTCCTTCTAACATGAACAATTAAAATAGAATAGTAAATATTAAAGAGAATAATCCCTATTGTTTAGATATTTCCATTTTTAAGATTGTCAGTACCTAAAGAACAGATGCAAGACATGCATTGTTCATGTCAAATTAATGGTTTTAAAAATAAAATCATATAAAAATGGTAGTATTTATCATTAATAGATGTAATCTCTTCAGAATTGACATATACATTTTATATTTGCAAAATCGATGTCAACAGACAACTGGCAATATATTACAATTTTTGTGTTTTATTCTCTTCAAATCAAGAAGTTTCTTTGGAAATAAATGCTGAAAACCTTAATCACATTTTTAGAATTTAACACAAAAATACAGATGTAAGGGAAATTTTATCTGTACCTTAAATGAATGAGATTTACAGATATACAAAGTCATCTTTAAGAAGTCTGAAAGTAATCGTTGCATAATAGTTTTTTATTCCATGACATAACGCCTTATCAGATCTCTTTAGAAGATACGTCTAATAGTATGTACATTACAATTACTCTTCTGGGGAATATAATACCTGCTTACCTGGAAATGTAAAAAGAACAGTTTTTAATACACTTAAAAATTGCAGTATGGATAATTTATATTATCAGTATTCTTTACTGATTTTCTTGCTACATTTAAAGTTTGGCAAGTGGGTCCCTGACACCCACGTATCCTGACTGGGGACACCTCCCAGTAGGGGTCAACAGGCACCTCATACAGGAGAGCTCTGGTGGACATCAAGCAGGAGGCCCTCTGGGACGAAGTTTCCAGAGTAAGGAACAGGCAGCAATCTTTGCTGTCCTGCAGCATCCACTGGTGATACCCAGGCAAACAGGGACTGGAGTGTACCTCCAGCAAACTCCAGCAGACCTGCACTAGAGGGGCCTGATTGTTAGAAGGAAAACTAACAAACAGAAAGGAACAGCTTCAACATCAACAAAAAGGGCGTTCCTCAGAGACCCCCATCCGAAGGTCATCAACATCAAAGACCAAAGGTAGATAAGTCCACGAAGACAGTAAGAAACCAGTGCAAAAAGGCTGAAAATTCAAAAAACCAGAACACCTCTTCTCCTCCAAAGGATCACAACTCCTCACCAGCAAGGGAACAAAACTAGACAGAGAATGAGCTTGATGAATTGACAGAAGTAGGTTTCAGAAGGTGGATAATAACAAACTACTCTGAGTTAAAGGACCATGTTCTAACCCAATGCTAAAAACCATGAAAAAAGGTTAGACAAATTGCTAACTAGAATAACCAGTTTAGAGAAGAACATAAATAACCTGATGGAGCTGAAAAACACAGCATGAGAACTTTGTGAAGCATGCACAAGTATCAAGCCAAATTGATCAAACAGAAGAAAGGATATCAGAGATTGAAGATCAACTTAATGAAATAAAGTGAGAAGAGAAGATTAGAGGAAAAGAATGAAAAGGAATGAACAAAGCCTCCAAGAAATATGGGACTATGTGCAAAGACCAAATCTACGTTTGATTGGTGTACCTGAAAGTGACGAGGAGAATGAAACCAAGTGGCAAAACACTCTTCAGGATATTATCCAGGAGAACTTCCCCAACCTAGAAAGACAGGTGAACATTCAAATTCAGGAAATACAGAGAACACCACAGAGATATTCCTCAAAAATAGCAACCCCAAGACACAATTATCAGATTCACAAAGGTTGAAAATGAAGGAAAAAATGTTAAGGGCAGCCAGAGAAAGGTTAAGTTACCCACAAAGGGAAGCTCATTAGACTAACAGCGTATATCTCTGCAGAAACCCTACAAGCCAGAAGAGAGTGGTGGCCAATATTCAACATTCTTAAAGAAGAGAATTTTCAACCCAGAATTTCATATCTACCCAAATTAAGCTTCATAAGTGAAAGAGAAATAAAATCTTTCATAGACAAGCAAATGCTGAGAGATTTTGTCACCACCAGGCCTGCCTTAAAAGAGCTCCTGAAGGAAGCACTAAGCATGGAAAGGTAAAACTGGTACCAGCCACTGCAAAAACATACCAAATTGTAAAGACCATCAACACTATGAAGAAACTGTATCAACTAATGGGCAAAACAACCAGCTAACATCATAATGACAGGATCAAATTCACACATAACAATATTAACCTTAAATGTAAACGGGCTAAATGCCCCAATTAAAAGACACAGACTGGCAAATTGAATAGAGAGTCAAGACCCATTGGTGTGCTGTATTCAGGAGACCCATCTCATGTGCAAAGACACACATAGGCTCAAAATAAAGGGACGGAGGAATATTTACCAAGCAAATGGAAAGCAGAAGAAAACAGTGATAGCAATCTTAGTCTCTGATAAAACAGACTTTAAACCAACAAAGAACAAAAGAGACAAAGAAGGGCATTATGTAACGGTAAAGGGATCAATGCAACCAGAAGAGCTAACTATCCTAAATAGATATGCACCAAATATAGGAGCACTCAGATTAATAAAGCAACTTCTTAGAGACCCACAAAGAGATTTAGACCCCACATAATAATAGTGGGAGATTTTAACACCCCACTATCAATATTAGACAGATCAATGAGACAGAAAATTAACAAGGATATTTAGGACTTGAATTCAGCTCTGGACTAAGCAGACCTAATAGACATCTACAGAACTCTCAACCCCAAATCAACAGTATATACATTCTTCTCAGCACCACATCACACTTATCTAAAATTGACCACATAATTGGAAGTAAAACACTCCTCAGCAAATGCAAAAGAATGAAAATAGTAACAAACAGTCTTTGAGACTACAGTGCAATCAAATTAGATTAAGAAACTCACTCAAAACTGCACAACTACATGGAAACTGAGCAACCTGCTCCTAAATGACTACTGGGTAAATAATGAAATGAAGGCACAAATAAAGATGTTCTTTGAAACCAATGAGAACAAAGACACAACTGTATCAGAATCTCTGGGGCACATTTAAATCAATGGTTAGAGGGAAATTTATAGCACTAAATGCCCACAAGAGAAAGCAGGAAAGATCTAAAATTGGCGCCCCAACATCACAATTAAAAGTACTAGAGAAGCAAGAGTAAATAAATTCAAAAGCTAGCAGAAGACAAGAAATAACTAAAAACAGAGCAGAACTGAAGGAGATAGAGACATGAAAAACCCTTCAAAAAAATCAATGAATCCAGGAGCTGGTTTTTTTGAAAAGGTCAACAAAATGGATAGACTGATAGCCAGACTAATAAAGAAGAAAAGAGAGAAGAATCAAATAGATGCAATAAAAAATGATAAAAGGGATATCACCACTGATCTCACAGAAATACAAATGACCACCAGAGAATACTATAAACACCTCTACACAAATGAACTAGAAAATCTAGAAGAAATGGATAAATTCTTGGACACATACACCAGCCCAACTCTAAGCCAGGAAGAAGTTGAATCCCTGAATAGATCAGTAACAAGTTCTGAAATTGAGGCAGTAATTAATACCATAAAAAGCCCAGGACCAGACGGATTCACATCTGAATTCTACCAGAGGTAAAAAGAGGAGCTGGTACCATTGCTTCTGAAACTATTCTGAACAAAAGAAAAAGAGGGAATATTCCCTAACTCATTTTATGAGGGCAGAATCATTCTGATACTAAAATCTGGCAGAAACACAAGCAAAAAAGAAAATTTCAGGCCAATATCCCTGATGAACATCGATGTGAACATCCTCAATAAATTACTGGCAAACTGAATCCAGCAGCACATCAAAAAGGTTATCCACCATGATCAAACCTACTTCATCCCTAAGATGCAAGGCTGGTTTACCATACACAAATCAATAAACATAATCCATTATATAAACAGAACCAATGACAAAAAACGCATGATTATCTCAATAGATGCAGAAAAGGCCTTCGACAACATTCAACAGCCCTTCATGCTAAAAACTCTCAGTAAACTAGGTATTGATGGACATATCTCAAAATAATAAGAGCTACTTATGACAAACCCACAGCCAATATCATACTGAATGGGCACAAACTGGAAGCATTCCCTTTGAAAACTGGCACAAGATAAGGATCCCCTCTCTCACTACTCCTATTCAACATAGTATTGGAAGTTCTGGCAAGGAAAATCAGGCAAGAGAAAGAAATAAAGGGTATTCAACTAGGAAAAGAAGAAGTAAAATTGTCTGTTTGCAGATGACATGTTTGTATATTTAGAAAACCCAATCTCTCAGTCCAAAATCTCCTTAATCTGATAAGCAACTTCAGCAAAGTCTCAGAATACAAAATCAATGTGCAAAAATCACAAGCATTGCCATACACCAATAACGGACAAACAGAGAGCCAAATCATGAATGAATTCCCATTCGCAATTGCTACAAAGAGAATAAAATGCATAGAAATACAACTTACAAGGGAAGTGAAGGACGTCTTCAGGGAGAACTACAAACCACTGCTCAAGGAAATAAGAGAGGACAGAAACAAATGGAAAAACATTCCATGCTCGTGGATAGGGAGAATCAATATCATGAAAATGGCCATACCAGCCAAAGTAATTTATAGATTTAATGCTATCCCCATCAAGCTACCATTGACTTTCTTTGCAGAATTGGAAAATACTACTTTAAATTTCATATGGAACCAAGAGCCCACATAGCCACAACAATTCTAAGCAAAAAGAACAAAGCTGGAGGCATCTTGCTACCTGATTTCAAACTGTCCTACAAGGCTACAGTAACCAAAACAGCATGGTATTGGTACCAAAACAGATGTATATACCAATGGAACATAACAGAGTCCTCAGAAATAACACCACACATATACAACCATCTGATCTTTGACAAACCTGACAAAAAGAAGCAATGGGGAAAGAATTCCCTATTTAATAAATGGTGTTGGGAAAACTGACTAGCCATATGCAGAAAACTGAAACTGGATCCCTTCCTTACACCTTATAAAAAATTAACTCAAGATTGATTAAAGACTTAAATGTAAGACCTAAAACCGTAAAAACCCTAGAAGAAAACCTGGGCAATACCATTCAGGACATAGGCATGGGCAAAGACTTCATGACTAAAACACCAAAAGCAATGGCAACAAAAGCCAAAATAGACAAATCGTATCTAATTAAACTAAAGAGCTTCTGCACAGCAAAATAAACTATCATCAGAGTGAACACGCAACCTACAGAATGAGAGAAATTTTTTATAATCTGTCTATCTGACAAATGGCTAATATCCAGAATCTACAAAGAACTTAAACAAATTTATAAGAATAAAACAACCCCATCAAAAAGTGGGCAAAGGATATGAACAGACACTTATCAAAAGAAGACATTAATGTAGCCAACAAATATGAAAAAAGCTCATAATCACTAGTCATTAGAAAAATGCAAATCAAAACCCTAATGAGATACCATATCACACCAGCTTGGTGATCATTAAGAAGTCAGGAAACAACAGATGCTGGAGAGGATGTGGAGAAATAGTAACGCTTTTGTACTGTTCATTGGAATTTTATTTTTGGAAATTCTGTGTGGCCTCAATAGAAAATGAATTATTCCTGAAGGATTTTCACTTTCCTTAGACTATTGAATGGGGACACTACAAATCTGAGACAACTTTAAATTAAATTCTAGATCTGAGATCTTTCTGACTACACAGAAACACACATGGGGGATCGCTATACTTATGAATTATCATTGGAAATTTTTTTCAGTTCTATGTATTTGATAATTACCATTATGACATTATCTTAAATCACAGTTATGTAGCAGAGAAGGTAGTTTGTGTGATATAGTATATTTATAATAACTCCTTTTAATATTTAATACGGAATAAATTTTCATAAAGTAGACTACTGTGAACTTTTCTCTGTTGGTGGGAGTGTAAATTACTTCAACCATTGTGGAAGACAGTGTGCCAATTCCTCAAGTATCTAGAACTAGAAATACCATTTGACCCAGCAATTCCATTACTGGGTGTATACCAAAAGGATTATAGATCATTCTACTGTAAAGACACATGCACAAGTATGTTTATTGTGGCACTGTTCACAATAGTAAAGACTTGAACCAACCCAAATGTCCATCAATGATAGATTGGA
This sequence comes from Homo sapiens, assembly GCF_000001405.40. Lineage (NCBI taxonomy): Eukaryota > Metazoa > Chordata > Mammalia > Primates > Hominidae > Homo > Homo sapiens. The sequence goes on from NC_000023.11 coordinate 81,455,371, forward strand.
TAAAGAAAATGTGGCACATATACACCACGGAATACTATGCAGCCATAAAAAAGGATGAGTTCATGTCCTTTGCAAGGACATGGATGAAGCTGGAAACCATCATTTTCAGCAAACTAACACAAGAACAGAAAACCAAACACCACATGTTCTCACTCGTAAGTGGGATTTGAACAATGAGAACACGTGGACACAGGGAAGGGAACATCACACACCAGGGCCTGTTGGGGGTTGGGGAGCTAGGTGAGGGATAGCATTAGGAGAAATACCTAATGTAGATGACAGGTTGATGGGTGCAGCAAACCACCATGCCACATGTATTCCTATGTAACAAACCTGCACGTTCTGCCCATGTATCCCAGAACTTAAAGTATAATAATAAAAAAAGAAATGGAATATGAACAGTATTTAACAGTCTGTCATATGCCTCTATCTAATTGAATACCCTTCCCTCCATCTAATTGAATCCCCTTCCCTCCCAGGTGAAGAAAGCTCTCTGAATTTTGTAATAATATTTCCCTCTTGTTTTTCCATACATTTATAGCTCCTATGTAGTTTTCATTTAAAAATATGTTATTTAATTTTTTCTGCTTTTGAAATTCAGGTAAATGGAATTATAAATATTTTCCCATTTTATTTATTCAACATGATGTTGGTAAAAATTCATCTATATTGTTACATATAACTCAAATTATTTCATTTTATAGAAGAGTAATATTCCATTGAATGAATATGTAAGTAGCACACCTGTAAATCCAACTGGATGTGCTATTTTTCTAGTAGGCAAATTTTAAATTCCTGATTTGTTATTTTCAAGGTTAGTGGACTATTTAGGCTTTTTTGACAAATAGTAATTGTATATATTTTTGAGGCACAATGTAATGTTTTGATTCATGTATACATTTGTATTTCCTTGACTCAGTTTGGGAAAATTTTATTTTCCTACCATTTATGTATCTAAAACTAAGAATAAAGTAGATTATAATATTTGTTTAGTTTCAGTGAGATTTCTTGGGCTTCCTAGATCTGAGGATTTTTATTCTTCAACAAGTTTGAAATATTTGACTTGACATGGTGGCTTCTGCCAGTAATCCGAGCACTTTGTAACACTGAGGCAGGCAGGTAACTTAAGCTCATGAGTTCGAGACCAGCTTGGACAACGTTGCGAAACTCTGTCTCTACAAAAAATACAAAGATTAGGTAGGCACGGTGGTGTGTGCCTGTAGTTACAGCTACTTGAGAGGCTGAAGTGGGAGGATGGCTTGAACCCAGGAGGCAGAGGTTGCAGTGAGCTAAGATAGGGCCACTGCACTTCAGCCTGGGTGATAGAGCCAGAATTTGTCTCAAAAAAGAAAATATTGAAATATTCTCAGTTATTATCTTTCTGTGTATTTTATTTCCTCATTAGCTCTCTGATGTCCTTTAAGCATTTGGATTAGATATATGTTACACTGTCTCACTTTATCCTCCATGTCTTTGTATTTCTTTCATATTTTCCCCTTCTTTATATTTGTCAAATATATTTTAGATGATTTATTTGGATGTATTGTGTAGTTCTTTAATGCTTTTTGATGTGTGCAACTATTTGTTGTTTAATCCATTCACTAAATTTTAACGTTCAATGTCTATAGTTTTTATTTTTCGATATTGTGTTTGTTTCTTTTCAACTCGGTATGGTTATTTCTTACTCATATTTTCAAGTTTTTATTTTTATCTATTTAAACTTAGCAAACTTTTTTTTCTTTGTTTTAGACAGGGTCTTGCTCTGTTGTGCAGGCTGGAGTGCAGTGGTGCAGTCCCAACTCACTGCAACCTCCGCCTCCTGGATTCAGGAGATTCTCAGCCTCCCGAGTAGCAGGGACCACAGTGCAGCACCATGGACAACTAATTTTTGTATTAGTATGGGGAGTCTCCCAATATTGGACAGGCTAGTCTCAAATTCCTGGCCTCAGGTGATCTGCCTGCCACAGCCTCCCAAAGGGCTGAGATTACAGGCATGAGTCACTGAGTCCAACCAAACATGTTTTTTTTTTAATATTCTTGTCTAATCAATTCAGTATCTGAAATCTTTATTGTTCTAAGTCTGTTATCTATTTTTTTCTGCTGTCTCTCATAGTGTCTTATTTACTTGTTTGTTTTAATATTTTAAAATATATGTTTCTCATTTTCATTGGAATTTTATTTTTGGAAATTCTGTGTGGCCTAAATGGAAAATAAGTTATTCCTGAAAGATTTTCACTTTCATGACTATTGAAAGAGGACACTACAAATCTGAGACAACTTTAAATTAATTTCTAGACCTGAGATTTTTTCTGACTACAATGAAACACACTTGAGGGATGGCTATACTTACGAATTGTTAGTGGAAATTTTTTTCAGTTCTATGTGTTTGATAATTACCATTATGATATTATCTTAAACCACAATTACGTAGCAGAGAAGGTAGTTTGTATGATATAGTATATTTATAATAACTGCTTTTAATATTTAACACAGAATAAATTTTCATAAAGTAGACTACTGTGAAACAGAACACTACCAAGCACCCAGAAGCACAGTTTGTTCTCTTTACCTTAATAACTACTAACCTAACATCATGTGTATTTTCAAATTTTTGTTTTTATTTTATTTTATTTTTTCTCAGACATTCGGGGGTGTATGTGCAGGTTTGTTACATGGGTAGATTATGTAATGGTGGGGTTTGGGCTTCTAGTGAATGCATCACCAAAGTAGTGAACATAGTGCCCAATAAGTAGTTTTTCAAATTTTTTTCCCCTCCCACCTTTCTTTTGGAGTTCTCTCTGTCTATTATTTTCATCTTTATGTCTATGTGTACTCATTGATTAGGTCGCACTTATAAAGTAAGGACGTGCGATGTTTCATTTTCTGTTTTGAAGTTATTTCACTTACGATAATGGCCTTCAGCTGCATCTATTTTGCTGCAAAATGCATGACTTCTTTTTCTAATGGCTTTGTAGTGCATGTACATGGTGTATATGTACGACATTTTCTTTTTCCAGTCATCTATTGATGGACACTTAGTTTGATTCCATTACTTTGCTATTGTGAATAGTGCTGCAATAAACATATAAGTGCAGATGTCTTTTTGATATATCTTTTCCTTTTGATAGATATCCAGTAGTGGAATTGCTGGGTCAAAAGGTAGTTTATTTTTTGAGAAATCTCTATACTGTTTTCCATAGGTGTCGAACTAGTTTATGTTTTCAACAGTAGTGGAATTGCTGGGTGAAAAGGTAGTTTTGTTTTTTATTCTTTGAGAAATCTCCATATTGTTTTATATAGGGTTTAAACTAGTTTACATTCCCAACAACAGTGCATAAGCATTTCCTTTTCTCTGCATTTGACTTTGTAGTAATAGCCCTTCTGACTGGTGCGAGGTGGTATCTCACTGTGGTTCTAATTTGCATTTCCCTGATGCTAAGTGATGTTGACCATTTTTTTTATATATGCTGATTGCTTATATGTCTTCTGTTGAGAAATATCTGTTCCTGTCCTTTGCCCACTTTTTAATGAGAATATTGTTCTTTTCTTGTTGATATAATTTCCTTATAAAGTCTAAATATTATTCCTTTGTTTGATGCATAAGTTGCAAATATTTTTTTCCATTCTGTAGGTTGTCTGTTTACTCTGTCAATTGTTTCTTTTGCTGTGCAGAAGCTCTTTAGCTTAATTAAGTCCTATTCTTCTATTTTTGTTTTCATTGCATTTGCTTTTGGGGTCTTAATCATAATTATTTTCCTAGGCCAATGTTCAGAAGATTTTTCTTAGGTTTTTTTTTTCCTAGGATTTTTATAGTTTCAGTTCTTCCATTTATGTCTTTAATCCATCTTGAGTTAGTTTGGGTATGTGGTGGAAGACAGGAGTCCAGTTTCATTCTTCTGAATATGGCTAGCCAGTTTTCCCTGCATCATTTATTGAATAGGGTGTCCTTTCCTTACTGTCTATTTTTGTGGACTTTGTCAAAGATCACTTGGTTGTACTGATGTGACCTTATTACTGGGTTCTCTGTTTCATTGACCTGTGTGTCCATTTTTGTACCGGTCATGCTGTTTGGGTTACTATAGTCTTGTAGCATAGTTTGAAGTCAGGTAATGTGATGCCTCCAGCTTTGTTATTTTTGCTTAGAACCGCTTTAGCTATTCAGGCTCTTTCCTGGTGCTACAAGATATTTATTTTTATTTTTGAGACAGAGTCCTGCTCTGTCACCCAGGCTGGAATGCAGTGGTACAATCTTGGCTCACTGGGACCTCTGCCTCCAGGGCTCAAGAAATCTTCCCACCTCAGCTTGCTGAGTAGCTGGGCCTACAGGTGAATGCTAGTACGCCCAGCTATTTTTTCTATTTTTTTGTAGAAATGGGGTTTTGCCATGTTGTCAAGGCTGGTCTTGAACTCCTGGGCTCAATCTATCTGCCTGCCTTGCTCTCCAAAAGTGCTGAGATTACGAGTGTGAGCCACCATGCCCATCCCAATATGAATTTTAGAACTGTGTTTTCTAATTCTGTGGAAATTGATGTTGGTAATTTGATAGGAATTGCATTGAATCTGTAGAGTGCTTTGGACAATATAGTCATTCTAACAATATTGATTCTTTTATTCATGAGCATTGGATGTTTTACTATTTGTATGTTAATATGATTCCGCTCTTTGTCCCCACCCAAATCTCATTTTGAATTGTAATCTCCACATGTAGAGGAAGGGATCTGGTGGGAGGTGATTGTATCATGGGGGCAGTTTCCCCCATGCTTTCATGTTCTCATGATAGTGAGGGAGTTTTCATGAGATCTCATGGTTTTAAAAGTGGCAATTTTTCCTCTGTGCGTGCTCTCTCTCCTGCCTCCTTGTGAAGAAGGTGCCTACTCTCCTTTGCCTTCCACCATGACTGTAAGCTTCCTAATAAGGTTGACTACTTATTTATAGGCTTAATGGCTATATTATTATTGTCTTTTGTAAAGTGTCTGTTCAAATATCTTGCCTATATTTTCTACAGTGTCTATCTTTTTCCTATTTACTTGTGCAAATTATTTACATATTCTCAATATGATATCTTTATTATATTGTAAATATATTGTTTCCCTGTGCCTTTCCTTTTGATACTTTAATAAACTCATATTATTTAAAAAAGGTCTTATTTTTAATTTTTATTATTAATATTTTTGATTGATAAATTATAATTATATACATTTAAATGGTATAATGTGATACTAATACATATATGTGTATATATAATATAAAAAATTAATCTAATTAACATAGCCATCACTTCACTCATCATTTTTTTTTTTTTGGTGAGGCATTTAAACTCCTTTAGTTATTTTGAGATATACATTATTATTGAGTATAGTCACCCTGCTGTGCAATATATCTTAAAGCTTATTTCTTCAGTCTGTCTGAAACTTTGTACCCTTTGATAAAAAAATAGACACTCTGGGGAAAAATAGACAAGATATTTGAACGGATACTTCACAAAAGACAGTAATAATATAGCCATTAAACCTACAAATAAGTAGCCAACCTTATTAGTCATCAGGGTGATGCAAATTAAACCACAATAAAATACCACAAGAAACCCACCAGAAATTAAACGAACATGCTTCTACACAGCAAAGGAAACTATCAACAGAGTAAACACACAACCTAGGGAATGAAAGAATATGTTTGCAAACTATGCATCTGATGGAGGTCTAATATACACAATCTATAAGGAACTTAAATCGACAAGCAAAAAAACAAACTACTCTGTTTAAAAAAAATAGGCAAAGGACAAGAACAGACACTTTTCAAAAGAAGACATACATGCATCCGTCAAGCATATAAAAAAACCTCAACATCACTAATCATTAGAGAAATGCAAATCAAAACCTTAATGAGATACCAAGTCACAGCAGTTAGAACAGCTATTATTAAAAAGTCAAAAAATTACAAATGGTAGCAAGGTTTCAGAAAAAAGGGAATGGTTATACACTGTTGGTGTAAATGTAAATTAGTTTAGCCACTGTGGAAAGCAGTTTGGAGATTACTCAAATAACTTAATACAGAACTACCATTTTATCCAGCAATCCCATTACTTGATATACCACCAAAGGAATATAAATTGTTCTACCATAAAGACACATGCACACATATGTTCATCACAGCACTGTTCACAATAGCAAAGACATAGAATCAACCTAGATGCCCATCAATGGTGAACTGGATAAGGAAAATATGGTACATACATGCCACGGAATACTATGCAGCCATAAAAAGAATGAAATCATGTATTTTGCAGGAACGTGAATGGAGCTGGAGGCCATTGCCTAAGCAAACTAATGCATGAACTGAAAACCAAATATAACTTGTTCTCACTTATAATTGGGGCTAAACATTGAGTACACATGGACACAAAGAAGGGAATGATAGACACCAGTGCCTACTTGAGGGTGGAGAGTTGGGGAAGGGTAAGGACCAAAATACTACCTATTGGTATTAGGCTCACTACCTGTGTGATGAAGTAAACTGTCCACCAAACCCCAATGACACACTATTTACTCATGTAACAAACCTGCACAGTATCCTCTGAACCTAATATAAAAGTTGAAAAAAACTCTCATAAAACAAATATCCAAACCATGGCATTGACTATTGGAAATAATTCTGAAATGAACATGGCAGTGCAGATATCCCTTAGTTGTACTGATTTCAGTTCCATTGGAAATATAGCCACTAGGGCGATTACTGAATCATATGGCTATTGTATTTTTAGTTTTTGAGGAATCACCATACTGTTTTCCATAATGGCTGTACTAATGTACTTTCCCACCAACAATGTACAAGTTTCTCCACATCCTCACCAACACTTGTTTCCTTCCATCTTTTTGATCAATGACATATTAGCAGGTGTTAGGTGATATCTCATATTGGTTTTCATTTGCATTTTCCTAATGATTAGTGATGCTGAGCATTTTTTTCATATATTTATTGGTCATTTATATGTCTTCTTTTGCAAATTGTCTTTTCAGGCCCTTAGTCTATTTTTTATTTGATTTATTTGTTTTCTTGCTATTGCGTTGTTTGAGATCCTTATATATCTTGAATATTATTCCCTTATCAAATGTATAGTTTGCAGAAATTATTTCACACACTGTAGGTTGCCTCTTTACTTTGTTTATTGTTTCTTTTGGTGTGCAGAAGTTATTTTAGTTTGATGGCATCCCATTTGCCAATTTTTGCTTTTATTGCCTGTGTTTTGGGGGTCATATCAAAAAAAGTTGTTGCCCAGTATACTTTTATAAAGCATTCCTCCTAAGTTTTCTTTTAGTCGTGTCATAGGTTCAGGTCTTAGATTTAAGTTTTAATCCATTTTGAGTTTATTTTTGTTTATGTTGAGAGATAGAGGGATCAGTTTCATTATTCTTCATGTGGATACCCAGTTTTCCTCAGCACCATTCATTGAAAATACTTTTTCCTAATTGTGTGTTCTTGACACATTTGTCAAAAATCAATTGAACATAAATTTGTGGGTTTATTTCCTGCTTTCTAATTCTGTTTCAAAAGTTGATATGTCCTTTTCTTTGTAATTAATCATGCTGTCTTGATTAAAATCGCTTCATTATATGTTTTGAAATTAGTGAGTGTGATGCCTCCAGCTTTGTTATTTTTGCTAAAGATTGTTTTGGCTATTCAGAGTTTTTGTAGTTCCATACAAATTTAAGTTTTTTTTTTTTTAAATTCTGTAAAAAACGACATTGGAATCCTGCCAAGATTTCCATTGAATCTGTAGATTGCCTTGGGTAGTGTGAACATTTTTACAATGTTAATTTTCTAATCCCTGAATATGAAATATCATTCCATTTTTATTTTCTATTTTTTCAATGTTTTCTATGTTTTATTGTTTTCATTATACAGGTCTTTTACCTCTTTGATTAAATTTACACATTAGGGTGTATTTTTTGTTGTTGTTAAAATATTTTTTTGTTATCATTCCAATTATTTGCTACTAGTGTATAGAAATGCTACTGATTTTTGTATGTTGATTTTGTATTCTGCAACTTTCCAGAATTAGTTTTTCAGTTCTAACAGTTTTTTGTGTGTGAAGTCTTTAGAGTTTCCATACATAAGATCGTGTCATCAGCAAATAGAGAAATTTTCACTTCTTCCTTTTCTATTAGAAAGTCTTTTATCGCTTTTTCTTGCCTAATTACTCTGGGTAGTACTTTCAATACTACATTGAAAAGACGTGGTCACAGTGGGCTTTATTGTCCTGTCCATGATCTCAGACAAAAAGCTCTCTACTTTTCAACATCAAGAGTGATATTAGCTATGTGTTTGTTATCTATGGTCTTTACTCTGTTGAGGTATATGTCTTCTATACCTAATATGTTGAGAGTTTTTATCATAAAAGTTGGCTGAATTTTGTTATATTCTTTTTTTGCATCTATTGATATGATAATACAATTTTTAGTTTTCATTTTGTTAATGTGATGTATCACATATATTGATTTGTGATGGTTGAATCATCCTTGCATGCCAGGGATAAATTCCACTTGAACACGGTGAATGATTCTTTTAATGTGTTGCTAAATTCAATTTCCAAATACTTTGTTGAGGATTTTTGCATCTATTTTCATCGGCAGTGACCTTTCAGCTTTGGTGTCAAGGTAATGCTGGCTTTGTAAAATTAGAAGTATTATTTTTTATTCCTGTGGCATCTGTTGTAATGACTCTTACTTTTGATTTTACTTATTTAAGTCTTCTGTCTTTTTTTATTGGTCTAGTTAAAAGTTTTCTGATTTTTAAAATCTATTCAAATTATTCTTCGTTTTGTTGGTTTTCTATTGTGTTATTCTCTATTTATTATTTCTATTCTTTATTATTTTCTTCTTCCTGCTAACGTTGGCCTTAGTTTATTCATTTATTTATTTACTTGAAATGTAAAGTTAGGGTTTTAATTTGAGATAATTCTTGTGTTTCAATGTGGACACTTATTACTATAAGCTATATTCTTAGTACTGCTTTAGCTGTATCCTTTACATTTTGGTATGTTGTGTTTTTGTTTTTGTTTGTCTTGAGATATTTTCTAATTTCCCTTTTGAATTCCATTTTGACCCAATGTTTGTTAAAGAGTGTCTTGTTTAATTTATTCATATTTAGAAATGTATCCTGCATTTCTGACTGATGTTTTCTACATATTTCACTAGATTTATCTTGTTAATGGAATCATCTATATCTTTATGATTTGTTTAATCAATTACTGAGACTCATTAAAATTACTCTAATTGTGAATATCTACTTTTTTTAGTTCTGTCAGCTTTTGCCTCACATATATTGACATTATGATTAGATACACATCAATTTAGAACGATATATTTGTTGTGAACTGATACTTTTATTATTTTGGAGCATCCTATTTTACTTACAGTAATATTTATTTTCTTAAATTCAATCTCATGTTATCAGTATAGCTATACAGCTATTCTTTTGTTCACATTTTTATGGGTCATCTTTTCCATGTTTTTACTTCCAAAAATAAAGAAAATCATTTTTAATTGACACATAATAATTGTATGTATTTATGGGATGCAGGTAATATTTGATACATGCATACATTGTGTCATCGGGGTAACTGGGATACCCTTCACTTCCATCATTTATTTCTTTGTGTTGAGGACATTTGAAATGCTCTTTTAGCTATTTTGAAACATACAATAAATTATTGATAACTATGGTCACCCTACTGTGCTATTGGCAGAGGTTGGTTAATAGGTTCATAATTATAGTTATGTAGAAGGAATAAGTATTTTCAAACTTTCTAATCTCTATATTTAAATTATATCTCATGTAAGCTACATGTACTTTTTTCCAACATGATAATCTTTGTCTTTTAATTTGACCATTTAATCTATTATATTTTAACATATTTAATCATCTGTTTGGGTTTAAACTAGTTATATTGTTATATGTTTTCTTTGTCACATCTGTTGTAGTTTATCTTTTTTCTCAACTTCTTTTGCATTACATTTGAATTGTTTGTTTGTGTGTGTGTTTTGTCGTTAACAGTTTCCCCCCCATTAGCTTGCTAACTAAATACTTTTTCTAATATATTTTTCATCCCAGAGGTGACAATGTGAATTATCGACTTATTAAAATATCATATAAATTAATATATTTTCAATAGTCAGATAATTTAGGGTCTTCAGAATGGCACACTCTAGCCTTTTGTTTTATTACATTCTGTTAAGCATTACTTCAAATCTCTTAAATCTCAAAAAGCATTATTGTCATTGTTCATAAAATCAATATTTACTCAAAGTTATTTAAATAATTTTACTTTTTATTGCTCTTTATTTCTGCATTTCATTTTTCTCACCATCTGAGATCATTTTCCTTCTACTTGAAAAAAATATATTTCTATTAGTTAGGGTTTTACTTTGGCTGGTCATAAATTCCCTCAAATTTTCTTTGCCTGAAATGTCTTATGTTGCCTCTACCTAAAAACATAAATTGATTGGCTGTTAAGTTTTTGGTTGGAAATTATTTCCTTTTAATATTTTAAGAATGTTATGTTATTGTTGTGTGGCTTTCCTTGATTCCACTTAGAGGTAGTGTGTTTTTCTCTCTGTGATTTTTAAGTTTTTCTCTTTGAATTTTATTTAAAGCACTTTTGCTATGAACATGCCTGGGTGTGATCTTATTTGTAGGCATATTCTTGAGATTTTTAGTACTTCTTGAATCTGTGGCTTGATGACATCTTTCTTTAGTTTAGAAAAATTCTTGGCAATTATCTATTATATTTTCTTTTAAAGTAATACTTCTGCCCCAATCTCTTCTTTCTGCATGGGACACCAATTGAAAATACATTATATCTTTCCATGATATCCTGTTTATAGCTTATTTCCTCTTTCTTGATCTCTCTCTGTTTACTTTGTCTCTGTTCCTCTCTCTCTCTTTATGTTTTTCATCTCTTTCTCTTATCCTTCGGTCTGAATATTTTTCTATGACTTAGCTTCCATTTCAATAATCATGTTTTTCACTCTCCATTGGTACGTACGTCTCCTAAATTCTTAATTTTAATTTTTCAGTTATAGAATTTACATTTGATTCTTTTTTATTGACTCTAGTTCTCTGATAAAATTCTTTATTTTGTTCACTATTTTTTGAGTGCATTTTTCACAGTTATTTTAAAGTCTCTTTCTGATAACTTCAATATCTGAAACTGGTGTGAATATGTTCTTTTGAGTATTTTTCTCTGATATTTTGGTCATTTAAAAAATCTGTATATCTTACAATTTTTTTCATGAATCTTGGACATTGTATAAAAAGTTGCAAATATAATTTCAGGCTCTTAATTGTGATATCTTCTTCTGGAGATGATTAACTTTTGTTTCTGGGAGGTAGTTACGGTAGAGTCAGACTATCTTAATACAGTCAATGATTAAACTGAACGAAGGTTGCTTTTAATCTTCTTGAGAGCTTATTTTTAATTTTACTCTTTGAGTGTATCTACTTGACAATCTCAACTTAAAGCCAGGGGGTTATCCTCCACCTTGGTGGGCCCTGAGCTATAACTTTTGCTTCACCTGTTAATTGAGATATCCAAAGTCTCTGTTTAGCTTCCTGACCACTTGGCTAGGATTTACGAATTGAAAAATGCCTTGTAATGTGAAGCAGTGTGAATGTGAGGCTTACCTATAAGTGTTTTCTTTTTGTCCAGGATCATGTTCCTGATAATTCTTTGATTCCTTCATATAAAATTTTAAAAATTATTAGTCTTTTATTACTTGGTAGATGGGTGAGTTTGATAGACATTTAATCTCCATATGTAGAGGAGTAATTGCCATGTCCTGTATGCCATTTTTCATCTTCTGAGGAGCACATGGCAGGATAGGACTAGATGTGAATGAAATTTATTGGTGAAACATCCTTGAAAAATGAATGTTAAATATAAAAATAATGGAAGAGGAAGCATGAGTAGGCAAAAAGAGCTTTAAGATTGTGATTCAAGTATGATACCTTCAAAAGAAGAGAGGGAAGAAAGGATTGCATGAGAAAATCTCATGCCACAGCACAGTTCTGGTGAAGTTTCAGCAGGCTTATATAGAGCCCCTAAGGGCAAGAATGAGCCAGCATTACTAGCCCACTGTATTTCTTCACTGACTTAGAGCAGCACTAGGTAAGTGTAGTTTCAGAATTCATTGGAGTAGCAGTGTAAACTATGATCTTTGCTTCAAATTCTATTGAAAGAGATCTGAGTGGTGCATCTCCATGCTACTGTATATAATCTCTTGAGCTGCACATTTCTATTTCTCCGTATATGTTTATGGAGCATCTCATCCATGTTTCCTGTCAGCCTTTATTACTGCAGAGAAACACAGAAGGGAGAGCTAAATGGGACAATCTGCTGCTGTGATCTCTGTATTTAGTCTTAGGCCACAACTGCTATTTATCTCCCACTTCTATTATAAACTCAGCAGTTCTTGATGGATTGCCTGGTCATTGGACCCAACAATTTTTTCCTAAAATGACTGAGTCCTTGATAACCATTCCTTTCTCAGAGTTGTTGAATATGTCACAATAGGTATGGAAGTACTAAAAAGTGATAAAAAGCATTACCTAAGTGTCGCACATTTTATCTCTGACATCATTGTGTAAAAGGAGCCTATTCTCCTCCTGCTGATCAGGGTCAATAACCCACTGACAGTGTTGACTCCTCATCTTCTAGTCCCTGTATACAAGGAGTCTAAAGAATCCAGGTGGAAGCTGTAGCTTGCAGTTCAACATGACCATGTTTGTAATCCCAAAGAAAAGTAAATTCATTGGGGATCCAGACATACAATCCTGAAGAGCTGAGAGTTGTGGAAACAGGCACACAAAGTACTCTAGTGGGTCCTTTGGAGTGTCGATAAGTGGGGCCATCCTGCTTCTACTCCTTGGTTCCCAGAACAATGTTTCATTTCTATTGGGGACATTGTACCATATAGAAGTCTCTGCTATAATTCATATATTGCATCCTTAAAAATAGAATCCTATCCTTGTAGAGTGTTGCTGGCAAGCTGTCATTTCACCTGTGTCTTAAGCCGATCATTCCACAGTTCTGTCGTACTGGCTGATTCTAGATTATGTGGTGTGTGATATGACCAGTAGATCTCATACTCATAGACCCACTCTCAAACCTCACAAGTATTATGTAAGCTCCCCTATAGTGATGCGGTTGAGTCTTCATGGACAGGAAAGGTAAACCCATATCTAGCGTAGACATTTCTCTCTAAAAGGTTGAACCATTGACTCTTCCAGGAGAAAAAGAGCCCAGTGCATTCAACTAACCACCAAGTGGCTGACTGCTCTCCTTGAAGAATAGTATATTATTAGGATTTAGTAATAATTTTGCTGCCTGCAGGTTGGACCTAGAGAGGCAGCAATAGCTAGGTAGATCTTGATAAGATAGAGTCAGTGCTGTTGAGCCTATGCCTAACCTCTATCTCTGCCACCTTGCTCATTCTATGCATGTGCCCATGATGCCAGCTCTGTGGTGGTCAAAATACAAAATTTAGCTAATGCCAGCTGGATTAGTCATTTTGTCTGTATGTTTGTTCAGTGCATCTTCATGAAGATGATTTCTAATGGGTATTAATACATAATGCAAAAATCCTTCCACTTAATGCTCATTCACATGTATATGTCAACATACCTCTACACAAAACTCCTTTGTCTTCCATCTTCCAGTTGTTTTCCTTTCAGACTTCTAATTATGTAGGTAGGCCTTTGACCACTGTTTAGAAATATGTATACATTCTTACTTCAGGCCATTTTTTTTTCCACTTAAAGTAGATGACCAGATGCCATTTCTTTCTTTCTTTCTTTCTTTTTTTACAAGAACAAAATGTAAACTCAATTGTATTTCTATGTACTAGCAGTGAACAATCAGAAATTAAAATAAAACATATAATTCCATTTATAATAGCATCAAAAATATGAAATATTTAGAAATAAATCTGACATAACCTGTGCGAGACTGAAAACTATGAAACACTGCTAAGAAAAGTTAAAGATCTAAATAAGTGGAAAGATATGCTATGTTTATTGTTCAGAAGACTCAATATTATTATTTTTGAAGTACTCTTTAAAAATTTTTTTTATTATACTTTACGTTCTGGGATACATGTGCAGAACGTGCAGGATTTTTACATAGGTAAACACGTGGCATGGTTGTTTGCTGCACCCACCAACCCGTCATCTACATTAGGTATTTCTCCTAATGCTATCCCTCCCCTAGCCACCCACCCCCTGACTGGCCCGAGTGTGTGATGTGTTCTCATTGTTCAACTCCCAATTATGAGTGAGAACATGCCATGTTTGGTTTTCTGTTCTTCAGAAAATGATGGTTTTCAGCTTCATCCATGTCCCTGCAAAAGACATGAACTCATCCTTTTTTATGGCTGCATAGTATTCCATGGTGTATATGTGCCACATTTTCTTAATCCAGTCTATCATTGATGGGCATTTGGGTTGGTTCCAAGTCTTTGGTATTGTGAATAGTGCCGCAATAAGCATACATCTGCATGTGTCTTTATAGCAGCATGATTTATAATCCTTTGGGTATATACCCAGTAATGGGATTGCTGGGTCAAATGGTAATTCTAGTTGTAGATCCTTGAGGAATCACCACACTGTCTTCCACAATGGTTGAACCAATTTACACTCCCACCAACAGTGTAAAAGTGTTCCTATTTCTCCACATTCTCTCCAGCATCTGTTGTTTCCTGACTTAATGATTAAATGATTAAATCCATTAAATGATTGCCATTCTAACTGGTGTGAGATGGTATCTCATTATGGTTTTGCTTTGCATTTCTCTGATGACTGGTAATGATGAGCATTTTTTCATGTGTCTTTTGGTTGCATAAATGTCTTCTTTTAAGAAGTGTCTGTTCATATCTTTTGGCCACTTTTTGATGGGGTTGTCTTTTTCTTATAAATTTGTTTGAGTTCTTTGTAGATTCTGGATATTAGCCCTTTGTCAGATGGGTAGATTGGAAAACTTTCTCCCACTCTGTAGGTTGCCTGTTCACTCTGATGGTAGTTTCTTTTGCCATGCAGAAGCTCTTTAGTTTAATTAGTTGCCATTTGTCTATTTTGGCTTTTGTTGCCATTGCTTTTGGTGTTTTAGTCATGAAGTCCTTGCCCATGCCTATGTCCTGAATGGTATTGCCTAGGTTTTCTTCTAGGGTTTTTATGGTTTTAGGTCTAACATTTAAGTCTTTAATCCATCTTGAATTAATTTTTGTATAAGTTGTAAGAAAGGGATCCAGTTTCGGTTTTCTGCATATGGCTAGTCAGTTTTCCCAACACCATTTATTAAATAGGGAATTCTTTCCCCATTGCTTGTTTTTCAGGTTTGTCAAAGATCAGATGGTTGTAGATATGTGGCACTATTTCTGAGGGCTCTGTTCTGTTCCATTGTTCTATATCTCTGTTTTGGTACCAGTACTATGCTGTTTTGGTTATTTTTGGTTACTATAGCCTTGTAGTATAGTTTGAAGTCAGGTAGCATGATGCCTCCAGCTTTGTTCTTTTGGCTTAGGATTGCCTTGGCAATGCAGGCTCTTTTATGGTTCCATATGAAATTTAAAGTAGTTTTTTTCCAATTCTGTGAAGAAAGTCATTGGTAGCTTGATGGGGATGGCACTGAATCTATAAATTACTTTGGGCAGTATGGCCATTTTCACGATATTGATTCTTCCTATCCAGGAGCATGGAATATTCTTCCATATGTTTGTGTCCTCTTTTATTTCATTGAGCAGTGGTTTGTAGTTCTCCTTGAAGAGGTCCTTCACATCTCTTGTGAGTTGGATTCCTACATATTTTATTCTCTTTGTAGCAATTGTGGATGGGATTTCACTCATGATTTGGCTCTCTGTATATCTGTTAATTACGTGTAGGAATGCTTGTGATTTTTGCACATTGATTTTGTATCTTGAGACTCTGCTGAAGTTGTTTATCAGCTTAAGGAGATTTTGGGGTGAGACGATGGGGTTTTCTAAATATACAATCATGTCATCTGCAAACAGGGACAACTTTACTTCCTCTTTTCCTAATTGAATACCCTTTATTTCTTTCTCTTTCCTGATTTCCCTAGCCAGAACTTCCAACACTATGTTGAATAGGAGTGGTGAGTGAGGGCAGCCTTGTCTTGTGCTGGTTTTCAAAGGGATGCTTCCAGTGTGTGCCCATTCAGTATGATATTGGCTGTGGGTTTGTCATAAATAGCTCTTATTATTTTGAGATATGTTCCACCAATGTCTAGTTTATTGAGATATTTAGCATGAAGGACTGTTGAATTTTGTCAAAGGCCTTTTCTGCATCTATTGAGACAATCATGTGGTTTTTGTCTTTGGTTCTGTTTATGTGATGGATTACATTTATTGATTTGCATGCATTCAACCAGCCTTGCATCCCAGGGATAAAGCCCACTTGATCGTGGTGGATAAGCTTTTTGGTGTGCTGCTGGATTCGGTTTGCCAGTATTTTATTGAGGATTTTTGCATCGATGTTCATCAGGGATATTGGTCTAAAATTCTCTTTTCTTGTTGTGTCTCTGCCATGCTTTGCTATCAGGATGATGTTGGCCTCATGAAATGAATTAGGGAGGATTCCCTCTTTTTCTATTGGTTGGAGTAGTTTCAGAAGGAATGGTACCAGCTCCTCTTTGTACCTCTGGTAGAATTCGGCTGTGAATCTGTCTGGTCCTGCATTTTTTTTTGGCTGGTAGGCTACTAATTATTGCCTCAATTTCAGAGCCTGTTATTGATCTATTCAGAGATTCAAGTCTTTCTGGTTTAGACTTGGGAGAGTGTATGTGTCCAGGAATTTATCCATTTTTTCTAGTTTTTCTAGTTTATTTGTGTAGAGGTGTTTATAGTATTTTCCGATGATAGTTTGTGTTTCCGTGGGATCGGTGATGATATCCCCTTTATCATTTTTTATTGCGTCTATTTGATTCTTCTGTCTTTTCTTCGTTATTAGCCTTGTTAGTGGTCTACCAATTTTGTTGATCTTTTCAAAAAGCCAGCTCCTGGATTCATTGATGTTTTGAAGGGTTTTTTGTGTCTCTATGTTTTTCAGTTCTGCCGTGATCTTAGTTATCTCTTGCCTTCTGAATATGTTTGCTCTTGCTTCTCTACTTCTTTTAATTGTGATATTAGAGTGTTGATTTTAGATGTTTCCTGATTTCTCTTGTGGACATTTAGTGCTATAATCTTCCCCCTACACACTACTTTAAATGTGTCCCAGATATTCTGGTACGTTGTGTCTTTGTTCTCATTGGTTTCAAAGAACGTCTTTATTTCTGCCTTCATTTCGTTATTTTCCCAGTAGTCATTCAGGAGCAAGTTACTCAGTATCCATGTAGTTGTGCATTTTTGAGGGAGTTTCTTAGTCTTGAGTTCTAACTTGATTGCACTGTGGTTTGAGAGACAGTTTTGTTGTGATTCCTGTTCTTTTACATTTGCTGAGGAGTGTTTTACTTCCAATTATGTGTTCAATTTTGGAATAAGTGTGATGTGGTGCTGAGAAGAGTGTATATACTGTTGATTTGGGATGGAGAGTTCTATTAGGTCCACTTGATGCAGAGCTGAGTTCAAGTCCTGGATATCCTTGTTAAACTTCTGTCTCATTGATCTGTCTAATATTGACAGTGGGGTGTTAAAATCTCCCATTAATGTGTGGGAGTCTACGTCTCTTTGTAGGTCTCTAAGGACTTGCTTTGTGAATCTGGGTCTTCCTGTATTGGGTGCATATATATTTAGGACAGTTAGCTCTTCTTGTTGAATTTATTCCTTTACCATTATGTAACGGCCTTCTTTGTCTCTTTTGATCTTTGTAGGTTTAAAGTCTGTTTTATCATAGAGTAGGATTGCAACCCCTGCTTTTTTTTTGCTTTCCATTTGCTTGGTAGATCTTCCTCCATCCCTTTATTTTGAGCCTAGGTGCATCTTTGCACGTGAGAAGGGTCTCCTGAATAGAGCACACAAAGGGGTCTTGACTCTTTATCCAGTTTGCCAGTCTGTGTCTTTTAATTGGGACATTTAGCCCATTTACATTTAAGGTTAATATTGTTATGTGTGAATTTTTTCCTGTCATTATGATGCTAGCTGGTTGTTTTGCCCATAAGTTGATACAGTTTCTTCATAGTATTGATGGTCTTTACAATTTGGTATGTTTTTGCAGTGGCTAATACCAGTTTTTCCTTTCCATGTTAAGTGCTTCCTTCAGGAGCTCTTCTAAGGCAGGCCTTGTGGTGACAAAATCTCTCAACATTTGCTTGTCTGTAAAGTATTTCATTTATCTTTCTCTTATGAAGCTTAATTTGGCTAGATATGAAATTCTGGGTTGAAAATTCTCTTCTTTAAGAATGTTGAATATTGGCCGCCAATCTCTTCTGGCTTGTAGGGTTTCTGTCAAGACATCCACTGTTAGTCTGATGGGCTTCCCTTTGTGGGTAACTCGACCTTTCTCTGTGGCTGCCCTTAACACTTTTTCCTTCATTTCAACCTTGGTGAGTCTGACAATTATGTGTCTTGGGGTTGCTCTTCTCAGGGAGTATCTTTGTGTTGTTCTCTGTATTTCCTGAAGTTGAATGTTGGCCTGCCTTGCGAGGTTGTGGAAGTTCTCCTGCATAATATACTGCAGAGTGTTTTCCAACTTGGCTCCATTCTCCCCATCACTTTCAGGTACACCAATCAAATGTAGATTTGGTCTTTTCACATAGTCCCATATTTCTTGGAGGCTATGTTCGTTTCATTTTACTCTTTTTTCTCTAACCTTGTTTTCTCACTTTATTTCATTAATCTGATCTTCAATCACTGATACCCTTTCTTCCACTTGATCGAATCAGCTATTGAAGCTTGTGCATGTGTCACGTAGTTCTTGTGCCATGGTTTTCAGCTCCATCAGGTCATTTAAGGTCTTCTCTACAGTGTTTATTCTAGTTAGCCATTCGTCTAATCTTTTTTTCAAGGTTTTTAGCTTCCTTGCGATGGGTTCAAACATCCTCCTTTAGCTCAGAGAAGTTTGTTATTACCTATCTTCCGAAGCCTACTTCTGTCAGCTCATCAAAGTCATTCTCCGTCCAGCTTTGTACCATTGCTGGCTAGGAGCTGCAATCCTTTGGAGGAGAAGAGATGCTCGGATTTTTAAAATTTTCAGCTTTTCTGCTCTGGTTTCTCCCCATCTTTGTGGTTTTATCTACCTTTGGTCTTTGATGTTGGTGACCTACAGATGGCGTTTTGGTGAAGATGACCTTTTTGTTGATGTTGATGCTATTCCTTTCTGTTTGTTAGTTTTCCTTCTAACAGGTCCCTCAGCTGCAGGTCTGTTGGAGTTTGCTGGAGTTCTACTCCAGACCCTGTTCGCCTGGGTATTACCAGTGGAGGCTGCAGAACAGCAAATATTGCTCCCTGATCCTTCCTCTGGAAGCTTCTTCCCAGAGGGGAAGCCGCCTATATGAGGTGTCTGTCAGCCCCTTCTTGGAGGTGTCTCCCAGTTAGGCTACATGGGGCCAGGGACTCACTTGAGGGGGCAGTCTGTCCTTTCTCAGAGCTCAAATGCTGTGCTGGGAGAACCACTGCTCTCTTCACAGCTGTCAGACAGGGACGTTTAAGTCTGCAGAAGTTGTCTGCTGCCTTTTGTTCAGCTATTCCCTGACCATAGAGGTGGAGGCTAGAGGCAGTAGGCCTTGTTGAGCTGTGGTGGGCTTCGCCCATTTTGAGCTTCCTGGCCTACTCAAGCCTCAGCAATGGCACATGCCCCTCCCCCAGCCAGGCTGCCGACTCACAGATGGATCTCAGACTGCTGCACTATCAGTGAGCAATGCTCCATGGGTGTGGGACCTGCTGATCCAGGCACGGGGAGAGAATCACCTTGTCTGCAGATTGCTAATACCTTCAGAAAAGCACAGTATTTGGGTGGGGAGTGTCCCGTTTTTCCAGGTGGTCTGCCAAGGCTTCCCTTGGCTAGGAAAGGGAAATGCCCCGGCCCCTTGTGCTTCCAGGGTGAAAAGATGCCCCGCCCTGCTTCAGCTAGCCCTCCGTGGGCTGCACCCACTGTCCAACCAGTCCCAGTGAGACGAACCAGGTGCCTCAGTTGGAAATGCAGAAATCACCCATCTTCTGTGTCGATCACACTGGGAGCTGCAGACCGGAGCTGTTCGTATTCGGCCATCTTGGAAGGTATTTGTGTATCATCTTTTTAATCCCCTTTTTATATTCTTTAAGGATTTTCTTCTGTCCTGCATAATGGGTGAATTCCTCAATACTATCTTCCAGTTTTATAATTCTCTCTTTAAGGTCTAGTCAAATGTTTACCTGTACATTAATACTCGTTTATAATTACTAAAATTTTTCTTTCTAATATTTATAATAGATTAATATTCATGTCCTCCTTGTTTTGTTTCTGCCTCCTTGTTTTGTTATTCTTACTATAAATTTTAATTATTCATTTATCTCTAGGAGTCTCCTAAACACACATATTTTAAAGTCTTTTAAGACTACTCAATTATTATTATTATTTTTTAGCTTTTTGAATTGGAGATATTTTTCTCTTTTTTTCCTCTCTATACCTCTCCCTTTCTAGCAGTTAGAGAGAGGTATAGAGTTACTTACCTTTACTTGGCTCCCTGGTATCTTCAGTCTATAACAGTACGTCTTAGTTTGTGCTTTTCCAGAACCAAACTTTAAAGCAAAGATTCCAGTTTAAATTGTTTATTTTGGAAGTAATATTTTAAAAATATTGCAATGGGAAGGAAAAAGTGAGGTGGATAAGGGAAAGTAGCCAAAAGGGTTTATTATTAAGCAAATTATCACTTCACTGCAGGTTAATAAAACATAATTCTTCTGAGGAATACTAAAACCTAGTGTAAAATATGGACCTCAGATTTAAGCCCCTGAAGAATTAAGGGAGCTGAAGTATTTATTCACCAGTTTCTGTCATACATTCATTGAGGGCTACCCTGAAAAAAGTTAATTCCTTCACATTTCTGGCTTACTGCATGGGTGACAAATAGGGTTTAAAATGCCAGAGAAAACCTGCAGGCAGGTAAACTATATATATATACACACACGCACATATATATGTGTGTATATATATATATGTATGTATGTGTACATATAGTATATATATGTGTGTATATATATAGTATATACACATGAGTATATATATATATATATATATATATATATATATATATATATATAAAGTGTAGCTTCCCTGTGGGAGACTAATTTCTAAATCCACTTCCTGATTTTGAGTTCAGAGAGCAGCAGGTCATTGCTTTAGCTTTAGCTTTACTTATTGGTGTTTCTTTCTCTTTATTGATGATCCATAGAGAATATTTTCTTGTTTTTTTTGGCTTTAATGTGCCTTTTATTCTCATAATTTCTATTTTTATCTAACATTATTATGCATTTGATGCAGAGTCTGCCCCAAGGATAAACTTTAAATGCCTTCTCAATTGGAGGTCTAAACCTTCCGTTCTGCCTTCTAAATCCAATTCTACCAATTATGAGTTCCTGTTTGGGGTGAAAAGTTTTGGAATAAATGGTAATGATGGTTTCACAGTGTTATGAAGGTAATTAGTGCCACTGAACTGTACATTGAAATATGGTTAAAATGGTTTTATCTTCAAGATGGTTTATTGGGGGTTTTATTAATGTGCCTCATCCACTTAGAGTAAAATAGAGTGTGAAGATTCACACTGTAAACTTTCATCGGAGAAGAAACACAGGTGCCTAACACAAAAAATGAAAGAAACTTCAGACACATTGCATGGAGAGGTGCGCAGCAATCTCTACCTTGAGAGAGGCAGAAAACTGTGTTTCTAGAGCTTGAAAGGGGGAGAAACTGTCTGCATGATACTTATTCTCACTGGGGAGCTGGGAAATCCAGGCAATGAGGGAGTGAGTGCCTTAACTCTACCCAGTGTTGAAGGTTATTTGGTGAGTAGTGAGGACTACATGAGAAGGAGAGGCATCAATAAGTGTTTTGTGTGCACTCTCATAGCCCAGCAAAGACAGAGAGAAGATATTCCTGATCTGACTCATAGGGGACCTCATAGAATTCTGCCAACTAACTCAAGTGGTGGTCACAGGTTGGCAGCATCTTCCGACTGAGATGTGCAATCTAATCTAGAGTGGGAAGGATTCCTTTAAACAGAATTGAAGGTGAGCAGGAAGCATGCTCTTGCCATGGGTGTGGGTGCTGGGTGCCCCTGTTTTGTGGGTAAATGGGAGGGGCGTGTCCTGAAAGCTGTGGCCTTTTTCCCAGGTGGGAAGGCTTGTGGCCTAGGGAAGTTTTACACTGTAAGCCCAGAACTGCCCAAGACCCAGCTAGCTGTTGCCAGGAGAAGTCTAGGGGCGTGAGATCCACCATATCAAGGACAGGGGAGCAGGGCACGCCTCACTGCTGCTTGTTACACCCCTCTCTCATGCCAATTCTTTTGAGCAGCAGAGGCAGTTTAACTCCTCCCTGGAGCACTACTTCAGTACACAGGAAACTGCCTTCCAATCCCCATTGGCTTGTGTCCACATGTGGGTAGCCAGAATGTGGACTTTCCTCACTCATCTAACATTGCCCCTCAACTGGCCTTTGTAGCATAACACAATAAAAATGACTATTGGGAGGCTCATGGCCCCACTCATCACCTGGAAGATCTGAGTACTTGGCCTGGGTAGCATAAGCCAAGCATAAATTCCACAGCCGCCACTGCCTGGCCCTCTTCGGCAAGCACCATCTCTTGGCCAGAGGTCACCTCACACAGCCCATTACAACATCTGCTGACACAGTAACACAGCACTCAGGAATGAAAAATACTTTGTGCAACCTCAGCTAACACCATTGCCCACACCACCGTGGCTACTCAGGGCCTTAAGCCTATTTATGCATCCAGTACATTACTACTACAGCTAGTAACTGAGAAAGCCACCGCATTAAGGGTATTTACAACTAATGGCATCTTATAGAGTTTATGCCACTCTCCTGCACCACCCATCTGAGGAGATGCATGCACCTGCTACTGGGAGACCAGAGGACAGGTCATCCCAGTGTAGCTCCACACTATATTATCCTCTTCTGGAGCTAAGAACAGAGCTCAAGCCACTACAAGTCCGCCAGACTTGTCCATAGCCTGAGGCATTGGATAGCTTATCCAGGTGACTAACTAGAGACATTGGTGACTAATTATCCTCAGAAGGAAGAACCTATACTAGAAGTGAATAATAATAGCCCAAGCAGAGTGCTAAGGGGAGAGTGCTGGAACCTATAAGAAAGTTAATTGGAAGGATCTATGATACACACAGAAAGAAAGTAAGAAGAAGCTGGCAAAGATCAAACCCTGAGAGACTTCGTATTCTGTGGAAAAGGTAAGTGGGAAAGATGTCAGCCTCTCTAGCCCTTGATTGCTGGTATCCAAACTCAAAAAGAGCTTCTTTGCCCCCACAAGACCAAGTACAGGAGTGGGCTGTGATTTGGGGACTTCTCGAGGGGATTACCTTGCACGTGCAAGTTTCTTTCCCTTTCCTCCTGGACCCAAGCTGTATTAGTGTGCACTATACTGGGTGTGCATGCATCATGGGACTTTGTTCTGCTCAGAGACCTCCAGCCCTTGTGTCTTCTCATTACTGGATCCCTTGCAGACATTCACCAGCACCAGCTTAGATTGCAGCATCCCCAGAGGGCAGCTAGACCCAGAGGAGCAGCAGAATTCACAGTAGTCTGGCCCTTGGGAGATTGGTACTCTTAGGGGAAGAGGGAGTATACCACAACAAGGAAGCACCCCATGGAACAAAAGAAACAAGAGGGCAGGCTTTTCTGTGTTCCAGAACTTCCTGCTTGTGGGAAGTTTTTTTTTCAGCAGAGGCACAGCCACAGTGTTGAGCTCAGTGGGTAAAAGCATCAGTTCTGCCCCAGTAGTCAAGCAGCTCCAGTGCTCAGGAAGGGACTTGGAGCAGGAGACTTCTCCTCCCTCTCACTTACCACTGCAGTCACAGCTGGGGCTTCCCCATGGGAGATCAGCATTGTTGCACCTGTTGACTGCCTTTCTGGGGGCACTTTGAGGTAACTGCATCTTCATGGGAGAAGTGTCCTCTGGGCTCAGGCTTGCATGAAGGGTAGAGAGTCTTACTGCCTCTTTACACAGAATGTTAGCATTTCTGCAGATGGACAAAGGTGCCTGTCTGATTGGAATATCCAGATCACTGGGATAGAAACATGATAGGGAGGCAGATTGCTTTCCTGCTTGCCTGGTAGCAGAGCTGAGGTGGCTCCCTCACTCCACCCTGCGAAGACCACAGTGTATTCCACTGGAAGCCCCCACAGCCACTTCTGTCAAAAATGGGGCTTTTGTCCACCATTGTGTTATTGCATGTACCCACGTGCCTCAGCTGCAGCTGGTTTTCATCCATAGATACCTCCTAATGGGCGGAAGACTAAACTGTTCAACCTAGTGCAAAAAAGCACTGGGAAAAGAAAGTGCGCACCATTGGGAAACATTGTAAGCTTCATGACACCTCTGCAATTCTGGCCTCACAGGAGAGAGTGAACCTGCTCACAACAAGTACATAACTACTACTATCATCATCTGAGAACGTCATCACACAAAGGTTCTCTGTAATTAAGGATTCACACAGTCTTTTCTACTGAAGGCAAACAGAACCAAAGATAGGTGACCGTGAACTAAACATATTGAAGTCACATTCTCAAAAAGGAAAGATCTAGTGAAATAAAAAATAAGTTCAATAATAATAAGAATAAATAATCTACCCAGATGAGAAGGAATGAGAAAAAATAATTCTGGCAATATGAAAAAAAAAACCAAGAATTTTATAACACCCTGAAAAGATCACACTAACTCTCTACCAATAGATTCAAACTAAAATGAAATAATTGAAATACCAGACAAATAATTCAAAATGTGAATCATAAAGCTATTCAATGGTATCCAAGAGAAAACTGAAAACCAACATAAAAAAGTTAAAAATAATTCATATAACCAAAATTAGAGCTGAACTGAAAGAAATTGAGACAAGAAAAACCATTCAAAAGATCAAGAAATACAAGAGTTTTTTGACAATATTAATAAAATAGACCACTAGCTAGACCAACAAAGAAGAAAAGAGAGACCAAATAAACATAATTAGAAATGACAAAGGGGATGTTACCACTGACTTCACAGAAATACCAATAACCATTAGAGAATATTATGAAAAGCTCTATGCACGTAAAAATAGAAAATCTAAAAGAAATGGATGAATTCCTGGACAAATACAACCTCCCATGACTGAGATAGGAAGAAATTGAATTGTGGAAAAGACCAGTAATGAGCTCCAAAATTGAATCAGTAATACTATACCAACCAAAACCCAACCAAACAAAGAAAAGCCCATGACAAGATGAATTACAAATCAACATCCACAGCCAAATTCTACCAAATGTACAAAGAAAATCTGGCACCATTTTCTACTGAAACAATTCCAAAAAATTGAAAAGGAAGGACTCCTCCCTAACTCCTTCTATGAGGCCAGCATAATTCTGATACCAAAACCTGGCAGAGACACAACAAATTAAAGAAAAAAAGAACTTCAGGCCAATATTTTTGATGACTATTGACGCAAAAATCCTCAAGAAAATAGTGGCAAACTGAAACCAGCAGCACATCAAAAAGTTAGTCCAACACAATCAGGTAGTCTTTGTTCCTGAGATGAGAGGTTGGTTCAACATATTCAAATCAATAAATGTAAGTCATCACATAAACAGAACTAAATACAAAAGTACATGATTATCTCAATTGACACAGAAAGGGCTTTCAATAAAATTCAAGAGCTCTTCAGGTTCAAAACTCTCAATAAACTAGGTATTAAAGAAACACACCTCAAAATAATAAGAGCCATCTATGATAAACCCACAACCAACGTCATACTGAATGAGCAAAAGCCAGAAGCATTCCCCTTGAAAACTGGCATAAGACAAGGATGCCCTCCCTCACCACTCTTATTAAACATTGTACTGGATGTCCTGGCCAGGCAAATTAGGCAAGAGAAAGAAATAAAGGACATTCAAATAGGATGAGAGGAAGTCAAACTATTCTTGTTTTCAGATGACATAATCCAATATCTACAAAACCCCATAATCTCAGCCCAAAAGCTCCTTAAGCTGATAAACAACTTCAGCAAAGTCTCAGGATACAAAATTAATGTGCAAAAGTCACTAGCATTTCTATACACTAACAACAGTCAAGCCAAGAGCCAAATCAGGGAAGCAATTCCATTCACAATTGCCACAAAAATAATAAAATACCTAGGAGTACAGCTAACGATGGAGGTGAAGGATCTCTACAAAGAGAACTACAAAGCACTGATCAGGACCGGGCACAGTGGCTTATGCCTGTAATCCCAGCACTTTGTGAGGCCAAGGTGGGCAAAGCACTTGAGGTCAGGAGGTCGTGACCAGCCTGGCCAACATGATGAAACCCCATCTCTACTAAAAATACAAAAATTAGCTGGGCATGGTGTTGCGTGCTTGTAGTCCCAGCTACTCAAGAGACTGAGGCAGAAGAATTGCTTGAATGCAGGAGGTGGAGGTTGTAGTGAGCTGAGATCCCGCCACTGCACTCCAGCCTGGGCAACAAGGTGAGACTGCATCTCAAACAAACAAGCAAACAAACAAACACTGCTCAAAGAAATCAGAGATGACAAAAAATGGAAAAATATTGCATGCTTATGGATAGGAAGAATCAGTACTATTAAAATGGCCGTAGTGCCTGGGAATGGTGGCTCATGCCTGTAATCCCAGAACTTTGGGAGGCCAAGGTGGGCGGATCATGAGATCAGGAGTTTGAGACCAGCCTGACCAATATGGTGAAACCCCATCTCTACTAAAAATACAAAACAAAACAAAAAAAATTAGCTTCGCGTGATGGCATGTGTCTCTAGTCCCAGGTACTGGGGAGGCTGAGGCAAAAAAATCACTTGAACCTGAGAGACGGAGGTTGCAGTGAGCCGAGATTGTACCACTGCCCTCCAGCCTGGGCGACAGAGGGAGACTCTGTCTGAAAAAAAAAAAAATTACCATAGTGCCCAAAGCAACTTCCACATTCAATGCAATTGCTATTAAACCACTAATGACATTCCTCACAGAACTAGAAAAAAAAAAGAGCTATATTAACATTCACATAGGACCAAAAAAAGAGTCTGAATAGTGAAGAAAATTTTAAGCAAAAAGAGCAAAGTTGAAGATATTATGCTACTATTATGCTACTCCGCTTCATGCTGTCCTATGGTAACCCAAACAGCATGGTACTGGAAAAAAAAAAAAAAGGCACACAGACCAGTGGAAAATAATAGAGAGCTGAAAAACAAGGCTGTAAACCTGCAACTATCTGCTCTTTCACAAAGCTGACAGAAACCAGCAATGGGGAAAGGACTCCCTAAACTATAAATGGTGCTGGGATAACTGGCTAGCCATATACAGAAGATTGAAATGGTGCCACTTCCTCACACCATATAAAAAAATTAACTTAAGATGGAGTAAATACTTAAATGTAAAACTTAACACTATAAAAACCTAGACAATACCATTCTGGACATAAGAAAGAGCAAAGATTTTATGACAAAGACAACAAAAGCAATTGCAACAATAACAAAAATTGACAAATGGGATCTAATTAAATTAAAGAGCTTCTGGACAGCAAGAGAAACAATCAATAGAATAAACAGACAACCTACGTAATATGAGAAAATATTTGCCAATTATGCATCTGACAAAGGTCTATTATCCAGCATCTATAAGGAATGTAAGCAGATTTACTACAATAAAAAAGAAAAAACCCTATTAAAATGGGCAAAGGATATGAACAGACAATTTTTTAAACAAGACACACATGTGGCCAACATGCATACAAAAACAAAGCTCAACATCTCTGATCATTGGAGAAACGCAAATCAAAAGTGCAATGAGATACCATCTCTCACCAGTTAGAATGGCTATTATTAAAAAGTCAAAAAATAACATGCTGACAAGGTTGTGAAATAAAATAAATACTTATACACTGTTGGTGGGAATGTAAATTAGTTTAATAATTGTGGAAAAGAGTGTGGGAATTCCTCAAAGACCTAAAAACAGAAATACCATTCAACCCAGCAGTCCCGTTACTGGGTATATACCCAAGGGAATATAAATTGTTCTATCATGAAGACACATGCATGCATATTTTCATTGCAGAACTATTCAAAATAACAAAGACATGAAATCAGTCTCAATGTCCATCAAAGGTAGAGTAGATAAAGAAAATGTGGTACATACACAATGGAATACTATACAGTCATAAGAAGAGATTATATTATTTGCAGAAACATGGATGGAGCTGGAGGTCATTATTCTTAGCAAACTAATGCAGGACTAGAAAACCAAATACCACATGCACTCACTTATAAGTAGGAGCTAAATAATGAGAATACATGGACACATAGAGGGAAATAGCTGACACCGAGGCCTGTTGGAGGGTTAGAGGACGGAGAGGGTCATGTAAAGAACTGAGTACTAGGCTTAATAGCTGGGTGATGAAATAATCTGTACAACAAACCTCCATGACATAAGTTTACCTATAAACAAACTTGCACAAGTACCCCTGAACTTAAAAGTTAAATAAAAAAGATTTAAATATATAAAGATTTCACATACAAATGTAGATTTCTGCATAAAAAATAAAAAAGTAATTTGTAATATGAATGAAAAATGTTCTTGACATAGACATTTTAAGAAAAACAAACAGAACTCTGGAAATGAAAGACTCGGTTATAGAACTACAAAATATAATGGAAAGTTTTAACAATACACTAGACCAAGTAGAAGAAAGAATTTCAGAGCATGAAGACAAGGCTTTTGAATCAGACAAAAATAAAGAAAAAAGAATGAAAAGAAGTGAACAGTCTCCAAGAAATATGGGATTATGTAAAACATCCAAACCTAAGAATCATAGGTGCTTCGGAGGGGGAAAAAAGCTTGGAAAACATATTTGAATGAATAATTAAGGAAAATGTTCATGGCCTTGCTAGAGACTTGATATGCAAATACAAGAAGCTGAAATAACTCCTGGGAGATTCATAGCAAAAAGGACATCATCAAGGCATATTGTCATCAGATTATCTAAAGACAACATGAAGGAAATAATTCTAACAGCAATGAGACAGAATAATCAAATAATTTACAAAAGAAAATCTATCAGACTAACATCAGACTTCTCGGCAGAAATCTTACAAGCCAGAAGGGCTTGGGATCCTATATTTAGTCTCCTCCAATAGAATAACTGTCAGCCAATAATTCCATATTCAGTCGTATTAAGTTTTGTAAATGAAAGAGAAATAAAATATTTCCCAGTAAAGCAAATGCTTAAGCAATATGTCACTGCTAGGCCAGCCCTGTAAGAAATGCTCAAAGGTGTTCTAAACATCAACCTCAAAGGTTGATACACACCTGTATATAAATACATGAATTTCAAATTTGAAAACAAAGCTGTTCTTTTATGAATTAAGTACAAATTAATCACTTCATCTAGCCATTTCCATGATACCTGCAGATTCATCATTTCTCTGGATCAAGGCCTGAGTCTCAGCCTGAAGGACATTATGTTAAGCAAAATAAGTCAGTTACAGAAAGATAAATACCACATGTTCTCACTCACATGGGAACTGAAAACATTATTTTTGAGTTCACAGAAGTAGAGAATAGAACTGTGGGTATAGAGGCTGGGAAGAGTAAGGAAGAAGGGAGCTTGGGGAGATGTTGGTTATTGAATACAAAATTACAGCTAGATGGGAGAAATGCACTCTGATATTCTGCCAAACTGTAGGGCAAATGTGGTTAGTTATAAATTACTCCATATTTTCAAAAAGCTAAGAGAGGATTCGGAGATTTCCCATTACAAAGAAATAATAAATGTTAGAGGTGATGGATGTGCTAATTACCCTGATATGATCATTATACATTGTATTCATGTATCAAAATGCATGAATAAAATACTACTCTGTATGCCATAAATATGTACAATTATTACATGTCAACTGAAAGTAAAGAGTAAAAGGAATAAATCAACCAAAAATAAAAATGCCTGCAAGTATGAAACTCTCAGGGCTTATGTGACAGCAGCACAATGAAGAAAATAAAGCAACTAGGTAACAATCAACATGATGACTGGAACAGTACCTCACCTTCTCAATATTTTCTATGAATGTAAATGATTTAAGTGCCCCACTTAGAAGATATAGATTGGCAGAATGGATTAAACATACTCACACACACACACAAACCAAACATCTGTTGCCATCAAGCAACCCACCTAACACGTAAAGTTTCTTTTAGATTAAAGGTAAAGAAGTGGGAAAAAAAAATTCTGTGCAAATGGAAAATAAAAGTGAGTAGGAGTAGCTGTTCTCGTATGAGGCAAAACAAACTGTAAATCAACAGCAGACAAAGAAGACAAAGAAGGCAATTATAAAATAATATAAAGTCAAATAAGGTCATTATATGATGACAAAGGGATCTATTTCAGAAGAAGATATAACAATCCTAAATATATATGCACCTAATACCAGAGCTCACAGATTCATAAAACAAATACTATTAGACCGTAAAAAAGATATAGGCAGCAATACAATAATAATGAAGGAGTTCAGCATTCCATTAACTGCACTAGAGAGATCATTGAGGCAGAAAGTTAACAAATAAATACTGGACTTAAACTGGACTCTAGAACAAATGGACCTATCAGGAATTTACATAATATTCTACCCAAAACCTGAAAAAGATACATTTTTCTTATCAGCACATGGAATATTCTCCAAGATAGGCCATATGATAGGCCACAAAACAAGTCTCAATACATTTTAAGAAAATCAAAATTATGTAAAGTATCTTATCAGACCACAGTGAAATAAAACTAGAAATCAATTCCAGAAGGAACTGTCAAAACTACGCAAATACATGGAAATTAATCTGCTCCTGAATACTCTTTTGGTCAATAATAAAATCAAGATGAAAATTTACACAATTTCCATAATTTATGATAACAGTAACACAGGTTATAAAAATCCCTGGGATAGAGCAATAACAGTGCTAAGAGGAACATTTATACTGCTAAATTCCTACATCAAAGAAACAGAAAGATCACAAATTGACAAGGTAATGTTGCACCACAAGGAACTAGAGAAACTACGACAAACCAAACCCAAAGCTAGCAGAAAAGAAATAGCAAAGATCAGAACAGAAATAAATGAAATTGAAGAGAAAATTACAAAGGATCAATGAAATAAAAAGTTGTTTTTTTTGAAAAGGTAAAATTACCAGACTACTATGTAGATTAAGCAAGAGGAGAGAAGATTCAAATAAGATCAATCAGAAATGCAAATGGAGACATTACAATGGATATCACAGAAATATGAAAGATCATCTGAAACTACTATGAACACTTCTATATAAAGAAACTATAAAATCTAGAGGGAATGAATACATTCCTTGAAATAAACATCCTCACAAGCTTGAATCAGGAATAGATAGAAATCCTGAAAAGACTAACAGAAAGCATAGTGATTAACTCTGTAATAAAAAATCTCCCAACAAATAAAAGCCCAGTACCAGACACATGCATAATTGAATTCTACCAGACATTTAAAGAACTTACACACAAAAGCTATATGATCAATTTAATAGATGCAGAAAAAGCATTTGACAAAATCCAAAGTTCCTTCATGATAAAAACCTTCAACAGACTAGGCATAGAAGGAACATATTTCAAATTAATAAAAGCCATATATGACAAACCATCAGCCAACATCATACTGAATGGGGAAAAGTTGAAAGTATTCTTCCTATGATCTGGAATAAGGCAAAGATGCTCACTTTCACCACTTCTGTTTAGCATAGTAATAGAAGTCCTAGGCAGAGCAATCAAACAAGAGAAAAAAATAAAGGGCATCCAAATTGGAAAAGAGAAAGCTAACCTATCTCTGCTTGTTGATGATATGATCTTATACCTGGAAAACCCTAAAGACTCCTCCAAAAACTCTTAGATGTGATAAATGAATTCACTAAGGTCTCAGGTTAAAAATATATGTATACAAATCTGTAGCACTGCTATAGACCAATAATGACTAAGATGAAAATCAATTCAAGAACTCAATTCCATTTACACTAGCTGCGAAAAAAAAAAAAAAACCTAATATACGTAACCAAGGAAGTGAAAGCTCTCTACAAGGAGAACTACAAAAACACTGCTGAAAGAAATCAGAGATGTTACAAACAAATGAAAAAACATTCCATATTCATGGATTGGGATAATCAACATTGTTAAAATGACCATACCGCTCAAAGAAATACACACATTTTATGAGATTTCTATTGAAACATCAATGTCATTTTTCAGAGAATTAGGAAAAAATAAGTTCTAAGATTCGTATGGAACCACAAAAGAGCCCAAGTAGCTAAAGCAATTCTAAGTAAAAAGAACAAAGCTGGAGGTATTCCATGACCCAAATCAAAATTATATTATAAGTTTATAGTAACCAAATATGCATGGTACTAGTATAAAAGTAGATACATAGACCCATGGAAACTAATAGAGAACCTAGAAATAAAGCCCAACATGTATAGCAACTGATCTTTGACAAAACAGACAGAAACGTACACTGGGAAAATAACTATTCAATAAATGGTGCTCAGAAAATTGAATAGTCAGTGGCAGAAGAATGTAACTGGTTCCCTATCTCTTACCATATACAAAAACTAACTCAAGATGGATTAAAAACTTAAATCTAAGACCTGAAGCTATAACAAACCCAGCAGGTAACAGGAAAAGCTTTTCTGGATATTGGATTAGGCAAATAATTTATGACTAAGACCCCAAAAGCAAATGCAATAAAAATAAAGAATAAAGAAGCGGGAATTAACTAAACTAAAAAGCTTCTGCACAGCAAAAGAAATAACAAGAAAATAAATAGACAACCTACAAAATGGGAGGAAATATTTGCAGTCCATATATCCAACAAATAACTAATATCTAAAATCTATAAGGAACTCAAATCAGCAAGAAATAAATGAATAATGTTATTAAATAATAGGCAAATGTCATGAATAGAAATTTCTCAAAAGAAGATATACCAATGATGAACAAACACATGAAAAAATGTTCAACATCACTAATGATCAGGGAAATGCAAATTAAACCACAGTGAGATAAGACCTTACCCCAGCCAGAGTGACTATTATTAAAAAGTCAACAATAGATGTTGGTGTGGATTTGCTGAAAGGGAAACGCTTATACACTGTTAGTGGAGTGTAAATCAGTACAACCTCTATGGAAAACAGCATGGAGATTTCTCAAAGAACTAAAAGTAGATCTACCACTCAACCCAGCAGTCCCACTGCTCGGTGTCTACCCAAAGGAAAATAAGTCGTTATATACAAAAGACAACTGCACATGTATGTTTATTGCAGCACCATTTACAGATGCAAAGAGTTGGAACAAACTTAAATGCCCAATAACCTATGAGTGGATAAAGTGTGCGATACACACACACACACACACACACATATATATACATATATACACACATATATATATACCTATGCACACATATATATATACATATATATGATGAAATATTACGTAGTCATAAAACAGAATGAAGAAATAATATGTTTTGCAGCAACGTAGATGGAACTCGAGGCCATTAACCTAAATGAAGTAACTCAGGAATAGAAAACCGAATACCACAGGTTCTCACTTAAAAATGGGAGCTAAGCTATGGGTACATGAAGGTATACAGAGTGGTACAATGGACACTGGAGACTGAGAAGTGGGGAGTTTGGGAGCGGGGTGAGGGATGAAAAATTACCTGTTGGTTACAATATATACTATTCTGGTGATGGGTACACCAAAAGCCCAGACTTCACCACTAAACAATCCACCCATGTAATGAAAAATCACTTGTACCCCTAAAAATATTTAAATAAATTTTAAATAAATTTAAAATTATTTTAAATAAATTTTAAATAAATTTAAAATTATTTTAAATAAATTTTAAATAAATTTAAAATTATTTAAAAATTTTTTTAAAAAATTTTAAGATGTGCAAAGGAAAAAATGTAAAGTGGCAAAGTTTATGTAATATATATTTTACTACAAGAAAGAAATCACCTGTGAAATTTTCTACACCTTTTTGTTTTGTTTTGTTTTGTTTTGTTTTTGGCCAAAGTCTACCTATTGCTCATCTCTAATATCATCCCTGGATAATTAATCTCTGTTTAGCTCTCAAGTTTGACTCTTAATATTTGCCTTAGTTCCCTTTTTTTCTGATCCCAGTGTTGAGCCCTCGCCATTCTGCCTCCAGGGTAATTATGACACTTGGCTTTCTTCTCACATAATTGTAGCTTAGCATTCTAACCAAAGCCCTGAAGAATCAAACAAACAGTACTATTTCCTACCTAACATTCCCAAGAGGTAGAAGGAATCAGACACTTACTTTGTGCCACTACTGCTTGTTATGAAAATCATTCCTTTTTGTATCAATAACACTATCTTGAAATATCTGCTCCTGTGCCTTTATTCCCTATTAGCTATTAAGTTCTTGAGGACAGGGAAAATAAATTCAAACATTTCATAAATAACTAAGTTTATACATTTTGATTTTTTTCACAGTGGGTTTTATTTTAGACTTTTTATAAACAAGAAAATAAAATGAAATACTTAGAACCTCTTCTGATTTTCTGATTTTCACCACAAGAGGGAACCATCAGAATTTATATCACAGAGGACAAAAAAAAAAAAAAAAAAAAATTGAAGCCAAGGCTGTGAGAATTGAGACAATTTTCAATAGTACTCAAGTAAATAAATACTGAATAAAAATTTATTATGTATTTCTTGGAACAGAAAAAGGGACTTGAACTTTCGGTGTTCTAGGCCTGTATCTCCTGTTTTAAATTAACACCATGTTTGTTTTTCAGGGGATATTTTGTAGGACAGATCAATATAGTTTTATATAAAATGTTTAAAGTAAATATTGAGTGTTTCAAAAAGTAAAACACACTTATTGTCAGTCTCACCAGAAGGATCTTCATAGTTACTGTTTTTAAACTTTTTTTTATTATTCTGACATCTAAAACAGAAAATCCTTAAAACTTTCTCACAAAATGGGACCCTATGAATTATCACCAATTTTCTTAGTTTAGGAAAATCCAGAAAAGCTAAAAAGCTGCCTCTTCCAAATGTTTAGAAAGTGAAATGCCTTTTTATAACTTTAATGAAGGCATTATTAATTTGAATGGTCCAATCAGATCATATCAACTGATATTTATTTCTTTCCTTTTTTTAACCATTGAACA
The DNA here is from genome assembly GCF_000001405.40 of Homo sapiens. Classification (NCBI taxonomy): domain Eukaryota; kingdom Metazoa; phylum Chordata; class Mammalia; order Primates; family Hominidae; genus Homo; species Homo sapiens. Next base: position 81,490,783 of record NC_000023.11, read on the forward strand.
AGTAATTATTGAATGCTTATCAATTGCAAGGCACTACTTTTAAAAGACACAGAAAGATAAATACCAGATGATCTCACTCATATATGTAATCTTAAAAAGTTAATCTCAGGGAAGTACGGTAGAATGGTGGTTACAGAGGCTAGGGTGGTTAGGAGGAAGGGGAGGTAGGGGAGATGTTGGTCGGAAGATAGGAAGAATATATTCAAGAGATCTATTGTACAACAAGGCGACTATATTTAACCATAATATACTGTATTCTTGACAAACGCTAAGGGAGTACATGTTAAGTGTTCTCATCACAAAAATGAGAGCAATGTGAGGTAATACATTACTAGCTAGATTTAACCATTAGTCAACTTATGTAAGCTTCAAAACATCATGTTGTACATGATAAATATATACAGTTTTATCAAAAGGAAAAAAATGAATTAAATAATATAAAGGCACAAAGAAATAACTTACCATTCTAGAATTCCTTGGATTCCTGACCTTCTGCTAGTTCTGCTTTGCCATTCCTCATCTTTGGGAAATACTCATTTTGTGCATATATACCTGGACCTCTCAAAGTTGCTCAAAAATGTCACAAAGCTTATATCTTTGTTCCATTACAAACGCATGCCATTTAAAATATAATAGCATTTTTTGCAAAGAAATAAGACTTTTTAATAATAAAGTCCATAAGCTGATGACATGAGGGCCAGATTTGACCTACAGACTTTCAAATTTTGGATTTTTTGCCTAACAGTCCGAATGTTCTAGTTTTCCTAAAAAAGAAAATTCTGGCAGCACTGAGTTTCTAATTAATTAATGACAACAGTTGGCAGGAGTTGAAAAGTCATTGTAACCTTTAGATAGAACATTGTCTTTCTAATATTTCAGTTCCAAGAAATATCTACTGGATGATACTTGAGTCACTTAGCTCATTTTTATGACTATTCTGGCCATTGTAAGCTGTTTACTGTTCTCTAGTTTATATGTTGTCTCAGTATACCATCAGTGGCCAGTCCTCTCAAGATGATAACTCAGCACTCTTAACCAATGACCAATATCTTTTTTAGGAAATGAAGGTGAGATATCTAAAATAGGCAAATTCATAGAGACAGACAGTAGATTAGAGGTCACCAGGGGCTGCGGGTAGATGATGGTAGTGAGGAGTTATTACTTAATGGTTATGAGTTTCTGTTTTGGGTGGAATAAATGTTTTGGAAACAGATAGTAGTTATGGTTGCAAAATGTTGTGAAAGTAATTAATGCCAAAAACTGTACAATTAAATATGGTTAAATTGACAAAGTTTATGTAATGTATATTTAAATACAATAAAGAAATCATCTCTGACCAACAGCAAAAGAAAACTAGGTATGAGCTCATATTGCTTCTTTCTTGTGCACCTCTGTGTTCAATTGTCCTTTTCTCTTTTTTGTCCATTTTACAGATAGTGCGGCAGATCTCACCAAAACTAGAGGCTGCTCAAATTGTGGTAGATCCCATCCATACAAGTATCCTCCTTGCTGCTCCCATGTAACCTAAAGGCAGCTCTCACCAACCTAAGGGGTGGCACAGGCAAGAACAGAAACACATATCAAAGTCAGAACAGGTTAAACCCGCAATCCTTTGTTAGTTCTCTCATCAATAATAGACTTCTTAAGATCAGTAAGTTCTACCCATGATTGAACTTCTGGTACCCTTAATGGCCAGCTAAAAGATAATGCCTCTCTAAAACTATTTCCTCTGTATTATTAACTCCCTATGACACTGCACACACCCTTACCTCAGCTCTTTTCAACACTACCACTGGCCTTCATCCCTACCATTCTACTGTTCCTTTGTGAACAAATCTCTTTACATTCTAAATTCTTATCACAGAATAATTTCTCTTCCTTTGCTTTAAAAAACATTGTTCTTTCACAGGATAAATAAAAATATTCCCTAGTGGATGCTATCTTTAATTTCACCATTCATATGGAATTGGACTGTGATGTGGAGATGGGATTCTCTTCACGTTTCAATAATTATTCTTTCCCTTTTATGTAAGAAACATCTCTTATCTTGATGTTTATACCACTTGATGATGTCAGTGCTATGCCCCTTTTTATAGTGCCTTGTTTGGAATGTAGAGGGTGGAGTAAAAGGAGATGTTAAAGATAAACTCTTCTATTTACTTTATCTTAAAGAATGGGTTACCATTATTTATCTAACCACTCACTTATGAAGATCTGATGTGATACCTTCTTTTCCCTTACTTTTATGTAATTCAATTAATTGCAAAGTAAAGGTTTTTTTTTTTTTTACCACTAAAGGTACATGTTGAATCCTATGACTTTTTCTATCATATCAGGAAATTTGTAATAATGCCACCATGATGCATTGCTTCTAATACAGAGTCCTTATATTTTTATCAATGTCTCTAATCTCAATTTATTCTATTTAACTATATACTGTATTCTTTCTCTTTAACTCAAAATATGTTTAACTCTATTCTAACTTTAGAATTATTTCACTTCATCCTTATGTTGTCTTTTTATTCACAGATTCAACAGATATTATTGATCATCAACTATAATCTAGGCACGGTGACAAAAACTAAGCTTGATATCTTTATCTCTTTTCTTGTTTTTCTTATCTGATACCTAGATTTGTATTTTATTCATTTTTTAACCTTTCATTTTTACACATATTGTCTTATTAATACACTCATTTGTTTCAATTATTGTCTTTAGGTATGTGACTCCATATCTATACGCAGCTCTTCTCTTGAGTTTCATGCTGTCATTTCAAAGTCCCTGCTTAATAACCTGCTTGGATAGTCTCAGAGAAACTTCAAGTAAAATATGTAGTCTGAATCAGGTTGATTGCCTGATAAAACAAATAATAATTTCCTAGATTCCAAATAATTTTAAAATGTTGGAACTATCAGACCAAAACTTTTACTTATTTATTTATTTATTTTTTTGCAGATTGACGAGGTAGACATTTATTTCTAGCAATTATCTGAGAATGTATAGGGTAGTGACAAGATATTCATTTACTTGTAGCAATTACCCTACATTTGTTGGCTGAAATAACTTTATATACTTAAAATTTTTTTCTCTATGTTTATTGTTCTTAAAAATTGCATTGAATTTAACTAACTGGAATGTCAAATTGTTGATGATACACCTCAGAGGATAAGCATTGTTGAGGTTGGAATAGGCATGAATCAAGAATTAATTCTAGTCCCTAATTTCCATGCAGCATAGAACTTATAGTTCATTGAATTCATTATAAATTAGTTTCAGTTTCTCCTAACACTGTTGATTTTATTTTGTGATGGAACTCTTATAATATGTAAATTATTATCATGATTTTGAGTATATTTTCTTTATGAAACTTTTATTTATTTCTACTTTTATTTTCTTCTACTTTTATTTTGGGTTCTTGGGGGTACATGTGCAGGTTTGTTACATGGGTAAATTTTGCGTTGCTGAGGCTTAGTGTATGAATGATCCTGTTACCTAGATAGTAAGCGTAGTATATAATACGTTGCCTTCCAGCCCACACTCTTCTCCCACTCTCCCCTCTCAAGTAGTCTCCAGTGTTTATTGTTCCCATATTTGTGTCCACGTGTATTGTGGTATTCGGTTTTCTCTTCCTGCATTAGTTCACTTAAGATAATGGCCTTCAGTTGCATTTTTGTTTACGCAAAGGACATGATTTCATTTTTTGTGATTGTGTAGTATTCCATGGTGTATATGTGCCACATTTTCTTTAACCAGTCCACTGTTGATGGGCATCTTGGTTGATTCTATTGCTGTTGTGAATAGGGCTGTGATGAACATATTAGTGCATATGTCTTTTTGATATAATTATGTATTTTCTTTTGGGCATATATCCGCCAGAGGGATAGCTGCTTGGAATGGTAGTTTTGTTTTAAGTTCTCTGAGAAATCTCGAAACTGCCTTCCACAGTGGATGACCTAGTTTACATTTTCACCAGCAGGATATAAGTGCTCCTTTTTCTCTCCAACCTCGCCAGCATATGTTGTTTTTTGACTTTTTAGTAATAGCCATCTTACTAGTGTGATATTCTATCTCATTGTGATTTTGATTTGCATTTGTTGAAATGTGATTGACACACAAATGCCATACATATTTAATGTATATACAACTTGATAAGTTTGGAGATAAGGATACACTTGTGAAGTCATCACCACAATCTATGTCATAAACTTATCACCTCCAAAAACCTCCTCCTGCTGTCTTTACTTATTATTATTATCATTAGTATTATTATTGATAATATAAGAACACTTCACATAAGATCTAAACTCTTTGCAAATTTTTAAGTAAACAATACAATATTGCTAACTATAGGCACTATACTGTACAGTTAATCTCTGTAATTTATTTATCTTGTGTAACCAAAACTTAATACCCTGTAACATAACAGCTATTCTGTGTTCCATGAGGTAGAGGTAAACATACTTGCCATAAATAGAAAGATAGACGTTATCGGAGAAAATATAAAATATAATACAAGAACAAAATGGAATATTTAGAACAAAAAGTTCAATATCAGCAATTTTAAAAATTGACATAGGAAAGAATCAGGGAAACTAAAAAGAAAATTACTAGATCACCAGAAATTATCCAAATTGTAAAAGAGAGAATAATAAAAATTGAAAAAATGAGCAATGGGACTTGTGGAACACTATCCAAAAGTAATTAGAATTCTAGAAGAAGAGAAGGAGATTGAAGTGGAAAATTTATCTGAAGACATAATGACCAAAAACCTCTCAAATGTAGGGAAAAGCATACATTCACAGATTTAAGAAGTTCAACAGTCTTCAAATAGAATAAATTCAGAAGAGGCTATGTCTATACACATCACAATTAAACTGCTGAAAACCAAAGCTAAAGAATAAAACCTTTAAATCTTCCCCCCAAAATAATAAATTACACACAGTGGAACAAGAGTTCAAACATTGTAGAAGTCTCATCAGAAACTATGAAGTCCAGAAAACAATGGAACAAAATCTTTGAAGTTAAAAAGAAAAAAAATGTCAACTGTGCATTCTATTTTCCTAGCACATCAGGAATGAACAATGGCATTTTCAGATGAAGGAAAACTAAGAGATTTCATCACGAATAGAGCTACTCTACAAGAAATACTAAAGTTATTTGTGAATATCAAAGAGAAGCTTGAATCTTCTGGAAGGAAAGAAGAACAACTGAAATGGTATTTATCTACCAAACTATAAAAGACTATTTTCTCTTAAGTTCTTAAAATATACACAACTTTGTAAAGTAAATATAACATAGTCTGGTGTGGTTTTCTGTGTATGAAAACATAATTTTTTGACAATTGTAGCAATAACATCAATAAAGAGAAACTAGTTGCAAGATTTCTACATTTGGGGTTAAATGGCACAATATTAACTTTAAGTAGACTGTGAATTGTTAAGTATGTTTATTGCAAATCATCAATCAACCACTGAAAAACCACACACAGGGTTATAGTAAACAGGTTCATATAAAAATAAAAATAAAAGTATCCAAATATTTTAAATATTTAAAAAGAAAATAGAGAAGGAAAAATAGAGGAATAAATAAACATAAGAGACACAGAGAAAATAAATAATACAATGGTTAGCATGTTCTCACTTATAAGTGGGAGCTGAACAATAAGAACACATGGACACAGGGAGGTGAACAACACCTACTGGCCTTTGTTGGGGGCAGGGGGAGGGAGAGCATCAGGGAAAGTAGCTAATGCATGTGGGGCTTAATACCTGAGTGATGGCTTGAGAGGTGCAGCAAACCACCATGGCACACGTTTCCCTATGTAACAAACCTGCACGTCTTCCACATGTATCCCTGAACTTAAAGTAAAATACAAATTTTTAAAAAAGATTTATAGTTGAAACCTCTGTTAAGCCTTGTAGTTAAGCAAGGCTGATAATCCCAGCAGTCAAAAGGACAGACTGTTTTGTCTATCTGGTTTATTCCTGTATTCCCAGAGCCTACGGGAATATGATATATTCAATGTTAAATAAATGTTGACTAAATGACATTTTTGTTACTCCAATAATAATAATAATAATAATAATAATAATAACAACAACATGATGGTTAACCTAAAGTAAAAATATTACTATTTAGATTACATTTTAACGGTCTAAACCACGTGTGTTCAACATTTTTTCCCTGGGCCACATTGGAAGAATTGTCTTGGGCCACACATAAAATACACTAACGCTAACAATAGCAGATGAGCTTAAAAAAAATCTTGCATAAGTTTAGTTGTATCTATCACCATAGGTAAGCAAAAAAAAATCTTGCATTCAAAGGGTTGGACACCCGTGCAAACACTTAATTAAAAGGTTGCCATTGACAGAGTGGAAAAAAGCAGTACTCTACTATATCTGTCTCTAAGAAACACACTTTCAATATAAGTATATAAATAGATTAAAGGTAAATATAGAGAAATGATGTCTTACAAATATTAAGCATAAGAAAGCTTGAGTGATATTTTAGTATCAGACAAAATATATTTCAAGACAAAGCAGGTTACCAGAGATAAAGAGAGACACTTCATAATGATAAATATGATGATGTATTAGGAAGCCATACAATTATAAATGTGTATGTGCATGCTGAAAACAGAGCACACTAAGATAGAATATTTGCATAACAGATATTAGACACAAGACTTGTGTCTGCAATATGTAAATATATCTTTCTACTCAATAAGAATACAAACCATCCAAAAAGGAAATGGGCAAAATATTTGAATACACGATGCAATCATGAGCCAAGTAATAAATTTCAGCCAAAAATAGACCACATACATGACAGTGGTTCCATAAGACTATAATAGAGCTGAAAATGTTCTTATTACCTAGTGACATCCTAACCATTGTAACATCACAGCACAATGTATTACTCATGTGTTTGTGGTGATGCTAGTGTAAACAAATCTACTGCACTGCCATTGATATAAAAGAATAATATAAAAGTTATGTATATATATAACACCTGATAATGATAACAAATGACTGTTACTGGTTTATGCATTTATTATACTATATTTTTATTGTATTTTAAAGTGTACTCCTTCTATTAATACTTATAAAATAAATTAACTGTGAACCTTCTCAGACAGATTCTTCAGTGATATTCCAGAAGAAGGCATTGTTATTATACAAGAAGAAAGCTCCACAAATGTGATTACCCCTGAAGATCTTCTTGTGGGACAAGATGTGAAGAGGGAAGGCAGTTATATTGAATATCTTGAACCTGTGTAGGCCTAAACTACTATGTGTGCTTGTGCCTTGTTTCTAATAATAAAAGTTAAAAAGTTTAAAAAAATAAAAATTAAAAATAGCAAACAAATCTTATAGAATAAGGGTATAAGTAAAGATATTTTTGTGCAACTGTACAATGTGTTTGTGTTTTCAGCTAAGTGTTATTACAAAAGAGTCAAAAGTTAAAAAAAATAAAAAGTTTATAAAGTAAAAAAGTTGCAGTAAGTTAAGGTTAAGTTATTATTGAAGACAGAAACTTTTAAAATTTAGTCTGGTCTAAGTGTACAGTGTTTATAAACTCTACAATAGTGTACAGTAATGTCCTAGGCCTTCACATTCACTTACCACTTACCAATTGACTCATAGCTACTCCCAGTCCTATAAGCTCTATTCACGATGGTAAGTGCTTCATGCAGGTGTATCGTTTTTTCACCTTTTATACCATATTTTTATTGTATTTCTTCTATGTATAGATACATAAATATTTACCATTGTGTTAAAATTGCCTACAGTATTTAGTACAGCAACGTGCCATATATGTTTGTATTCTAGGAGCAATAGGCTATATTATGTAGCCTGGGTGTGTAGTAGGCTAAACTATCAAAGTTTGTTTAAGTACACTGTATGATGTTCACACAATGAAAAAATAGCCTAAGGATACATTTTTCACAATGTATCCCTATTGTTTAATGACACATGATTTATACATAAAAATATATATAAATAGCCAATAAACACAAGAAAAGATGCTTAAAATCATTAGTCATTAGGGAAATGTAAACCAAAATCACAATAAGATACCATTACCTGTCCATTAGAATGTCCAAATTTTTCTTTTAAAGATCATTCCAAATTCTGTCAAGGATGAAAAGGAACACTGATACACCGTTTATAAAAATGTAAACTGGTACAGTGACTTTGGAAAACAGTTTGGCATGTCCACATGTTGTTAAAAATACATTTACCATATGATCTAGTGATACCATTGGACAGTATTTACTAAAGAAGAAAGCATATTTTCATACTTGTATATGAATATTAATAGCAACTTAATCTGTAATAGCAAAAAACTGGCAACTATCTAAATGTCCATTAACAGGTGAATGCATAAACAAATTGTGGTATTCTCACAATGAAATACTACTCAAAAAGAAAAAAAATATTGACATACATGACAATATGAATAAATATTAAAAGATTTGATTCATACTAAATTATAGAAAATGCAAACTAATCTCTAATGAGAGAAAACACATTAGTACTTGTCTTACACAAAATGGATGTTATGTGTCTGAGATGTACTAACTCAGTTCTAGGTTCTACATGTCCATCAGTGAACAGTACAAATGAGCTCCATACAATCCTGGAACTTAGTGCACTAAGCAGTGGAAGAGGCAGAAAATAAACAAATAAGCAAAAGTAAGCAAAAAATTACAAATTGTGGTATACTACTGTGAAAGAAAATAAAAAAATGAAGAATAGATAATACTGTGGGATGCCAGGACTTACTTTAAATCTGGTGGTCAGGGATACATTTTCTGAGTAACTAGCAGTAAACTGAGACCTGAAGGATGAGAAGGGGCTGGCTATGCAAAAGGTGGAGGGAAAAGGCATTCAGTAGATGAAAGAACATATTCAAAATTCTGAGTTGGGAAAGAACTTCTCTTAGAGAATTTAAATAAAGGCCACCGTATCTGAATTCAGACATTAATGTGTGCAATGAGGCAGAGAGGTAGTTCTAGGCAAGATCATGTAGGAATTTGTAGATGTAAATTCTATTTCCAATGCAATGGTAAATAATGAGGGCTTCAAGCAGGGTGATGACATGATCATATCCCAGCTTTAAAAGATTAATACCTCACTCTTTGGAGGACTGTAGGGAAGCAAAAAATTGTAATCAAGGAGAATAGTTACTCCTAAAGTACACATTTTTTTTTTTTTACAGAAACACAAGGAACTCTTGACAATGTTTGCCTTTGAGTGATAGAATGAGGAAGAGGCAGATGAAAAGAAGGTTATAGATGCTTTTTATTTAATATCTTTATGTATTGTTTGGACTGGTAAAAAGTGTTTTATTTATTGGTACTGGGTATGAGAAGCAAGTTTTATGTGTCTTTGTAAGAGGAAAGTAAAATGAGAAATAAAAGGTCAAATTAATATTTTACTTGTAAAAATGTTTGACAAATGTCTTTCTTGAAATAGTCTTTTTTTAACTTATCTGATACTACTCCTATGATATTATCCTAAGCAAATTAATGCAGCAACAGAACAAAAAACACCGCATGTTCCCACTTGTAAGTCATAGCTAATCATTGAGTACACATGGACACAAAGAAGAGAACAATAGACACTGGGGCCCACTTGAGGATAGAGGTTGGGAGGAGGGTGAGGATTAAAAAACTACCTATCAGTTATTATACTGATTTCCTGCGTGGCAAAGATCTTGTTTCTCTCTAATTAATTTTCAAGTAATCTATCTTCAAATTCACATATTCATTCTTCTGCTTCATCAATTCTTCTGTTTTTGCTCTCTATTGCTTTTTCATTTTATTCATTGTGTTCTTCAGCTGCAGAATTCCTTTTTAATGATTTCAGTATATCTCCGTTATATTTTTATTTTGTTTATTGTTTTTCTAATTTCATTAAATTGTATTCCCATATTTTCTAGTTCATGGAGCTTCCTTATAACAATTATTTTAAACTTTTTGTCAGGGCGTTTTTGTATCTCCATTACTTGTGGGTCTTGGTTATTTCCTTTCTTCTGCTGGGCGTGGGTTGGGTTTGTTCTTCTTTCTCTAGTTCCTTGAGGTGTGACCATAGAATGCCAGCTTGTGCTCTTTCAGTCTTTTCGATGTAGGTGTTTAGGGCTATGAACTTTATTCTTAGCGTCATCTTTACTGTATCCCAGAGGTTTTGATAGGTTGCGTCATTGTTGTTCAGTTTGAAGAATTTTTTAATTTTCATTTTGATTTCCTTTTTGACCCAATAATCATTCAGGGGAAGGTTATTTAGTTTCTATGTATTTGTATGGTTTTGAAGGTTCCTTTTGGAGTTGACTTTCTGTCTTGATGACCCATTTCTAGTGTTCTCAGTGGAGTATTGAAGTCCCCCACTTTTATTGTGTTGCTATCTATCTCATTTCTTAGGTCTATTAGTAATTGCTTTATAAATTTGGGAGCTCCAGTGTTAGCTGCATATATGTTTAGGATTGTGATATTCTCCTGTTGGACAAGGCCTTTTGTCATTATAAAATGTCCCTCTTTGTCTTTTTTGACGACTGTTGCTTTAAAGTTTGTTTTGTCTGATGTAAGAAGAGCTACCTCTGCTAGTTTTGGTGTCCATTTGCATGAAATGCCTTCTTCCACCACTTTATGTGAATCCTTATGTGTTAAGTGAGTCTCTTGAAGGCAGCAGGTAGTTGGTTGGTGAGTTCTAATCTATTCTGCAGTGCAGTATCTTTTAAGTGGAGCATTTAGGTCATTTACATTCAATGTTAGTATTGAGATGTGAGATACCCTTCCATTCATCATGCTATTCATTTCCTACGTATTTTGGTTTTTGTTTTTTGCCTTTTAAATTGTATTTTTGTTTTATAAGTCCTGTGTGATTTATGCTATAAAGCATAAATAGAGGTTCTGTTTTGATATGTTTCTAAGATTTGTTTCAAGATTTAGAGATTCTTTTAGCAGTTTTTGTAGTGGTGGCTTGGTAGTGGCAAATTCTCTCAGTATTTGTTTGTCTGAGAAAGACTATATCTTTCCTTCACATATGATACTTAATTTCACTGGATACAAAATTCTTGGCTCATAATTGTTTTGTTTAAGGAGGCTGAAGATAGGGCCCTAATTCCTTCTAGCTTGTAGGGTTTTTGCTGAGAAACCTGCTGTTAATCTGAGAGGTTTTTTTTTATAGGTTAACTAGTGCTTTTGTCTCATAGCACTAGTCAAGATTCTTTCCTTTGTCTTTACTTTAGATAACCTGATGACAATGTGCTTTGGAGATGATCTTTTTGCAATAAATTTTCCAGGTGTTCTTTGTGATTCTTGTATTTGGATGTCTAGGTCTCTAGCAAGACTGAGAAAATTTTCCTCAGTTATTTCCCCAAATATGTTTTCCAAACTTTTAGATTTCTCTTATTACTAAGGATCACTGACTATTTTTAGGTTTGGTCATTTAATGTAATCTGAGACTTCTTGGAGGCTTTGTTCATATTTTCTTATCTTTTTTCTTTGTCTTTGTTTGATTGGGTTAATTCGAAGACCTTGTCTTTGAGCTCTGAATTTCTTTCTTCTGTTTGTTCAATTGTATTGCTGAGACTTTCCAGAACAGTTTGCATTTCTATAAGTGTGTCCAATGTTTGCTGAAGTTTTGATTGTTTTTTGTTTATGCTATCTATTTCCTTGAATATTTCTCCCTTCACTGCTTGTATCTTTTTTTTTTTTATTTCCTTTCACTGGGCTTTGCATTTCTCTGGTGCCTCACTGATTAACTTAATAACTAACCTCCTGAATTCTTTTTCAAGTAAATCAGGGATTTCTTCTTAGTTTGGATCCATTGCTGGTGAGCTAGTGTGATTTTTTGGGAGTGTCAAAGAGCCTTGTTTTGTCATATTACCATAGTTGGTTTTCTGGTTCCTTCTCATTTGGGTAGCCTCTGTCAGAGGTAAAGACTAGGGCTGAAGGCTTTTGTTCAGATTCTTTTGTCCCATGGGGTATTCCCTTGATGTAGTACTCTCCCCTTTTTCCTATTGATGTGGCTTCCTGGAAGTTGAGCTGTCATGATTGTTCTTAAGAAATTGAAATAATATTAAGTGTCTTTTCCAATCATAATTGTATGAAACCATAAATCAATAAAAGAAGAAAATTTGAAAAATTCACAAATATGTAAAAATTAAACAACATGCTACTGAACTACCAATGCATGAAAGAAGAAATTAAAATAAACATTTAAAAAATCTTGAGACAACAGAAATTGGAAAACAAAACATACTAAAACTTATGAAATGCAGCCAAAACATTCCTAAGAGGAAAATTTACAGCAATACACACCTACATCAAAAAAGAGGAAAGATTTAAAATAAACAGTCTAATGTTATACATCAAGAAACTAGAAACAGAACAAACTAATCCCAAAATTAACTGAAGGGAGGAAATAATAAAGATAAGGGAAGGCATAAATGAAATACAGAATAGAAAAATGATAGAAAAAATCAACAAAGTAAAAACTGTTTTTTTGAAAAGGTAACATCAACAAACCTTTAGTTAGACTAACAAAGAAAAAAAGAGAAGACTCAAATAAATAAAGTCAGAAATAAAAGAGACATTATGACAGTTGCCATAGAAATGCATAGAATCATGAGCCTACTATGAACAATTACATGTCAACTTTTGGATAATCTAAAATAATGGATAAATTCCTGGAAACATGCAACCTATGCAGACTAAATTATAAAGAAACAGAAGATCTGAACAGACCAATAACAAGTCAGGAGATTAAATCAGTAGCTAAATGTATCCCAAAAAAGAAAAGCCCAGAACCTAATGGCTTAACTGCTGAATTTTATCAAACATTTAAAGATGCCATTCTTTCCCAAATTATTCCAAAAAACTGAAGATAAAAGAATACTTCCAAATGAATTTTGTAAGTCTATCATTACTCAGGTACTAAAGCCAGATAAGGACTTTTCAAGAAAAGAAAATTACAAGCCAATATCCCTGAGGAACATAGATGCAAGAATACTCAATAAAATATTGTAAGCCCTGGCCATGTGCGGTGGCTCACACCTGTAATTCCAGCACCTTGGGAGGCTGAGGCAGGCAGATCATTTGAGGTCAGGAGTTTCAGATGAGCCTGGCCAACATGGTGAAACCCTGTCTCTAAAAATACAAAAATTAGCCAGGCATGGTGGTGTGCACCTGTTAATTTCAGCAACTTGGGGGGCTGAGGCAGGAGAATTGCTTGAACCTGGAAGCCAGATGTTGCAGTGAGCTGAGATCACGCCACTGCACTCCAGCCTGGGCGACAGAGGGAGACTCCATATGAAAACATTAAAAAAATAATAATAATATTAGTAAGCCCAAATCAGCAGCACATTAAAATTATCATTCACGACTATCAAGCAGAATTTATTCTTGAGAAGAAAGGATGGTTAAACATATGCAAATTAATAAATGTGGTACACCACATTAACAGAATGAAGGACAAGAACCATATGATTATCACAACAGTTGTAGTAAAAACATTTGACATAATTCAACATCCTTTCATTATAAAAACTCTCTACTAATGAGTTTTTCAGGAATGTACTGCTACACCATAAAGGCCATATATGAGAGGTCCACAGCTAATGTTATACTCAACAGTGAAATGTTGAAATATTTTTTTTCCCTCTATGTTAGGAACAAGAAAAGGTGCTCATTTTCTCCACTTGTATTTATCATAATATTGGAAGTCCTAAGCAGAGCAGTTAGGCAAAAAGAAGAAATAAAATGTTTCTGAATTGGAAAGGGTAAAGCTAAATTGTCTCTGTTTGCAAATTGTATGATCTTACATGTAAAAAAAGAGAAAAACCTCAAAAGACTTACACAAAATAACTGTTGAAAATAATAGTAAATGTCAGTAAAGTTGGAAGATACAAAATGAACATATAAAATCTGTAACTTTTCTGTACACTAATGAAAAACTATATAAAAATAAGTCAAAAATACCATTTACAAAAGCTACAAAAAAAACCCAAAATACTTGGAAAAATTTATCCAAGGAGATGAAAAATTTGTAAACTGAAAATCACACAATACTGATAAAAGAAATTGTAGAAGACACAAATAAATGGAAATATGTTCTATGTTCATGGATTTGAATGATTAATATTGTTAAAATGTCCATAATACTCAAAGCAATCTACAGATTCAGTGCAATCCCTATCAAAATTTCAAGGATTTTTTTACAGAAATAGAAAAATAATTTTGACATTTATGTGGAACCAGAAAAGAACCCAAATAGCTAAAGCAATCTTGAGCAAAAAAGAACAAAGCTGAAGGTGTTACACTATGTGATTTGAAAATCTCCTACAGATGATAGCAGTAAAAACAGCCTATTACTGGCATAAAAAACTGACACATTGACCAAGGGAACAGAATAGAAAGTCCAGAAATAAATCCAAATATCTATGGTCAATTGATTTTTGACAAAGATGTCAAGAACACACAATGGGGGAAACACAGTCTTTTCAATAAGATGTTGATAAAACTGCATATCCACATGCAGAAGAAAAAGAAATTAGACCCTCATCTCACATCAGATGAAAAATCAACTCGAAATAAATTAAAGAGTTAAGTGTAAAACCTACAACTGTGAAACTACTAGAAGAAACATAAAGGAAAACCTCCACAACATTGGTCTGGGCAATAATTTTTATATATGACACCAAAAGCACAAGCATTAGAAGCAAAAATAGACAAATGGAATTACATCACACTAAAAAGCATATACACAAAAAAGAAAACAATAAACAGAATGAATTGATAACCTATGAAATGGGAGAGAGTATTTCCAGGACATACATCTGATAATGGGTTAATATCCAAGATACAAAAGGAACTCAAGCAACTCAATATTAAGAAAATATATAATGCATTTCAATGGGTATAGGATCTGAACAAACATTTTTCAAAAACAGTCAAACAAATTCGTAACATTTATATTTTAAAATACTAAATGTTACTAATCATCAGAAAAATGCAAATTAAGACTACAATAAAATATCACTTCACATCCGTTCAACTGGCTATTATCAAAAAGACAAAAGATAAGCGTTGGTGAAAATATGAAGAAAAGGGAACATGTGTGTACTATGGGTGGGAGTGCAAATTATTAGAGTCATTATGAAAACCACTGTGGAGGTTTTTCAAAAAATTAAAAAAAAAAATACACTGCCATATGATCCAGCAATCTCACTAGTGGGTATATATCCAAAGAAAATTAAATCAGTATGTTGATGAGATATTTATACTCCCATGTTCATTTCAACATTATTTTTTACAATAGCAAACATAAGGAATCAACCTAATTGGGCATCAATGAATGAACAGATAAAGAAATGTGGTTTTTATACACAACAGAATACTATTCTGTCTTTATAAAGGAGGAAATTCTGTAATTTGTGATGATATGTATGAACCTAGAAGACATTATGATAAGTGAAATATGCCAGGCATGGAAACACAAGTACTGCATGATCTCATATGTATATAGAATCTAAAACAATTGAACTCATAGAAGCAGAGAGTAGAATGTCAGTTATCAGAGCCTGGGAGTGAGGGGGATTGGGGAGCTATTGGTCAAAGAATATATAATTTCAGTTAGATAATAATTTCAAGAGACTTATTTTACATCATAGTGACTATAGTTAATAACAATAAATTATACAATTGAACATTGCTAAGAGAGTATAAGCATTCTCATCCCACAAAATGGTGACTTTGTTGGGCAATACATATGATATTAATTAGCTTGGTTTAGCCATTTCATCATGTATACACATATCAAAACATATTATACACTTAAATGTATAAAATTTTTGTCAAGTAGAAGGAAAAAGGAGGTGGAGAAGAAAAAAATGAAATAAAAGCAATTAGAAATAGAATAAAGAGCCCAATATTAAACCCTTGCATATAGGGTCAACCAAGTCTACTGAATGTGGAAAGTATGGTTTCTTCAACAAATAACCATGTGTAAACTTGATATCCACATGTGAAAGAATAAAGTTGGACCTTTAACTTATACCATATGCAAATATTAACTCAAATTGGATTAAAGACTTAAACATAAGAGAAAAAAACTATAAAATTCTTAGAATAAAGCATAGAGGGAAAGGTTTATACATTGGGTTTGGCAATGATATTTTTGATATGATACTAAAAGCACAGGAAACAAAATCAAAACCAAACAAGATGGACTGCATTGAAAAACACACTCAACATAATAAAAAGGAAACCAAAAAATGGGTGAAAATATTTGCAAATTATGTGTCTGATGGGGGTCAATATCCAGAATACACAAAGAACTCTTACAACTCAACAACAAAAGAAAACCCACATGACTCAATTAAAAAAATGGACAAAGACTTGAATAAACATTCCTCTAAAGAAGATATACAAATAGCCAACAAGCATATAAAAAGATGCTCAAAATCTCTAATCATTAGGGAAATGCAAATAAAAACCACAATGAGTGTCATCTCATACCAATTACAATGTCTAGTATAAGAAAGATAAAATAAAAAGTGTTGTGAGAGAATGTAAAGAAATCAGAACTCTTGTACATACATAGTTTGGTGGCTTTTCAAAAAGTTAAAAATAGTATTACCATATCATCTAGCAATCTAATTTCTAGGTATATTTGCAAATAATTCAAAGCAGGGTATTGAAGAGATAATCGCACACTCATGTCTAAGCATTATTCAAAATAGACAAAAGTAAAAGAAATCCAAGTGATCAATGGATAAATGGATAAATAAAATGTAATATATATACAAGCAATGTAATATCATTCTGCCTAAATATAATACAAATTCAGACACACACTACAACATGGATGAACCTTGAAGACATTAAGCTAAGTAAAATAAGTCAGTAACAAAAAGACAAATGCTGTATTATTTAACTTATATAAGGTATCTAGAGTATCATTTTCATAGAAACAGAAAGTAGAATGGTGGTTTCCAGGGGTTGGAAATAGGGGAAAATTGGGAGTTTTTGTTAAATGATTATAAAGTTTCAATTTTGCAAGATGAAAAACTTCCAGAGATTGGCTGCACAGTGATATGAATATAGTTAACATGAATGAACTGTATACCTAACAATTAAAAATGTTAAAGATGGTAAACTTTATTCTATGCACTCTTTATAGCATGACTGTTATAAATGACAAGCATATTAATATGGTTTTGTTAGTCACACATGGTATTTAAAAATAAAACTATCAAGTTAGTCAAAGATCAGATGGTTGTAGATGTGTGGCGTTATTTCTGAGGCCTCTGTTCTGTTCCATTGGTATATACATCTGTTTTGGTACCAGTACCATGCTGTTTTGGTTACTGTAGCCTTGTAGTATAGTTTGAAGTCAGGTAGTGTGATGGCTCCAGCTTTGTTCTTTTTGCTTACAATTGTCTTGGCTATACGGTCTGTTTTTTGTTCCATATGAAATTCAAAGTAATTTTTTCTAATTCTGTGAAGAAAGTCGATGGTAGTTTGATGGAGGTAGCATTGAGTTTATAAATTACTTTGGGCAGTATGGCCATTTTCACGATATTGATTCTTCCTATCCATGGGCATGGAATCTTTCTCCATTTGTTTGTGTTCTCTCTTATTTCCTTGAGCAGTGGTTTGTAGTTCTCCTTGAAGAGGTCCTTCACATCCCTTGTAAGTTGTATTTCTAGGTATTTTATTCTCTTTGAAGCAATTGTGAATGGGAGTTCACTCATGATTTGGCTCTCAGTTTGTCTATTATTGCTGTATAGGAATGCTTGTGATTTTCACACATTGATTTTGTATCCTGAGACTTTGCTGAAGTTGCTTATCAGCTTAAGGAGGTTTTGGGCTGAGACGATGGGGTTTGGGGGAAGGATACCCTATTTAATAAATGGTGCTGGGAAAACTGGCTAGACATTTTTCTGGTTTCAAGGTGAAACTGGACCCCTTCCTTACTCCTTATACAAAAATTAACTCAAGATGGATTAAAGACTTAAACGTTAGACCTAAAACCATAAAAACAGTAGAAGAAAACCTAGGAAATACCATTCATGACATAGGCATGAGCAAAGACTTCATGACTAAACACCAAAAGCAATGGCAACAAAAGCCAAAATTGACAAATGGGATCTAATTAAACTAAAGAGCTTCGCACAGCAAAAGAAACTACCATCAGAGTGAACAGGCAACCTACAGAATGGGAGAAAATATTTGCGATCTACCCATCTGACAAAGGGCTGATATCTAGAATTTACAAAGAACTTAAACAAATTTACAAGATAAAAACAAACAGCGTCATCAAAATGTGGGTGAAGGTTATGAATAGACACTTCTCAAAAGAAGACATTTATGTGGTCAACAAACATGAAAAAAAGCTCATCACTGGTCATTAGAGAAATGCAAATCAAAAGCACAATGAGGGCTGGGCGCAGTGGCTCACGCCTGTAATCCCAGCACTTTGGGAGGCCGAGGTGGGTGGATCACAAGGTCAGGAGATCGAGACCATCCTGACTAACACGATGAAACCCCATCTCTACTAAAAATACAAAAAAATTAGCTGGGCATGGTGGCGGGCACCTGTAGTCCCAGCTACTTGGGAGGCTGAGGCAGGAGAATGGCCTGAATCTGGGAGGCGGAGCTTGCAATGAGCCGAGATCATTCCACTGCACTCCAGCCTGGGCGACAGAGCAAGACTCCATCAAAAAAAAAAAAAAAAAAAAAAAGCACACTGAGATACCATCTCACACCTGTTAGAATGAATGGTGATTATTAAAGTCAGGAAACAACAGACGCTGGAGAGGATGTGGAGAAATAGGAATGCTTTTACACTGTTGGTGGGAGTGTAAATTAGTTCAACCACTGTGGAAGACAGTGTGGCAATTCCTCAAAGATCTAAAACTAGAAATACCGTTTTACCATTTGACCCAGCAATCCCATTACTGGGTATATACCCAAAGGATTATAAATCATTCTACTGTAAAGACACATGCACACGTATGTATGTTGCAGCATTATTCACAATAGCAAAGACTTGGAACCAACCCAAATGTCCATCAGTGATAGACTGGATAAAGAAAATGTGGCACATATGTACCATGGAATACTATGCAGCCATAAAAAAGGATGAGTTCATGTTCTTTGCAGGAACATAGATGAAGCTGGAAACCATCATTCTCAGCAAACTAACACAGGAACAGAAAACCAAACACCTCATGTTCTCACTCATAAGTGAGAGTTGAACAATGAGAACACATGGACACAGGGAGGGGAACATCACACACCGGGGTCTATTGGGGGTGGGGGACTAGGGGAGGTTCAGCATTAGGAGAAATACCTAATGTAGATCACGGGTTGATGGGTGCAGCAAACCACCATGGCATGTGTACACCTACGTAACAAATCTGCACATTCTGCATATGTATCCCAGAACTGGAAGTATAATAAAAAAAAATGAAGAATAAATAAAATGGTGTGAATTCTGAATCTACTGTAGGCAAGTTTACCTGTAGGCTTACATTGGAGTGTTGTGAATTTTTAAATTCTGAATTCATGTCTTTCTGAATTTTGTGAGACAAAATATCAGGTTAGTAAAATTTGACCCAGAACTTTTTATAATCTTTCTAAGAGTTAATTCCAACAAAATAAAGGCAAATTTTAACTCATAAGGAGTTCTAAATTTCAAGAGTGAGCCATGATCACACCACTGAACTTTAGCCTGGTTGACATATGAGACCCTGTCTCAAGAAACAAAAAGAAAAAAAGAAAGAAAAAAAAGGTGCTCATTGTATATATCACTTTCATGTAAAAGTGAAATACCATTCTACAGAATATTTTCATAATTAATTAAATGTCAATAGGTTATTACCCTGGGACTCTAGTTACTTTTTTCCAAATATTTTAAGTGGTCGGATATCAGGTGCATCATTATTTTTTCTCAGTGAAGGCTACATAAAATTCACCAGACAGATGTTTCTATGGCTTGCTTTACTTTTTTTGATAGCATCTATTCCCCAAAGAAAATAATGGGGTAATCGAAGAAAAATAAAATTAGAAGAAATCTTCTACTCTTGAAAAAGTAATATTTTTTTGTTTTGTACTTTCTTGGCAATTCATAAATACGAAATGACAAATGTCAGTGAAATACATATTTGTCTTAGTAAATTATCAACAGCACATGGTCATTCTGAAATAAAGGCTAAGTAGTACCTATCATTAACTGGTAAGTTTGTAATACTATAACTACAGATACTGTTTTTCTCCAGTGTTTTTACCACGACAACAATGACTACTTATTTTTATCACATATTATATGTGGTATGTTTTAGGGCATGTTTATACTTCCTGGAAGCTACTTCAATAGTTAAACATTTTGTTAATAATGTAATCCTCACAAGTACTATGCCAAATTAGTTGATGAAGTCTCATTGCCATTTTTTTTTACAATGGAATGATTCAAGGTGGTTTATGTAAAAATTAAAAGTCAATTTTCAGAGATCTCTCTTGGCACATTTGTAAATTTATATATGCATATATCAGTATTGTAGGTAAGATGGAAGCAGTGGTTTTTGGTTTTTGTTTGTTTTAGTAATTCTACTGATACTTAGCAGGACTTCATCATATTTATATAATAAAAATGTTAACTGCAAGTTGCTTCCCCCAACAGTGATTTGACTAAGACAATTAAATTCATTAACTTTCTACAGCTTTAGTGATGATAAATGAGCACTGGACTTGCTATCAGTGGTTTTACTTTTCTTTCTTTTATGTTTAACTTAATCGTTTTTGTCATGTGTGTGTCAGTCCATTATAATGTAGTTGAGAAATATACCATATTCAACTAATTTATCTACTTATTGGGTTAGCTCAATCAGTAAAATTAACAGAATCAAAATCATAGGCTTAGTGCCACGTGAATCTTTTAGTTTCACTCTCATCATTTCTTGAAAATTGTGTCCTGATTTTCCAGTGAAACAAGATGGCATAAGAGAAGGCTCCACTGATTGCCCCCCACCAGAAGGACACCACTTTAACAACTATCTACACACACACAAAAATCACCTTCATAATAACAAAAAATCAGGTGAGCACTCACAGCAAGTGATTTTAACTTCATATAACTGAAAGGCACTGAACAGGAAGAAAAAGCAGTCTTGAATCACACACGTGGCCTCTTCCCATCATCCCTCACACCTCATCATCTGCAAGTTTGTGGGAAAGAGAGAGGTCACAGCATTTGTGAGGCATTGAACCCAGTGCTGCCTTATTGTAGCAGGAAAAAAACTGGACCAAACTTAGCTGATGCCCATACATGGAGGGAGTACTGAATCCAGCCCTAGCAAGAAGAGAATTACAGATCCCAGTGTTCTGAACTTGAGTTCCCACTAGCCTAGCCACAACTGGCTGAAGTCCTCTGGGGCTTTAAATAAACCTGAAAGGCAGTCTAGTCTACAAGGATTGCAAATCCTAGCCATGTCCTAGTGCTGAACTGAGCCTAGAGACAGTGGATTGGGAGGGGCCACGTGGAGCTAAAGGAGTACTGGCCTCACCTCTCCCATAACTCCAGGATGTACAACTCTTGACTCCAAAATAGACCCCGACTCTACACTCCAGAAGAGAAGAGGAAAGAGTGGGAAGGACTTTGTCTTGCATCTTGGATACCAGTTTAGCCAGAGCAGAATTGGGCACTGGTCAGAGGCTTGAGGCCCACTCTTCAGGCACTAGCTCCTGAACTACATCTCTAGACATACCCTGGGCCAGAAAGGAACCTGTTTCCTTGAAGGGAAGAACCCAGTCTTGAAAGCGTCCATTACCTTCTAACTGAAGAGCCTTTTGAGCAGCAATATCCAGGCACTACACTGAGGGGCTTGGGTGAGATCTTGAGACTTGCTAGCTTTAGGTAACACTCAACACATTCCCAGCTGTGGTGACAATGGGGCAAGAGTCCTTCCGTTTAAGAAAAACCTAGGGAAAAGCAAAGGTATCTTCATCTTGCATCTTAGGTACTAGCTCAGCCACAGGGGGATATAGCACCAAGAGTGTTCTTGGCATCCCTGACTGCAGGAGTTGGCTCTTAGATGACATTTCTGAACCTGCTCTAGGCCAGAAGGGAGCCCACAGTCCTGAAAGGTGAGTTCCAAGTCAGACAGCATTCACCATAAGCTGAATGAAGAGCCCTTGGGACTTAAGGAAATATTGGTGGTAGACTGGTAGTACTTCCTATGGGCCTGTGGTGGCTGTGGCTGTGGGACAAGGATTCTCTGCCTTTAGAAAGGGGAGGGAAAAGTAGGAAGAACTGCATCTTATGGCTTACGTGCCAGCTCAGCTGCAATAGAACTCACCATCTTGAAGGAAAGGACAGAGACCTTGTTGGCTTAGCCACCTGCAGATTGTAGAGCCCTAAGGCCTTGAGTGAACATATGCCATAGTCTGGGGGTGATTTAGCAGAACTTGGGTGAGACCCACTACTTTGTATGTTTCAGGTCTGACTGAGCACTGTCATAGTGGTGGTAGCCACAGAGGTGATAGTGAAATACCACCCCAAGCTCCAGGTGGCTGAGAACAGAGACAGACTGTTCATTTCATAGAAAGTAAGGGAAGAGAAAAAGTATCTCTGCCTGGTAATCCAGAGAATTCTTCCAGATCTTGTCCAAGACCATCAAGGTGGCACCTCAGTGAGTCTGCAAGAACCACAGTGTTACTCGGATTGGGGTGCCTTATAAGCAAATAGAGCTTAGACTACAGCACTGAAGTCCTTTCAAATATCTGGAAAGCCTTCCAAAGAAGAACAGTACAAAGAAGTCTAGGCTGAGAAGACTAAAATATATACCTAACTCTTCCGTGCCCAGACACAGATGAACATCTACAGTATCAAAATCATTCAGAAAAACATGATCTTATCAAATAAAGTAAATAAGCAGCAGGGACCAATACTGGAGAAACAGAAATGTGTGACCTTTCAGACAGAGAATTCAGAATAGTTGTATTGAGGAAACTCAAAGAAATTCAAGATGACACAGAGAAGGGATATCAGATAAATTTAACAAAGAGATAGAAATAACCATAAAGAACTAAGCAGAAATCCTGGAGTTGAAAAATACAATTGGCATACTGAAGAATGCATCAGTCTCTTAATAGCAGAACTGAGAAGCAGAATAGAGTTAGTGAGCTTGAAGACAGGCTATTTGAATATACATGGTCAGAAGAGACAAAATAAAAAATAATAAAGAACAATGAAGTACATCTACTGAATGTAGAAAATAGCCTCAAAAGGACAAACCAGAGAGTTTTTTAGCTTAAAGAGGAAGTAGAGAAAGAGATAGGGGAAGAAAGTTTATTAAAGGGGACAATAAAAGAGAAATTCCCAAACCTAGAGAAAGATATCAATATCTAAGTACAAGAAGGTTATACAACACCAAGCAGACTTTTCTCAAAGAAGAGTACCTAAATGCCTTTAATGATTAAACTCATAAAGAACAAGGATAAAGAAAGGATCCTAAAAGCAGTGAGAGAACAGAAACAAAATAACAAACAATGGAGCTCCAATATGTCTGGCAGTAGATTTTTCACTGGAAATCTTACAAGCCAGGGGAAAGTGGCACAACATGTTTATTTGCTGAAAGAAAAAAAAGAAAAAAAAAACTTCTACCATAGGATAATATATCTGGCAAAAATCTTCAAACATGAAGAAAAAATAAAGATTTTCCTATACAACCAAAAACTGAGGGATTTCATCAACATCAGACCTGTTCTACAAGAAATGCTGAAGGGAGTACTTTGATAACAAAGCAAAAGATATAAATGAACAATGAGAAATCACCTGAATGTACAAAACTCACCGGTAATAGTAAGTACACAGAGAAACAGAATATATAACACTGTAACTGTGGTGTGTAAACTACTCCTATCTTAAGCAGAAAGACAATAAATCATCTAAAAATTGTAACTACAGTAACTTTTCAATACATAGTACAATAAGATATATAGAGAAAGGACAAAAAGTTAAAAAGCAGGGAGAAGTTAAGGGTTACAGTCTTCATTAGTTTTCTTTTTGCTTGTTTGCTTATTCAAAAAGTATAAAGTTTTTATCAGCTTAAATTAATGAATTATAAGAGACTTGTTGAATGGCTTTGCCCAAAATGCTGATAGCGACACGGACAATAAAGTCCAGGCTGAGGTGGTCTCAGATGGAAGTGAGAAACTTGTTGGGAACTGGAGCAAAGGTGATTTTTGTTATGTTTTAGCAAAGAGACTCCTAGCATTTTGTTCCTGCCCTAGAGATTTGAGGAACTTTGATAGTGAGAGAGATGATTTAGGGTATCTGGCAGAAGAAATTTCTAAGCAGCACAGCATTCAAGAAGTGACTTGGGTGCTGTTAAAGTCATTCAGTTTTAAAAGGGAAACAGCATAAAAGTTTGAAAAATTTGCAGCCTGACAATGCAATAGAAAAGAAAATTCAATTTTCGAGGATAAATTCAAGCTGGCTGCAGAAATTTGCATAAGTAACAAAGAGGTGAAAGTTAATTCTCAAGACAATGTGGAAAATATCTCCAGGGCATGTCAAAAATATTCATGGCAGCCCCTCCCATCACAGGCCCAGAGGCCTACGAGAAAAAAGTAGTTTTGTGGGCCAGGCCCAGGGTCCCTGTGCTGTGTGCAGCCTAGGGACTTGATACCCTGTGTCCCAGCTGCTCCAGCCTTGGCTGAAAGTGGCCAAAGTAGAGCTTGGGCCATGACTTCAGAGGGTGGAAGCCTCAGGCTTTGGCAGCTTCCACGTGGTGTTGAGCCTGTGAATGCGCAGAAGTCAAGAACTGAGGTTTGGGAACCTCCACCTAGATTTCAGAAGACGTATGAAAATGCTTGGATGTCCAGGCAGAAATTTGCTGTAGGGCAGGGTCCTTATGGAGAACTTCTGCTAGGGCAGTGCAGAAGGGAAATATGGGGTGGGAACCCCATACAGAGGTACTGGGGTACTGCCTTACTGTGGTACTGCGTCCTCCAGACCCCAGAAAGATAGATCCACTTACAGCTTGCGCTGTATTCCTGGAAAAGCCACAGACAATCAACACCAGCCTGTGAAGGAAGCCAGGAGGGAGGCTGTACCCTGCAAAGCCACAGGGACAGAGCTGCCCAATACTATGGGAATCTACCTCTTGCATCAGCATGGCCTGGATGGGAGACATGGAGTCAAAGGAGATTATTTTGGTGCTTTAAAATTTGACTGCCACACTGGATTTCAGACTTGCATGGGGCCTGTAGTCCTTTTGTTTTGGCCAATTTCTTCCATTTGGAATGCTTGTATTTACCCAATGCCTGTACCTCCATTGTATCTAGGAAGTAACTAAATCGCTTTTAATTTTACAGGCTCATAGGCAGAAGTAACTTGCCTTGTCTTGGATGAGACTTTGGACTTTGGACTTTTGAGTTAATGCTGAAATGAGTTGAGATTTTGGGGGATTGTTGGGAAGGCATGATTGGTTTTGAAATGTGAAGATACGAGATTTGGGAGGTGCCATGGGTGGAATGATAAGGTTTGGCTCTGTGTCTCCACCCAAATCTCACCTTGTAGCTCCCATAATTCCTACACGTTGTGGGAGGGACCCGGTGGGAGATGATTGAATCATAGGGGTGGGTCTTTCCCATGCTGTTCTCAGGATAGTGAGTGGGCCTCACAAGATCTGATGGTTTTAAAAACGGGAACTTTGCTGTACAAGCTCTTTTTTTTTTTTGCCTGCCACCATCCATGTAAGATGTGACTTGCTCCTCCTTGCCTTCTGCCATGATTATGAGGCCTCCCTAGCCATGTGGAACTGAAGTCCAATTAAATCTCTTTTTTTTTTTTTTGTAAATTGTCCATTCTCAGTCTCAGGTATGTCTTTATCAGCAGTGTGTAAATGGACTAATACACCTTGTTTGCAGATTATATAATCTTTTATTTGGAATAAACAAAAGACTCCACAAAAAAACTACTAGAATTGATAAATTCAGTAAAGTTGCAGGATACAAAATCAACATAAAAAGTGGGATTTCTATATGCCAACAGTGAACAATCTGAAATGGAAATCAAAAAAGTAATTCCATTTACAGTAGCCACACATAAAATTAAATACCTAGCAATTAACTAAACACAAGAAGTGAAAGTTCTCTATAATTAAAATTTTAAAGCACTGGTGAAAGAAATTGAAGAGGAAAAAAATGAAAAAAATATTCCACATTTATGGATTGAAAGAATCAATATTTTAAAAATGCCCATACTACTCAATCTACAGATTAAATGAAATCCCTATCAAAATAGAAATAACATTCTTCACAGAAATAGAAAAAAACAACTCTACAATTTATATTGAACCATAAAGACCCAGAATAGCCAAAGCCATCCTGAACAAAAAGGCTAAAACTGGAAAAATCATATTACCTGACTTCAAATTATACTACAAAGCTATAGTAACCAAAGCTGGAAGGTACTGACATAAAAACAGACACACGACCAATGGAAAAGAATAGAGAACCCAGAAACAAGTTCACACATTTACAGCAAATTCATTTATGACAAAGGTGCCAAGAACATGCATTGGGGAAAAGACAGTCTCTTCAATAAATGTTCCTGGAAAAACTGGATATCCATATGCAGAAGAATGAAACTAGACCCCTATCGCTCAGCATATAAAAATCAAATCAAAATGAATCCAAAATTTAACTCTAAGACCCTGGTTAATAAACTACCACAAGAAAACATCTGGGAAAATCTCCAGGACATAAGTCTGGGCAAACATTTTTTAAGTAATACCCCACAAGCACAGGCAACCAACGCAAAAATGTACAAATAAGATTACATCAAGTTAAAAAGTTTCTGCACAGTGAAGGAAATAACCAACAAAGTGAAGATGCAACCCACATAATGGGAAAAAACGTCTTCAAACTAACCATCTACCAAGGGATTAATTACCACAATATATAAGGAGCTCAAACAACTCTACAGAAACTATTTAATAATCCAATCAAAAATGGGCAAAATATTTGAATAGATATTTTTCAAAAGAAGACATACAAATGGCAAACAGGCATATAACAAGGAGGTTAACATTATTGATTATCAGAGAAATGCAAATCAAAACTACAATGAGCTATCATCTCACACCAGTTAAAAAGGCTTGTATCAGAAAGTCAGGAAATAACAAAAGCTGAGGAGGATGTGAAGAAAAGGGAACCATCATGCACTGCTGGTGGGAATGTAAGTTAGTATAGCCACTATGGAGAACAGTTTGGAAGTTCCTCAAAAATACTAAAAATAGAGCTACCATATGATACAGCAATCACACTACTGGGGATATACTCAGAAGTAGGGAAATTAGTATATCAAGGAGATATCTGCACTCCCATGTTTGTTGCAGCATTGCTCACCATAGCCCAAATTTGGAAGCAACCTATGTGTCCATCAACAGATGAATGGATAAAAGAAATGTGGTACTAATACAAAATAGAGTATGGTTCAGCCATAAAAAAGAATGATATCTTGTCATTTACTACAACATTAATAGAACTTGAGGTCATTATGGGCTAAGTGAAATAAGCCAGGCAGAGAACGCAAACATCACATGTTCTCACTTATTTGTGGAATTAAAAAGTCAAAACAATTGAACTCATGGAGATAGAGAGTAGAAGGATGGCCACCAGAGGCTGGGAAGGGTGATGGGAAGGTGGAGGACTGTGCAGGGGGGAGCATGGGGATGCTTAATTGGTACAAAAAATAGAAAAACATAAATAAGATCTAATATTTGATAGCACAACTGGGTGACTATAGTCATGAACAATTTAATTGTACACTTAAAAATAACTAAAAGGGTATAATTGGACTGTTAGTAACAAAAAGGACAAATGGTTGAGGGGATGGGTACCCCATTTTACATGATGTGATTTTTATGCATTGTATGTCTGTATCAAATCATCCCATGTACCCCATAAATACGTACACCTACTATGTACCTACAAAAATTAAAATAAAAAATATTTGAAAAATAAAATAAAACTATATCCTGAAATATGGTCAGCTGTCTCATGCCATAGTGACTCCAAAAACATAAAAAGGTAAAATGTGCTTATATTTAATTGTTAGGTTTTCAATCGTATAACTAAAAATATTGTTGTAGGCCATTGATTACAAGGAAAATTGGGTAGGAAGTTTTAAATAAATCAGTGCAAAACTAACAGTATTGAGGATGCCTCATTAGAGTGCCTTTGTGTATAAAGGAGACAATGACATTTTTATGTCATTTTTTGAACATTTTTATGAACATGGGTGAAAGGAAACAAATTAAGTTACCTATAATATTTGTATTTCAACAGTAAATGTGCTGACAATATATATATTATTTTGTCTGGTTTGAGTTATATTTTTATCAATAGCCTTTGCTTTGGATATGTTTACCTTTCAAAGTGTGGGTAATATAGTTAATGAAATATGCCTTGCCTAAAATAGTGACACAGAAATTATGTGAACCTGGCTTCATTATTATGAAGGATTTGGGAATAAATTGAAAATCCTTCTCTGTTCCCTGTAACATTAGTCACTTCCTCAAAGATGCAGAGAGTTTGCCATTTCCTTTATGTTTGAAAGAAGTCTGAGACATAGGATGGATTTGTGTTCTCTGATATTGTGATGGTTTTTGTACAATTCTAGAGAACCTTTTTTTTTCCTATTGATTGTGTTTATACTTATATTGTTTCTTCCCAAACAGAGAAAACATAACAAAGTGCATAGGTTGATAGATATTTTACCTTGTTCAATCGGATGGTTTTTTTCTTTGGATTGCTTTCATCTTTTTTTTTTTAATTTTTTTTTTTGAGACGGAGTCTCGCTCTGTCACCCAGGCTGGAGTGCAGTGGCGCCATCTCGGCAAGGTAGGCCTCCCGGGTTCACACCATTCTCCTGCCTCAGCCTCCCCAGCAGCTGGGACTACAGGCATCCGCAACCACGCCCAGCTAATTTTTGTATTTTTAGTAGAGACGGGGTTTCACTGTGTTAGCCAGGATGGTCTCGATCTCCTGACCTTGTGATCCGCCCTCCTCGGCCTCCCAAAGTGCTGGGATTACAGGCGTGAGCCACCACGCCCTGCCTGCTTTTATCTTTCTTTCTTGCTATGTGGTCACTTAAACAGCTGTAGATCTGTTGCTTTTATATTAGAAATCTCAGACTCATGGGTGAATTTGACAACAAATGATTTGTTGTATTCAGTATTCTTTTTCTTTTCAAACTATTCAACAAATAATAGAGGGGGAAAAAGCAAATTGTGACACATTATCTTGTCCTCCTCAAACTCTGTATGAGGAGACTCAGGAGGTATTACCTTGTCAGCTGATTTTTTAATTTCTCCCTCTTCACATATTATCTGAAAAGTATTCTCTCCTGGTTATTATTTTGAGATTGAAAAGGACCCTGACAGCGACAAAAATACAGAATTAGATGTTCTAACGCTTTGCAGAAGCTCTTCTATTTCTAACATTTGAAAGAAAAATTTTGGAAGTTTTACGTATCGAATGACAAGATTTTCACCTGAATTCTGGGCTGTAAATAATTTACAATCTCTGGAGAAATTAATGGAGATGTAATGGGTGGCAGATCAAGGGTGTGTTGTTTCTTTTATGTCCTTAAAAAGGGAAGGCGTTATAATCTAATTTAGGCAGTCAGGACCTTCTCTTATTATATATAAGCATACAATAGCTTATTATCCACGTCACATTATGTTGTGAAAGAAATAATCAATGAGTGTCCACAGTATGGTAGATGATGGTTTTCTAATATGCAGCTTTTCCTGGTTGCCAAGGAACTTCAGCAAAGCAATTAGCAATTCCCTAAGAATAGTGTATTTTGGTCTTACAAAAAGCACTGACGTTAAAAATCCCAGATACACTAACTTTTTTTTTTCTGGATTGTTATCGCCTGGCTATTTAAAAAGCATTTTTCAATACTCTGAATTTCATTTCATGACAAATGTGATCGTTCTATTTGGATCTTAAATTACCTTTTAATCATTTTCTCATTATCTCTACTATGTACCATTCTAGAGGAAGGGAAGAGGTGCAGGTGGATGTCTGTGAAGTATGGCTGAATAGAGAGAAAAAATTCTTCTTCTATTGATGCACAGGGTTGGTGTGGGCTTTTCTTTGAATTTGTAATTTGATTTTTAACTTAAATTTATTTTCCCATTCTTAATTTTCCTGACTCTATTTATGTACACATGGATAAAATTAGATAACAGTATCTGAGGTTTTTGGATAACCAAATATAACTCAAAACTTTTCTCCATTGTTTTCTTTCAGTTGTGCTCTTATTGCAAATAATTCTGATAATCTTGATTGTTTTTAACTTTTCTCCGCTTCCCATCAGGTGATTCCATAGCTCCTTATGATGTGAAACACAATCACCCCACTTCAGAATGTTATATTATTTCTCTGAAGGCCAGCAGTGTGGAATAGGTAAATGAAGATAAAATAGATCAAGGCGAAAAATTGTAAAGAGCCTAATATTGCAATTTGCTGCTGTCTCATGAAACTGCCAGTAATTTAATTATTCATTCAATAAATATTTACCCAGTCTATTATATACTGGGCACTCTGCTGGGTATTGGATGTGTAACAGGAATGCAGTTATAGTAATGAGTGATATTATATTGCAAGATGAACTATAAAAATTAATAAGTCTAATTTTACATATTGGCTATATTATTTTAAAAATTAAGAGCTGAATACAATTTTCACACACAATAGGAAAGTACCAAATGTAAAGACATCCCACCTAGTCCCAAAATAAGATTTTTTATTCTACTCACCATTTGTTGAGACTTTATAACACTTGTAAACCCTTTAATCTTCACAGTTAAAATATAATCCAATAACGGAAACCAAACGTGATAATCAAAATAATTAAATGTTTATAAAATAAAGCCCAAGAGACATTGTTGGCAGAATTGAGCACATTTTGAGAAAAAAATATTTAATTTGGGAGAATAGTACAACAATATAGAGACAATTATTCTCAGTCTATGAAGGCAGAGGAAGTATTTAAATATGTAAATTATAATCTTAGAGAAAATGTAGAACTTTAAAAAATCAGGACAGTGAAAATTATTGCCAAGGGAATCTGTACATAACTGGAGATGGTTGAATTAACTGTTCCTAGATAAAATTTGCTCTAAAAATGGTGACTAAAATTTTGGAATACATCAAAGGTAAATTTTCTCTCTGAGGCTTGGCCATTTTTTTCTATATTTATTGTAATATTAATTTTAAACATCTGTGTTTAAACATCAGTCAGATACTTTCAAAATAAGTATCATAATCATTAAAAAACAAAATCGGATGATAGAAACTTTATCTCCTTTACTTCATTTCTGTATGTTGTTTGTTGTTTTGATGGAACATTTCATATTTTGCCCAGCTCCATTTTGTCTTCAGTAGACAGATTTCTGTAACTGTCTTTACAGAATCATGACAACTATATGTATCCAAACCTCAGCATTTCTAAAGCTACGTCTATCCTTAAAATATAGGTAGATAAAATATATTTTAAATTTGTAAGTAATGAAAATAGAAAATTATGTAAAGTAAAATATATAAATTAATTGCCTTCCATATTGATAATAACAAAGAAAGGATTCACCTTCTTTTTAATATTAGGAAAGACATGAAACCTCTAAATAAAAAAAGGGTGCCAAAGCAATGTTCTCATCTTGATTCCATCTTTATCCTTTCTAGTCTGTATTCCTGTCACTCTTTCTCCACTGATTTATATTTACATTCTTCCAGTCCATTAGAAATATCCACATTTGATTTTAGACAGACTTCATTTTTTTTGCCACTGAGGATGATGGAGAATTTTCCTTTTAATGGAGTATGCCTTACTAATGTAAACATTTTTACTTTCATTTAAGTGTAATGTTTCACTGCACATAATGTCAAAGGGGTTACAGATTAACTGTATTTATTTAATAAGATACTCTCTGAGTTGCTTTTCTTTAAATAAACCTAAGTTGTACAATAGGATCCATTAAAGTCAATTTCTGTGTAAGATAGCACATCTGGCTGCTTTATGTGAACAGTTTGCAACATAAAATATGTATTTATATTATATGATTGCATATACTACTACTGTAATTCTACAACACAAATACTTGTACTGATGTTCAAAGCTGTATATTTTTAGTTTACATTTCTTCTTTAGTTGATGTCTAAACCTTGGATTTTGAAGTGAAAAAAATCACCTTTATTGTATAAAAGGTTGAATGGCATAATTGAGATTTGGAGTTTTAGTAAATTCTCACAGAGGTGCAAAATAATAGAAATAACTTAAAAGTAGAGAGGTTATGCGAAGTTTAAGAATTTAGACACAATAGGCAGTATTAGTTTTATAGTGAGTATGTTTTTTCTTCTTATGTGTTTAGCTCTATAATACTGATAATTGACAAATAAAATATTTTGTGTCATAAGATGCTTCTATCCAGGCATTTAATGTTTTTCAGATTGTAAGACGCTTTTCCTCCATTGGAATAAATTGTTTTCTAACTCACACACCAATAGTTTCACTTTGAAGGGTTCTCACTTTTGAAGAAATATGTTGAAGAAAATGATCTGGATGATTAAGTAGAAAGAGGTTGATGAATAGCCAAGTAAAAATAGCACCTGTAGCCGTGTAAATTCACAGGGCATTTACAGGAAAATAATTGAAAATAATTGCAAAATCAAGAAATTGATCTTCATGCAGCACATTCTATGGCCTAAAGAAACTAGTAAGCCATTTTGCTTGTCAAGACTATTTTCTGAATTCTTATGGATGACATATATGTTATGGGGATATGTGGTAAGTGTCTTCTGTCCTTAACAAAACTATTGAGGCCCATAAGAAGGATATTAAGCTAATAATAAAGTATTTTAAAAATTATTTTAATGTGACCTCAGAGGAATACGTCTGAGATTTTTTTTTTTTTAATTTCAGCTTTTATTTTAGATTCTGAAAGTACATATGTAAGGTTGTTACAAGGGTATATTTGACCCAGGTGGTGAGCATAGTACCCAGTAGGTAGTTTTTAAACCTATGCTTCCCTCTCTTCCTCCCTCCTCTAGCAGTCTGCAGCATTTTCCCCCCCACCATGTTTATGTGTATACTTTCTCAATGTTTAGCTCCCACTTATAATAAAAAAGCATGCAGTATTTGTTTTTCTGTTCCTGTGTTAATTCGCTTAAGATAATGTCCTCCAGCTCCATCCATGCTGCTTCAAAGGACATGATCTCATTCATTTTTGGGACTGTGTACTATTCCACAATGTATATGTACTATATTTTATTTATCCAGTCCACCGTTGATGGGCACCTAGGCTGATACCATGTCTTTGCTATTGTGAATAGCACTGCAATGAACATACAAGTGCATATATCTTGTTGGTATAATGATCTATATTCCTTTGGGTATATACCCAGTGTATTACTTCATTCCCACATTGCTATAAAGAACTACCTGAGTCTGGGTAATTTATAGGAAAGAGGTTTAATTGTATTACAGTTCCACAGGCTGTACAGGAAGCATGGCTGCGGAGGCCTCAAGAAAATTACAGTTATGGCAGAAGGTGAAGGAGAAGCAGGCACATCTTACATGGCTGGAGAAGGAGGAAAAGAGTGAATGGGAAGGTGTCACACACTTTTAAACAACCAGGTCTTGTGAGAACTCACTGTCACTAGAACAGCAAGGGGGAAATCCACCCCCATGATTCAATCACCTCCCACCAGGCTCCTCCTCCAACATTTGGGTTCACAATTCGACATGAGATTTGGGCGGGGACACAATCCAAACCCTATCACCCAGTAATGGTTTAATGAGTTTAATGGTGGCTGTGTTTTAAGATCTTTGAGAAATATCGAACTACTTTCCACAGTGGCTAAACTAATTTACATTCCCACAGGCAGTGTATAAGCATTCTCTTTTCTCTGCAGCCTCACCAGCAACTGTTGTTTTTTGACTTTTTATTAATAGCCATTCTGACTGGTGTCAGGTAGTATTTCACTGGGTTGATTTGCATTTCTCTAAGGGTTAGTGATAATAAGCATTTTTCATATATTTGTTGGCCACATGTGTGTCTTCTTTTGAAAAGTGTTCATGTCCTCTGCTCATTGTTTAATGGGGTGATTTGATTTTTCTTTGTTGAATTCTTGCAGTTTATTGTAGATCCTACATATTAGACATTTTTTAGGTGTGTAATAGTTTGTGATTATTTTCTCCCGTTCTGTATCCTGTCTGTTTACTTTGTTAATTGTTTCTTTTGCTGTGCAGAAGCTCTTTTGTTTAATTAGGTCTTGCTTCACTTTTTATTTTTATTGAAATTGCTTTTGGGAACTTGGCCATAAATTATTTGCCTATATTGAGAAAGGTATTTTCTAGGTTTTCTTCTAGGATTTTTATGGTTTGATGTATTACATTTAAATTTTTAATTCAATTTGAGTTTGATTTTGTACATGATGAAAGGCAGGCATCTAGTTTCATTCTTCCACATATGGCTAGCCAGTTATCCCAGCAACATCTATTGATGAGGGAGTTTTTTCCCCATTGCTTGTTTTTGTTGGTCTTGTTGAAGATCCGATGGTTGTAGATGTGCAGCTTCATTCCTGAGGTTTTTTTTTTGTTCCATTGATCTCTGTGTGTGCTTTCATATCAGTAT
The DNA here is from genome assembly GCF_000001405.40 of Homo sapiens. NCBI lineage: Eukaryota > Metazoa > Chordata > Mammalia > Primates > Hominidae > Homo > Homo sapiens. The sequence continues at coordinate 81,525,514 of NC_000023.11, forward strand.
CACCTTATAGCATAGTTTCAAGTCAGGTTATGTGATGCCTCTGGCTTTCTTCTTTTTGCTTATTATTTGGGCTCTTCTTCTGGTTCCATATGAATTTTCAAATAGTTTTTTCTAATTCTGTGAAAATTGTCATTGGTAGTTTGATAGGAATTGAATATAATCTGTAGATTACTTTGCCATTTTAATGATATTGATTCTTCCAATGCATGAGCAGTGGAATGTTTTTTCATTTATTTGTGTCATCTCTGATTTCGTTCAGTAGTGTTTTGTAGTTCTCCTTGTAGAAATTGTTTAACTCTTTGGCTAGCTGTAGTTTTATGTATTTCATTTGGTCTATGGCTATTGTAAATGTGATTGTGTTGTTAATTTGACTCTCAGCCTGGACATTATTGGTTTACAGAAATGCTACTGATTTATATGACATTGATATGTATCTTGATGTCTTGCTAAAATCATTTATCAGTTCTAGTAGCCTTTTGGCAGAGTCTTTAGGTTTTCTAAGTATAGAATTGTATCCTCAGTGAAGACAGAGAGTTTGACTTTCTTTCTAATTTGGATGCCTATTATTTATTTTTCTAGCCTGATTTCCCTGTTTAGGACTTCCAGTTATATGTTGAATGGGAGGGGTGAGAGTGAAAATCCTTCCCTTGTTTCAGTTTTCCAGGGGAATGTTTCCAGCTTTTGCCCATTCAGTATGATGTTGGCTATAGGATTGCCATAGATGGCTCTTATTATTTTGAGGTATGTTCCTTTGTTTCCTAGTCTGTTGAAATTTTTAATTATGAAGGGATGTTGGATTTTATCAAAAGCCTTTTCTGCATCTACTGAGATGATCATTTTTTTTTAATTTTAATTTTGTTTATGTGGTGAATCACATTTTGACTTGCATATACTGAACCAACCTTGGATCTCAGGAATAAAACCTACTAGATCATGGGAAATTAGCTTTTTAATGTGGTTCTGGATTCAATTCACTAGTATTATGTTGTGTATTTTTGCATCTATGTACACCAGAGATATTGGTCTGAAGTTTTCTTTATTTATTGCGTCTCTGCCAGATTTTGATACTAAGCTGATGCTGGCTTCACAGGAGTTTGGGAGGAGCTCCTCCTCATCCATTTCTTGGAATAGTTTCGGTAGGATTTGGACCAGTTTTTCTTTGTATGCCTGTTAGAATTTTGCTGTAAATCCATCTGTTCCAGGGCTTCTTTGCGTTGGTAGGTTTTTATTATTACTGATTCAACTTCAGAGCTCAATATTTGTCTATTCAGTGTTTCAGTTTCTTCTTGATTCAATATGGACAGACTGTGTTTCAGGAATTTATCCCTTTCTCACGGATTTTTTAATTACTATGCACAAGTTTGTTAATAGTTTTCCAGAAGGATCTTTTGTATATCTGTGGGATTAGTTGTCCTGTCATTTTTGTCATTTCTGATTGTACTTTTTGAGTCTTCTCTCTTTTTTTCTTTGTTAATCTAGCTAGACATATATCATCAATCTTATTCATGTTTTAAAGAACCCACTCTTGGTTTCATTGGTCTTTCATAGGGATTTTTGCATCTCAACAGCATTCAGTTCTCTAATTATAGTTATTTCTTTTCCTCTGCTAGCTTTGAGGTTGACTTGTTCTTTTATTTCTGTTTCTTTAGGTGCAAGGGTAGCTTGTTAATTTGAGATCTTTCTAACTCCTTGATGAAGGTGTTTACAGCTATAAACTTACAAATTAACCCTGCTTTTGCTGTATCCTCAAGATTTAGGTAACTTATGATCACATGTTCATCATTGTCACATATATATTTTTTTACTTCTACCTTAATTTGATGTTCACCAAGGAGTTACTCTGGAACAAGTTGTTTAATTCCCATGTATGTCTGTAGTTTTGGTATATCTTCTTGACGTTGATCTCTATTTTAATTGCATTGTGGTCTGAGGATATGTGTGGTATGATTTCAATTTTTTTGAACTTATTGAGTTTAAGAAAACTTTATGACTGAGCATGTGGTCAATTTTAAAATAAGTTCCATATGCAGTTGAGAGGAATGTATATTTTTTGGTTGTTTGATAGAGTGTTCTGTAGATGTCTATTCAGTCCAATTGGTCGAGTGTTGACTTTAAATCTAGAGTTTCTTTTGCCTCAATGATCTGTCTAATGCTATCAGTGGGTTGTTGAAGTCTCCCACTATTATTGTGGTTCTTTAATTCCTTTTGTAGGCCGAGAAGTTGTTTTGTAAATCTGGATGCTCCAATGTTGGATGTTTATATATTCAGGGTAGTTAGGGCTTCTTGTTAGATTGTACCCTTTTTTATTATGTAATGTTCTGCTTTATCTGTATTATTTTTTATTTGTTTAAAACCTACTTTATCTTATATAATAACAACTTCTGCTCTTTTTTTTTCCATTTGCATGGTAGATCTTTTTCCATCCTTTTACTTTTAGCCTGCGGGTGTCATTAAAAGTGAGATGGGTCTCTTGAAAATAACAGATGGTTGGGTCTTTTCTTTTTTTCCAGCCTGCCACTCTATGTCTTTCAAGCAGGGCATTCAGCCCATTTACATTTAAGGTTAGTATTGATATGTGTGATTTTAATCCTCTCATCATGTTGTTAGCTGGTTGTTATGTAGACTTGATTGCATAGTTACTTTATAGTGCCTGTGAGCTATGTGCTTAAGCGTGCTTTTGTGGTAGCAGGTGTCATTATTTTTGTTCCCTGTTTAGCACTCTCTTAAGAACCTCTTGTAAGGCTGGTCTAGTTGAAACATATTCCCTCAGCATTTGCTTGTGTGAAAAGAGCTTTATTTCTCCCTTACTTATGAAAATTAGTTTGGCAGGATATGAAACTCTTAGTTGGAATTTATTTTCTTTAAGGACACTGAAAATTGATCTTTAATCTCTTCTGGCTTGTAAGGTTTCTGCTGAAAAGTTTTCTCCTAGCCTGGTGGCACTCCCTTTTTATGTGACCTGGCCCTTTCTCTAGCTGCCTTTAAGACTTTTGTTTGTTTTTTTGCATTCTCTTTCATGAAGCTGATGATTATGTGCTTTGTGGATGGTCATCCTACATAGTGTCTAGCCAGGGTTCTCCCTATTAGTTGGATTTGCATGTCAAACTCTATGAAGATTAGAAAAATATTCATGAAATATGTCCTCAAACATTTTCAAGTTGGTAATTTTTTTTCCTCCCTCAGAAATGCTGATGAGTCATAGATTTGGTCTCTTTATGTAATCTCATACATCTCAGAGGTTTTGTTTATTTTTTTATTTCATTGCAACTATTGTTTTAGATTTAACTGGTCCATGAGCAGGTTTGTTACATGGGTAAATTGCATGTCATGGGGTTTTGGTGTACAGAAAATATTGTCACCCAGGTGGTCAGCATAGTACCCCATAGGTAGTTTCTCAATCCTCACCCTTTTTCCACCGTCAACCATCAAGTAGGCCCCAGTGTCTATTGTTCCCTTTGAGTCCATGTAAATTCAGTGTTTAGCTCCCACTTATAAGTGAGAACATGCAGTATTTGGTTTTCTGTTTTTGGGTTAATTTGCTTAGATGAATGGCTTCCAGCTCCATTGTTGCTGCAAATGACACAATTTCATTCTTTTTTATGAATCTGTAGTATTCCATTGTGTATATGTACCACATTTTCTTTATTCAGTCCACGGTTGATAAGCATCTAGGTTGATTCCATGTCTTTGCTGTTACGAATAGTGCTGTGATGAACATATACGTGTATGTGTCTTTAGTAGAATGATTTGTATTTCTTTGGGTATGTAGCTAGCAGTGGAATTGCTGGGTCTAATGGTAGTTCACTTTTAAGTTCTCTGAGAAATCTATTTTTCACAGTGGCTGAAGTAATTTATATTCCCGCTAGCACTGTATAAATATTCCTTTTTATCTGTGACCTTACTATCATCTTTTATTTTTTGACATCTTAATAATAGCTATACTGACTGGTGTGAGGCTATATATTTTTGTGGTTTTGTGATTAGTGATGTTGCATATTATTTTATAGGCTTGTTGGCTACGTGAATGTCTTCTTTTGAGAAATGTCTGTTCATGTCCTTGACCCATTAGTAATTTTTCTTTTTTCTTTCTTTTTTTTTTTTTTTGCTTGTTGATTTGCTTAAGTTACTTATAGATTCTGGATATCTGGATATTAGATGTTTTTCAGATGTATAACTTGCAAATATATTCTCAACTTCTGTAGGTTGTCTTTTTACCCTGTGTATAATTTCTTTTGCTTTGCAGAAGCTCTTTAGTTTAATTATGTCTTCTCAATTTTGGTTTTTGTTGCAATTGCTTTTGTAGTCTTTGTCATGAGGTCTTTGCCAGGGCTGATATCCAGAGTGGTCTTTCTTAGGTTTTCCTCTAGGGTTTTTATAGTTTTAGGTTTTACATTTAAGTCTTTAATCCATCTTGAGTTGATTTTGTATATGATGAAATGTAAGGGTCCAGTTTCAATCTTTTGTATATGGCTAGCCAGTTATTCCATCACCATTTATTGAATAGGGATTCATTTTCCCATTGCTTGTTATTCTCAACTTTGTTAAAGATCAGATGGTTATAGGTGTGTGGCTTAATTTCTGAGTTCTCTAACCTGTTCCATAATTCTATGTGTCTGTTTTTTATCAGTAGTAAGCTGTTTTAGTTACTGTATTCTTGTAGTATAGTTTGAAGCTGGGTAGTGTGATACCTCCAGCTTTGTTCTATTTGCTTAGGATTGCTTTGGCTATTTGGGCTCTTTTTGGGTTTCAAATAAATTTTAGAAATTTTTTTCTAATTCTGTGAACAACATTATTGGTAGTTTGATAGGAGAAGCATTGAATCTGTAAATTGCTTTTGGCTGTATGATCACTTTTACAACATTGATTTTTCCTATCAATGAGCTTGAAATATTTTTCCAGCTGTGTGTGTCATTTCTGATTTCTTTCAGCAGTGTTGCTTTGTTATTTTTCTTTAAGAGATCTTTAACATCTCAATTTAACTGTATTTCTAGGCATTTTATTCTTTTTATGTCTATTGTGAATGGGATTGCATTCTTGATTTGGCTCTGAGCTTGGACATCATTGGTGTATAGAAACGCTACTGACTTTGTTTTGTTTTGAGGTGGAGTTTCCCTCTTGTTGACCAGACTGGAGTGCAATGGGGTGATCTCGGCTCACCGCAACCTCTGCCTTCTAGGTTCAAGCGATTCTCCTGCCTCAGCCTCCCGAGTAGCTGGGATTACAGGCATGCACCACCATGCCCGGCTAATTTTGTATTTTTAGTAGAGACGGGGTTTCTCCATGTTGGTCAGGCTGGTCTCAAACTCCAAACTTCAGGTGATCCACCTGCCTTGGCCTCCCAAAATGCTGGGATTACAGGCGTGAGCCACCATGACCGGCCTGATTTTTTACATGCATTTTTTATATTGAAACTTTGCTGAAGTTGTTTATCAGATCTAGGAGTCTTTGGGAAAAGACTATGGAGTTTTCTAGATATAGAATTATATGCTATGAGAGACAGTTCAACTTTTTCTCTTTCTATTTGGATGCTTTTGCTTTCTTTCTCTTGCCTGATTGTTCTGGCTAGGGCCATCAGTACTATGTTTAAGAGGAATGGTGAGAGTGGGGACTTTTGTCTTGTTTCACTTCTCCAAGGGAATGCTTACAGCTTTCATCTATTCAGTATAATGTTGGCTGTGGGTTTTTCATAGATGGCTCCTATTGTTTTGAGGTATGTACCTTCAATGCCTAGGATTTTCCATTTTTAATATGAACGGACGTTGAATTTTATGGAAAGCCTTTTCTAATCTAATCTATTGAGATTATCATGTTGCTTTTTTTTAAGTTCTGTTTCTGTGATGAATCACATTTATTGATTTGGGTATGTCCAAACAACCTTACACTCCAGAGATAAGGCCTACTTGATCATGGTGGATTAGCTTTTTGATGTGTTGTTGGATTCAGTTTGCTTGTATTTTCTTGAGGACTTTTGCATATATTTTTATCAAGGATATTGACCTGAATTTTTTTTCATTATGACTCTGCCAGTTTTTTGGTGTCAGAATGATGCTGGCCTCATAGAATGAGTCAGGGAAGATTCCCTCATTCTCAATTTTTTGGAATAGTTTCAACAGGGTTGGTACCAGGTCTTTATTTGTCTGGTAGAGTTTGGCTGTGAATCTGTCTGGTCCATTGCCTTTTCTGGTTGGTAGGATTTTTTATTACAGATTCAATTTCAAAACTAATTAGTGGTGTGTTCATGGTTTCAATATCTTCCTGCTTCATTATTGGGAGGTTGTGTGTTCACAGAAATTTATACATTTCTTCTAGGATTACTAATTAGAGTGCATAGAGGTGTTCATAATAGTCTCTGAGTGTATTTTGTATTTCTGTGGGGTCAGTAGTGATGTCCCCTATTTCATTTCTGATTGTGTTTATTTGGATATTCTCTTTTTTCTCTTTATTTGTGTAGCTAGAATGCTAGCAATCTTTTTTTTCAATAAAACCACAATTTTTGGTTTTGTTGATCTTTTGTACCACATCTCAATTTTGTTCAATTTAGCTCTGATTTTAGTTTTTTCATTTATCCTGCTTGTTTTGAGGTTAGATTGCTCTTGTTTTTCCAACTCCTTTAGGTGTGATGTTAGATTGTTAATTTGAGGTATTTGTAAATTTCGTATGTGGGCATTTAGTACTTTAAACTTTATTTTTAACAGTGTTTTAAGTGTGTCCCATATATTCTGGAATGTTTTATGTTTTTTATCATCTGTTTTACAGAATTTTTAGATTTCTGCCTTAATTTTATTGTTTACCCAAAAGTCATTTAGGAACAGTTTGTTTGATTTCCATTTAATTGTATGATTTTGAGAGATCTTGGTATTTATTTCTTTTTTTATTGAACTGAGAGTGTGGTTTGTAAGATTTTGATCTGAGAGTGTGGTTGCTATGATTTCATTTTTTTAATTTGTAGAAAAGTGTTTTGTGAAAAGAATGATATCATGTCCTTTGCAGGGACATAGATGGAGCTGGTGGCTATTATTCTTAGTAAACTAACACAGGAACAGAACACCAAATACTGCATGTTCTCACTTGTAAGTGAGAGCTAAATAATGAGAACACATGGACACAGAGGGGAACAACACACACTGCTGCCTTTTGGAGGGAGGAGGTTGGGAGGAGGAAGAGAATAAAAAAAAAACTAATGGGTACTAGGCTTAATACCTGGGTTATAAAGTAATCTATACAACAAACCCCCATGGCACAAGTTTACCTATGTAACAAACCTACACTTGTAACCCTGAACTTGAAGTAAAAGTTAAAAAAAACTGCTTGATGGCTGAGTGTGAGTTTGATTTTAGAGTCTCTGCTATGTGCAGATGAGAATAATGTATATTCTGTTGTTTTGGGCTGGAGATTTCTGTAGATGTCTATTAGGTCTATTTGGTTAAGTGTTAACCTTAAGTCCCACATATTTTTGTTAGTTTTCTGTATCAATCATCTGTCTAATACTGTTAGTGGGGTGTTAGAGTCTCTCACTGTTATTGCATGACTAAGTCTCTTCATACATCTCAAAAATCTTGGAATCTGGGTGCTCCTATGCTGGATGCATATATAGTTAGAATATTTAAGTCACCTTGTTGCATTGAACTCTTTATCACTAAGTAATGCATTTCTTTATCCTTTTTGATTCTTGTGGTTTAATGCTTGTTTTCTCTCAAATTAGAATAGCAACCTATGCACTTTTATGTTTTATGTTTGCTTGATAAATCTTTTCTCATCCCTTTACTTTGAGTCTATGGTTGTTCTTTCATGTGAGATGGGTATCTTAAAGACCGTGTACAGTTGGGTCTTGCTTCTTTACTCAATGTTCCACTCTGTGCCTTTTCAGAGAGGTGGTTAGCCTGTTTTTATTCAAGGTTAATATTAATATTTGCAGATTTGATTCTGTCCTCATGTTGTTAGCTGATTGTTACGTGTCTTGTTTGTGTATTTGCTTTATAGTGTCAATCGTCTATGTACTTGAGTGTGTTTTTAGGGGTGGACAGTAATGGTCTTTTTTTTCTTCATACTTAGCACACCCTTAAGGAACTGTTGTAAGATAGGTCTGTCAGTATCAAATTCCCTCAGCATTTGCTTGTGTGAAAAAACTTTATTTCTTTTTGGTTTATAAAGCTTAGTTTCACTGGATATGAAATTCTTGGTTGGAATTTCTTTGCTTTAGGGATGCTGAATATAGGCCCTCAATCTTTTCTGGCTTGTGGGATTGAGGTCTGCTGTTATCCTGATGGGGCTCCCTTTGTAGGTGACCTGCTCCTTCTCTCTAGCTGCCTTTAATGTTTTCTCTTTTACTTTGACGTTGGAGAATCTGATGACTATGGGTCTTTGTGCATTTTGGGTGGTTGTCTTGTTTAGTATCTCCCAGGGTTTCTCTAAATTTTCTGAATTTGGGTGCGATCCTCTCTAGTGAGGTTGTAAACATTTTTATGGACAATATGCTCAAATATTTGTTCCAAGTTGCTTTCATGCTCTCTCTCCCTCTGCTCTGCTTTCTCTCTCTTGGACCTCTACAAGTGATAGATTTAGTCTCTACATAATCCAATATTTCTCAGACATTTTGTTCATTTTTTTTCAAATTATATTTTCTCTGTTTTTATCTGACTGAGTTAATGCAAAAAGTGGTATTTGAACTCTGAGATTATTTCCTCAGTTGGTCTATTCTGTTGCTAGTGCTATAAATTGTGTTATGAAATTACTGTAGTGTGTTTTTCAGTTTCATGAGCTCAAATCTGGTTATTTCCTAAAATAACCATTTTGTTTTTCATCTCTTGAATCATTTTATTGGATTCCTTATATTTCTTTGGAATGGGTTGCAACTTACTTCTGGATATCAATTATCTTTGTTGTCATCCAGGTTCTGAATTCTGTGTCTGTAGTAGCTGCCATTTCATTCTGGTTGAGAAGCATTGCTGTGGATCCAGTGGAGTTGTTTGGAGGTAAGGATACACACTGGCTTTTAGTTGCCAGAATTCTTGCCCTGGTTGTTTCTCATCTGTGTGGGCTGATGTTCTTTTAACTGTGATGTAATTTGATTATACTCAGTTGGCTTCATTTCTGGATGTTTTCAGAGGGCTGAGGCTTTGTGTAGGCTCTTTATTTGTGGCTGAATTCTTCTCCTTGGTCTGACAGGGAGGATGTCTTAACATAGTATTTTCATTATTGAAGTTTGAGCTGCTACCTAGTAGCTGGCACTTAAGTGTAATTCCTGATAGATAGGTTCTTACACTGCCATGTGACTCCTTGTTACTTCTTCATGTTGCATCCCTGCACCCTCTCAGTGCTCTGAGTGTGTAGGCTCCTCTCCCTCTCAAGTGCTGGCCACACATCTTGGCTTGGCACTCCCAGGCTGCACATTTCAGCCCTGGGTCAGGCTCAGACTTTTTATTCACTTACCATCTTAAGGGTTGCATGGTTGGGGACCTTGTCAGTGGCAATGACAGAGACCCTTTCACTTGACTCTTGTCTCTCTCCGATGAGAATATATATTCTGTTTTTGTTGGGTAGAGTGTTCTTTAGATGGATGTTGAATCCATTTCGTCAAGTATCAAGTTCAGGTCTAGAATATCTTTCTTAGTATTCTTCCTCAATGATCATTCAATATTGTCAGTGGGCTGTTGAAGTCTCCCACTATTATTGTGTGGTTATCTAAGTCTCTTCATAAATCTCTAAGAGCCTGTTTTATGACTCTGGGTACTGCAGCGTTGAGTGCACATTGGCTTAACGCCAGAGAAATGCAAAACTGCTGCCAATTAGAATAATCAGCCTGGGGTGGGGTGTCTGCATTGCTTGCCCAAGATGGGGGACTCTGCCTGGTGAAAAGAATGTGGGGTGGTGGACTCATGGGGAAGACAGTCTCTATAGGATGGCTGTGGCATACGGATTTTGAGTAAAGAACTCAGGCTCTTTGTCGCTTCCACAGCCTGGAGGCAGAAAGGGTGGATACTGCTGCAGCATCAGTGACAGAGGGGCTGTCAGTTATCTCTGGGAACTCCATCCCAGGGAGATATGAAGCCACTACTAATACAAATGTTCAGCTGAAGGATCTGAGCATCTGCACTGCTGACCCAAGCCAGGGGACCTGCCTAATGAAGAGCAGGGATTCAGAGGCTCAGAGAGAGGAGAGACTGGCCTCCAGTATGGGAGCTGTGGCATGCTGTCAGTGCAATGAAAGCCATCAGGCTCATTGTTCCTTCCCCAAGGACAGCAAGGGCAGTACCACTGCAGTGGCGATGGCAGAGTCTGTAGATTGTCTCTGGAATTTCCTCCCATAGAAATGCAGAGGTGCCACTGACTGAAGTGATAAGCTCGATGCAGGGCTGCTATGTTGTAGGCCCATGTCAGAAGGTCGTGCCCATTGAGGAGCAGTTGGGAGCAGGAACCCGCATGGAAAATAGTCTGGCTACTTTTTCATAATGCAGCTGTGGTGTGCTAGAGGCCCATGATAGTTCTTGGGTTCTTCACTCTCTTCCCAGCTTGAAGGCAGTAAGGGTGGGGCTGTGGCAGTGGCAAAAATGGCAGACCAGTTGGTGACTTCTGGGAGTTCTGTCCCAGATAAATGCAGAGCTGCTACTGGCTCAAGTATTCTGATGAGGGTGTGGTGGCTATGCTGGGGTTTCAGGACAGTGGGGTTTGCCTGGCAATATGTAGCAGAGACAAGGCCTGTAGTCTGTCTTCTTCTTAGTACTGTGGATGCAGCTCCTATCCTTGGACCGTGCAAGAAGCCTGGCATCCCTTGTCAGAGAAGCTATGGTAGCAGATGCCAGAATACTTAAGAGTCCAAGGCCCTTGGGACTTTATGTGGGCCTGAGTGGTGACCTTTCCCAGACTCCACACAGTTTTCCATGTTAGTCTGGATGTCCCAGGGAAAGGGGGTCAGGGGAGATCTCCTGTTTCCAGGATTGCAAAGGTCTATGGCAGAAGTGTGAGTCTCTTGGGTCTCTTGCTCACTCAGTATTTCCCCATGGTTAGGAGCCTCCCTGGGCTCCATGTCATTCCTGGGTAGGCAGCTATCCGGTCTTCATCCTCTCTGATCTCTGTGAGTCATGATACTGCCTTGATGAATCCCAATGTGTCCTCCTGGATGATCCCATTGAAAAGCTCATGTTTACTAGCCACCCTATCTCCTCTGCATGAGAATAGTGCACATTAGCTCCTTCTAGTCAGCCATCTTGACCTTAACCCTTTTGTTCATTAATTTTTTTTCTTCATTTTTGTCTGACTGAGTTGATTCAAAGAACTGGCCTTTGAGCTCTGAGATTCTTTCCTCAGCCTGGTCTATTCCACTATTAGTACTTCTGATTATATTATAAAATTCTTGTAGTGACTTTTTTAGATCTAATATTTCAGTTTAGTTCTTTCTCAAAATGACTATTTTATCTTTCAGATTTTGGATCATTTTACTTGATTTTTTGGATTCCTTGGATTGGGTTTCAATTTTTTCTTGAATCTCGATGAGCTTCCTTGGTTTCCATATTCTGAATTCTCTGTCATTTCAGTCATTTTAGACTGGTTAAGAACCACTGCTGGGAAGCTAGTGGCTCGTTTTGAGGTAAGTGGACACTCTGGCTTGTTGGCTTGCCAGTGTTCTTGTACTGATTCTCAATTGGAAAGACTGATGTTCCTTTAATGTAGCACAAATTGAGTATAGTCATTTGGCTTCATTTCCGGATGCTTTCAGGGAACAAGGGCTCTGTAAAGAATATGTGTGGGTGAATATTTGCGCTTGTTTTTCTCAGGTGTATATTTTAGTAGGATAAATTTCTGGTGCTATAGTTTGGTCTGTGACCCAGTAGATGGCACTTAAGAGTAATGGCTGGTATCTAGGCTAATACCCAACCATGCGGCTGTTTTCATTAGGTGTTCAAGGCGCAGGTCCACCTTGGGCAGAGGCTGTGGCTGGGAAATATGCCACACTTTTTGTGGACTGGACTGGCCATGTGGAAGGAAGTATGCCCTGCTCCCACTCAGTTCAGGAGCCAATGTGTCTCATCCCTCTCAGTGCTGTAAGGGTGACGTTCCTCCCATGCCCGAGTGCTGGCTACAGATTTCGGCTCCATACTCCTGAGCTTTTTGCTGCAGCCCTGGGGGTACTGGATGTCTCACAGCTTGGGTTGAGTTCATACTGCTGTGGTGTAATCTGATTTATTCCTGGGTCACCAAGAAAGTACTCAGGTACAGCAGTGCACTCAGTCTGTGCTGTGCAATCTGAGCTGTGCACCCACTCCTGCAAGGCAGCTAGGCATGGAACCTCGGAGGGGCTGGTGAGCAATAGGACTTGCAGAACAGATGTGCCACAGTCCCACAGGAAAACCGGCTCCAATCTCACTGGCTCGAGGGTCAGCTGGGCCCTGTGCCTCTTGGAGTTAGACAGGAAGCCCTGGGTATGTATGTCTATGGCTGCTCTCCAATGAAGCTTATCAGTGCACAAAAGCTCCCTTACTCCATGCCATCTGAAGGCCTGTCTCTGCCAGATCATGTGTCCCTGGGGGACACAGGGTCCATTGTGACTAGGATCTCAGAGGTCCATAGTGAAAGCCAGCTTTCCCTCAGTTCTCTCACTCACCACTTTCCCAAGGTTTACTCAGGGCCAGGAACTAGCCCTGCCTTTTGGGTATCCTGTCAGGGGATCCCAGCTTCCCCCTCCTTCAGCGTGGGCTTCACCATTGCATTTTTGTTCATTCTCAGTGGTTTCTTTCTCTGAAGGTCTGCTCAAAGTATGGTGATTTACTTGATAATGTGGGCTCTCTCAGTGGGAGCAGTGCTTTCTGACTGTATTTTGTCAGCCATCTTATCTCCTCAAGTCTGATATTTTAAAAAACAAATGTTTGGTAGGAGATGGAGCAAGATAGCTGAATAGAAGCCTCCAACAATCGTTCTCCCCATAGGAACACCAAATTTAACAACTATCCACACAAAAAAGCACCTATATATGAACCCAAAATTAAGTGAGTGATTGCAGTACCTGATTTTAACTTCATATTACTGAAAGAGGCACTGAAGAGGGTAGGAAAGACAGTCTTAAATTGCTAATGCCACCCCTGATCCCATCCCCTGGTAGCAACCATATGGTGCTGAGAGAGAAGCTCTGTGCTTGGCGGAGAGAAAATGAAGTGATTGTGGGACTTCACATTGGAACTTGGTGCTGCCCTGACACAGAGAAAAGCAACACAGGGCAGAATTTAGACAGCACCCATAGATGATAGTGCATTTAGACCAGCCCTAATCAAAAAGGAATTTCATAGTTTGCGTTGGAACCTGAGTTCTGGCAAGGCTCACTGCTGCAGGCTAATGTGCTCTGGTGTTCTAAATACACTTGAAAGGCAGTCAAGACCACAAAGACTGCAATTCCTGGTCAAGTTCTAGTGTTGTGCTGAGCTCAAAGCCAGTGTACTTGAGGTGCATGCAACCTAGTGAGACACCAACCAGGGAGACCAAGGGAGTGCTTGTGCCACACTTCTCCCAACCCTAGGCACCACAGCTTATAGCTCCATGAGAGAATCCTTCCTTCTACTTGAGGAGAGGGGAGACTAAAGAGGACTTTGTCTTGCTACTTGAATACCGGCTCAGCCACAGTAGGATAGGGCAACAGGCAGAGCCCTGAGGCCCTCCTTTTAGTCCCTGGCTTCTGGATGCCATTTCTAGATACACTGGGCCAGAAAGAAACCCACTGCCTGGAAGGAAAGACCCAGTCTTGGCATGATTAATCAGCTGCTGACTAAAGAGGCCTTAGGCCTTGAACAATTAGCAATAGTATCCGCGTAGTACTCACCATGGGCCTTGGATGAAATTCAGAGATGTGCTGGCTTCAGGTATGACCCAGTATATACCCAGTTGTGATGGCTATGAGGAGAGTTTCTTCCTGCTTGAGAAAAAAGAGGAAAGAGTAAAGGGGACTTAGTCTTGCAACATAGGTACCAGCTCGGCTACTGTGGCATAGAGCGCCAAGTGGGCTCTTTGAGTTTCTGATTTCAAACCTTGGCTCTTTGATGGCATTTCTGGATCTACCCTAGGCCAGAGGGGAGAAAGCCCACTGCCTTGAAGGGAGAGTCCCAGGCCTGGCAGCATTTATCACAAGTTGACTGAAAAGCCCTTGGTTTTTGAATGAACATCAGTGGTATTCAGGCAGTACTCACCACAGGCCTGGAGTGGTGGCAGCCATGGACAGAGACTCCTCTACTTGTGGAAAGTGGACAGAACAATGGGAATGACTTTCTTTTGTGGCTGGAGTGCCAGCTTAGCTGCACCAAGGTAGATTCCTCAGGCTTTTGTCTCCATGCCCTGGCTCCTGTATGGCGTCTCTGGACCCACCTGGGACTAGGGGAACTGGCTGCCCTGAAAGGAAGGACGCAAGGCTGGCTGGCCTTGCCACCTCCTCATTGTAGAACCCTAGAGCCTTGAGCAAACATACAAACCAGGCAGTAGTTAGTATGGGTCTTGGATGAGATTGAGTGGTGGGCTGGCTTTTGGCGTGACCTAGCACAGTCCCAGGAGTGGTGGCCACTCCTCCTCTAGCTCCAGGCAGCTCAGCACAGGGAGAGAGAGATTCTGTTTTACTGGAAGAAAGTAAGAGAAGAAAAAAAGAGTCTCTGTTTGGTAATCCAGATAATTCTTACACATCTTATCCAAGACTACCAAGGTAGTACCTCTGTGTGTCTGCAAGAGCCACAGAGTTACTGAGCTTGTGATGTCCCTTAATGCATACATGGGTGAAGATATCAAAAACTTAGATCATCACACCCAGTTCCCTTCAAATACCTGGAAATCCTTCCCAGGAAGGACAAGAATAAACAAGCCCAGACTGCAATGAGTAAAGCAAATACCTTCAATGCTTAGACACCAGTAATAATCTGCAAGCATCAAGGCTATCCAGGAAAATATGACCTCACCAAATGAACTAAATTACCAGGGAGAAATCCTGGAGAGATAGAGTTATGTGATTTTTCATGTTAATGGGTACAAAAATAGAGAGAATGGATAAGATCTAGTATTTGATAAGACAACAGGGTGACTAGAGCTAAAAATAATTTGTTGCACATTTAAAAATAACTAAATAGTATAATTGGATTTTTTTCTAACATGAAGAAAGAATAAGTTCTTGAAGTAATGAATACCTCATTTACCCTTATGTGATTATAATGCATTGCATGCCTGTATCAAAATATCTCATGTACTGCATAAATATATACACTTCCTATATACCCACAAAATAAAAATAAAAATAAATTAAATTAAAAAATATTTATAGATCATATAATATATGCAAAGATTGTACTGATCGCTGAGGGTTATCTGAATGATTAATAAACTATCATGCTGCTCATAGTCCATTGGGAAATATGAATATATGTAAATTACTCTAATCCAATGCAAACTATGAATGCCATAAAAGTAATATGGGCATTGTGCCAAGGATCTAATAAATTACTGATATATATTTGAAATAAAAATTTTGCCAGAAATAATGACTTCCAGTTTTACTTTAAGGGAATAGATGTAGTGTAACAGACACTTGATATTTTAGCATGAGGGTGGGGTATGCAGTGCAGTTAAACAAAGGCTTGGGGGTGAGAAAAAAGAATAGGTCAAATTTTAAGGGATGAAAGGGAACATGCTTGAATTAGATGGTGTGTTGGTGTGTGTTTTCCTTCAGTGCATTATTTAATTGTTTGCCATATCCACATCAGCAGCTGCCAATTTAAACCACAGGTCATGGCATTTGACGTATAGTTTTCATAATATTGGCTTAAAAGAATTACTGCATAACAAATTTTCCTGAGTGGGAGTCACCAGTGTTCTGTTTTCTCATACTTGTTAGAGAAACAGAGAAGCAATAGAACACTGAACTAGAAGTCAAGAGAACTGTATCATAAAGCTTTTCCAATTGCTTGTTTTCTGCCATTGGCTAAGTCAATTTATCTTCCTGAGCCACAATTTTTGCCTATTTATTTATTAAGGATTTAAAGAGAAAATCAGATAATGAAAAAACATTCTAAAGTCTGAAACAAAATATATACATATTTATGTAATATACAATTTATAAATTATATTGAAATTATAAGAAATCTCTCAGTGTTTAAACTGTAAGTAACATTTCAGTAAAATGAACTCTAAGGAACTGCTCAAATTACTTGATTTTCTCAGAGTTTTATTATGACCTAGAATATGTGAGACCTTCCTTAAATAAGGCTTATAATATTTTGTTAAATTGGTCTTTGGTATTATTTTGCCAATTTGTAGGTTTTTTTCAAAGTTTTATTTTCAATTAAATAATAGTTGTACATATTTATGAGGCAAAATGTGATAGTTTGATACATATATACATTGTGAAATGATCAAATTAGACTAATTAACACATGTATAATCTCAAATACTTATCATTTCTTTGTGGTGAGAATATTTGAAATCCATTTTTACCTATTTTGAAATGTACAATACATTATTAACTATAGTCACCATGCTATGTAGTATACAAGTTTTGTTAGATTTTGAATATATTAATGCATCTATCAAATTTTGCTACCCATGTTATTTCAAAATATTTTATTGTTTTTCACAAAACTGTTACCTGTACACACACACACACACACACACGCACACACACACACACACACACGCACACGCACACACACACACACACACACGTTTACTCTGCATTTTCTCAGAATATCTCCAAGGTATTAATGTTAAATCTATAAAACAGATTTTTTTTTTCTGGAAAGTTTTTCAATGGTTTATTTTGCCCTAAATTTAACCTTTCAAAAGCTATAATTGACAGAAGAACAAACAAATTTTTTGGAGGGAGGAATGTACTGCAGCTAGGCCAACTAACAAATGTTCTCACCACAAAGAAATGATCAGTGTTTGAGATTATAGATGTGTTAAATAGCCTGCCATAGTGATGCAGACAACAACAACAAAGAAAGTACTTGTAGGAAGCTTAAGTTATTTTACGTAGGGAATTGAGGGACAATGCGATAGATTGATCACTGGTCAAAACCATCCTTTATGTAACTTTGCAAGTTCAGTACTCCTAACATTTTCATTCCAGTGGTGCCCTTCCAAAATTGGTATATTAACAAAATTAGCTAGATGATGCAATTAGAAATGTCAAGGAGGAGAGAGAACACAAAAGCATGAAAAACAGAATGAAAGTAAAACTTGGGCCATAGGCAAAATTGTATTTAGAGAATATGAAATAAAAAAGAATGTTGCTTCTGGGGAATTTGAATTAATTTTTTTCTATCAGTTTGTTTCAGGTAATAAATTATTTTGAACACTGTTTTCTGTTCTCTTTGTTTCTTCAGTGATCTTCAATTCTGTAGAAAAATGAAGAGCTGAGAAATTGAGTGAAGTTTTCAGCAGCTTCTGTACCATACTCTACATTTAAATTGTATTAGGTTTCCCTAGTGTATATGTTATGTCATATAAATATTTAGCACTTTGGAAGGGACAATGGGTCAGGAGGACTATTTAGTGAATTATTGTGACTCTGCGTGGAATGTTTGTCATATGACTAAAAAGAAAAGAACTTAGCTCTTTTACAGTAAGAAGTAAATCACTGACATCTTGTTTGGAAAATTTATTTGTGTTTCAAATGAACATACTGTGTGCCTATTTAAAAAAATAATCTCCAGGAATTTGTCTAATCATTAGCTTTAGAACTAGAGTAAAGAATATGTTCCATTTTCTCCTTAACATAAACTACATAGCACATTGCTATGTTAATCATCAAATTTTCAGTTAGAGATTCATTTAACTTTCAACAATGGTTCAATTGTTGCGGGAAGTCAGGGACCTCGAACAGAGGGACTGGCTGGAGCCGTGGCAGAGGAACATAAATTGTGAAGATTTCATGGACATTTATCAATTCCCAAATAATACTCATAATTTTTTACGCCTGTCTTACTTTAATCTCCTAATCCTGTTATATTCATAAGCTAAGGATGTACATCACCTCAGGACCACTATTGTGTTAATGGTACAAATTGATTGTAAAATGTGTGTTTGAAGAATATGAAATCAGTGCACCTTGAAAAAGAACAGAATAACAGCAATTTTCAGGGAACAAGGGAAGACAACCATAAGGTCTGACTGCCTGTGGGGTCAGGCAAAAGAGAGCCATATTTTTCTTCTTGCAGACAGCCTATAAACAGACGTGCAAGTAGGGATTATATCGCTAAATTCTTTTCCTAGCAAGAAATATTAATAATTAATACCCTGGGGAAGGAATGCATTCCTTGGGGGAGGTCTATAAACAGCTGCTCTGGGAGTGTCTGTCTTATGCAGTTGAGATAAGGACTGAAATACACCCTGGTCTCCTGCAGTACCCTCAGGCTTACTAGGGTAGGGAAAAACCCCGCCCCGGTAAATTTGAGGTCAGACCGGTTCTCTGCTCTCGAACCCTGTTTTCTGTTGTTTAAGATGTTTATCAAGACAATACGTGCACCGCTGAACATAGACCCTTAACAGTAATTCCGCTTTTGCCCTTTGCCTTGTGATCTTTGCTTTTGCCCTTTGTCTTGTGATCTTTGTTCTCCTTTTTGCCCTTTGAAGCATGTGATCTTGTGACCTACTCCCTGTTCTTGCACACCCTCTCCTTTTAAAATCCTTAATAAAAACTTGCTGGTTTTGCAGCTCAGGTGGGCATCATGGTCCTACCGAAATGTGATGTCACCCCTGGAGGCCCAGCTGTAAAATTCCTCCTTTTGTACTCTTTCTCTTTATTTCTCAGCCAGCTGACACTTACTTATGAAAAATAGAAAAAAACCTATGTTGAAATATTGGGGGCTGCTTCCCCTGATAGTTCAATCTCCTTTCCCTTTATCAAAATTAAAATGCTTTGATGAGTTCACATTTTAGTGGGAGAGATAAAAATGTAAACACAATTACAAAAGATAAATAGATGCAATTTTAAGAGCACTGAAAATAGATCGTTCACTTTTTGTGTGTGCATTGTGGGTTTTTTGTTTTGTTTTGTTGTTTGTTTTGACATGGTCTTACTTTGTTGCCCAGGCTGGAGTGCAGTGATGTGATCTCGGCTCACTGCAACCTCCACCTCTCGGGTTCAAGCAATTCTCCTGCCTCAACCTCTCAAGTAGCTGGGACTACAGGCGCACACCACCACGCCCAACTAATTTTTGTAATTTTTTAGTAGAGAAGGGGTTTCACCATGTTGGTCAGGCTGGTCTCAAACTCCTGACCCAAGTGACCCACCCGCCTTGGCCTACCAAGATGCTGAAATTACAGGCATGAATGACCATGCCAGGCCTGTTTACCTTTCATTGGAGAACAACATAAACAAATGCATGGTAGCAGGGAAGTATGGGTGGCGTTCTATTTAACAGTGGATCGGAATGCAGGAATTGGGGGAAAAAAGAGGAAGAATCAGAAGAAATAGAACATTATGAAAAATAGTATAGACATGATACTTTTAGGGAAATGGTTAAAAAAATACAAAAGTTGTAAGTATGCTTCATGATCTCAATGTAGCATACTACTCTTTGTTTCATACTACTTGTACTACCAACCTTCAGTGAAAGCTCAGAATCACCAGTTCCAGTCAGTGCACAAACTTTATCAAGATTATATATGAAGGACCTCACTTGATGCACAGTTACCTCATTTACTTTATATGGTAAAGGTAAGCCTCATTTAGCCTTTAGCTTTATAAAATATGCCAGATGATGGATTATGCTTGACTGTTATTCATATTTATGTGATTGTAACAAAGTACAATGTAGTTAAAATTTCCAGGGAATGTATTCAAGTCATCTCTGGTCCTTCAGGTTTTAGAAAAAAAATAATTATTGCCCCTACTTAATCTAACACTTAGTGAGAAAAAAATAATAAAGTTTAATTTCATTTGAACTCATCTGATTAAGTTTCTATGGGAAAGGGGAAGAACTAAACGGCCACAAACTTTTTTCTTTTCATGATGAAATTATTTGATGGTAGTATGGCTCAAATTAGCACCAAAGCATATATGTTGACTTGTTTTCAATTGCCAGTGCTGAGAATTAGTTGTTTACAAAGACCATTACTTGTCAATTCATTTGACTCAGCCAAGCTTAACAATGCAGTAAGAATGTGGGTGCTGTTATGAGAATAGAAGTATCATTTCATTGCTTTGAGAATCTTGTTATATCTATGAGACAGGTTACTTTTGATTTAAAATAGCATCAGTCTAGTTGCTTTAGTAAATTATCTCACAACCTTGCACTAAATTACTGATAGGTTGCAATAAAAGTTCATATCATTAAAAATTAAGACCAAAAACCTAATATTAAAATGTGAGTAAAATAAAAGTGGATCTCATAGCATAACCAGGACTTGGATCATAAAACAGAGTCTGCCTAATTAATAGTACATAAGATGGTTTGACCTTCTTCTACTGTCATTGCCCTGACTCTGCACAAGGATGTGTCAAGTAAGATATTGAAAGAGACCTGACTACTGTTCATCTTTACCTCCATTCATCACTTTTCTCTATCTATTTGCAGATAAAAAAGTCCAAGAAAGCAATAAAAACAACTGTGTAGAATGTGTGTTAGCATGTGTGTATGTGGTACATTGTTGTCAGTGTATTGTATCCTGAAAGATACAGCTCTTACAAGTGTTCTAGGCCAGGGTAAAGACTGAGATTACTCTGGTAGTGGTGTTTGCTGGAAATTATGTTTTTGATATGCTCCATCTTTTCACAGTATCAGAAAACCAGGTGCTGGAATACAAGAAAATGCAACCCTCATGGAGAAAATTTGCAGTGCTAAAAACTGGGAAATAGACTGGGAACTGTGTACACACAACTGCTTTCCAGCTGTAGCTTTAATAAGAGGAATAAACCATGACCCATGTGATAGAGTGAAGGTAGAAATAATCAATGTACTCTATTTGTGAACAATCATCATGTCTCAGCAGATTTTATTTCAGTAGTAGATGAGTAATAAAAATATATTTAAAAAATAACTTTTACATTACTGAATTTCTTGAATCTTTCTTGCAGTATTTTTAAATCAATATTAATATTTAATACTAATCTTTCAATATTTAATATCTTTATCAAATCTATAAAACATTGTAGTTTTTGAAGGTTCTTTCCAGTAAAATAAGGCCAGAAAAAGAAATGAAATCATTAAGACTGAAAGTAAAACACAAAATGTCATTATTTACAGACATTATTATATAATATTAATATTAAATATCATTTATATTTTATTAATATTAAATTATTAAATATTATTTAATATTAACCTTAAATATAAAATATTGATAAAATATTGATGAAAAATGTATTTCAGGAAAAACTTTTTTATTTCTTTCAGGAAAAACTTTTTATTCCTTTCATGTCAGTTGCTAATTTTTGTTTTTAGAAGAATTTGCCCATTTTGCTTGAATTCTCATATTCATTGGCATTCATTTGTTAATAAGTTTTTAAAATATTTATAATAATGATACTGATATCCCCTTTCTTTTTTTATAGTAATTTGTTCTTGCCTTTTTTTCTCTTTGGTGCTTATAAGGTGCTAATCAATTTTATTTGTATTGCAAAATGACTGATTTGTTTAAATTATGTCTACTGTATATTTGTTTTCCATTTCAATAAATTCTGTCTGTATTTTTCTACATTAAAAAAACTAAGTTGCTGTGTTTTTTCCATTCTCTTGAGATGTATGCTATAATAATTGATATGCAACTGTTTTCAATTTCTATATGCTTTTAAGCCTGTAACTTTCCCCAAAATTTCAGCTGCAGCTCCGTCAAAGTAATATATAAAATTTTTATTGTCATTAAGGCAAATATATTTCTGAATATTATTGCAACATATTCTTCTTGGGGGGTACTTTTATTTATTTTTCTATTGATACATATTAGATGTACATATTTTCGGGGTATGTGGGATAATTTGATACTTTTGTAAAATCGAATTATGATAATTGGAATATCTATCACCTTAATTATTTATCTTTCTTTATGCTAGAGACACAAATTATTCTCTTCTATCTATTTTGAAATGTACAACTGTTTAATGTCAACTATAGTCAACTGACTGATCTATCAATGGAGAAAGGGCAGTCTCTTCAACAAATGGTGTTGGAAAAACTGAATAACCATATGCAGAAGAATGAAGCTGAACCCGTAACTCTCACCATAAACAAAAATCAGATCAGAACAGTTTAAAGACAAATCTAAGAAAATAAATTAGGAAACTACTAGAAGAATACATTGTGGAAACACTCCAGGACATTGGTCTGACAAATGTTTTATGTGTAAGACATTCTCCAAACCACAGACAATGAAAGCAAAAATGGACGAATGTGACTGATTCAAGCTGAAAAGCTTCTGTGCAGCAAAGGAAACAACAAAGTGCAGTATATTCTTCACCTCATGGTTATTTAAATGTGCAAAGCATATTTTCAAACATTTGGAGATGTTCTTGTTATATTTTAGTTATTGAGCTCTAGTTTAAACCCCCAGAGAATAGAGCACACAGTTTGTAATATTTCTGTCTTTAGAAATTTATCAAGTTTCTATTGTCCATGTCTTCTTGAAAATAATGTGCATTGTGCAGTTATTGGTTGTAGAGTTCAACATGTGGTAAATAGGTCGATATCCTTAATAATTTTCTTTGGCTCTTCTATAACCATCCTGATTTTTGCATGCTTGTTCCAACAGTTTTTGGGGATGGGTTGAGTTACTTTTCTTGTTTTATTTTGTCAAATACTTTTTATCATCATTCACCTCATCACCATTGTCTTCCTTTCTCTCTGCCTCTTCTGCCTTCTCCTATTTCTCTTCCTCCATGCTGGATTTTATTCTATGCTTTTACTATCATTTTTTTCTATGTCCTTATTGCCTATATCTCACAATATCTCATATATATATATATAGTTATGTATCATGAAACTAGTACTAATATTTTTAACCCAGTTATTTTATGTTTAATGTATTAACTGATATCTTTAGATTGAAGTCTACAATCTTACTATTAAAAAAATTGTAATATTGTCTTGTTCCCTTCTCATTTGTATCTTGTCTTTCAGCAAATGTTGTCTATTTAGCAAATTTTTAATCAGGAGATACGGGTTGTCAGTCTTCTTGCTGTTGTTTATATTCCTTATCTATTAGTATGATGGTAATAAATTTTTATATTATTATTTCATTGGTTATCTTAGAGATTATAAAATATTCCCCTGACTTACTGATCTCTACCTGAAATGCTAGGACCTTACAAAATTTTGACCTCTATTTATTACCTTTCTGTCTTTTCTAATAATGTTGTCATAGACTTTTATTCTACATATATTTTATATCTGATTACATTATAATTATTTTATGTGTAAAACAAAAATAAAATTCTAAGCCTCCCAAACATCTGGATGGACCCTTCCTCTTGACAAAGGACATTCCAAAGTTAATCTGAAAAACTAGTTCAGGTCATGATAGGAAGGGGAGGTCAGACATGCCTTATTATAGTCTCTTCCCTTTTGGAATTCAGGAACAGCTGACCAGCATTAATATCAACAGAGACTTTAATTCTGATAAGAAACATTTACAATATATTATCTCTGAAGCCTGCTACCTGGAGGCTTCTTCTGCATGGAAAAGCTTTTGTTCCCACAACTCTTTATTGTAACCCAGAAATTCCCTTCTATTGATTCCAGGTCTTTAGATAATAACTCTTTCAACCAATTGCCAAACAGAAAATCTTTAAATCTACCTATGACCTGGAAGGCCCTGCTTCAAATTGTCCTGCATTTCCAGATCGAACCAATGTACATCTTACATTTATTGACTGATGTATGCTGTCTCCCTAAAATGTGTAAAAGCAAGCTGTACCCTTAACACCCTGGACTCATGTCATCAGGACCTCTTAAGGCTGTGTCACAGGTACATTCTTAATCTTGACAAAACAAACTTTCTAAATTGAATGAGACCTGTCTCAGATAATTTTGGTTCACAAATGCAATCAACATTTATTTAGATTTATCCATATATTCACTTTTCAGTACTCTTCATTCCTTTCTAAATTATAATGCTTGTGTGTGAGGTACATTTCCTTTTAATTATGAAACCCCATTATGATATTTTTCAGTATGGGTTTGCTAGTAATGAATTTCTTTAGTTTTTTATTTTCTGAAACCAGTTTAGGCTTTCTAATTTTACATTTAAAATTTTTACTGCTTACAATTGTATATGAAGATTGTTAAACAAATTAATTAAAAATTTTTTTCTCAGCTTTATTGAACTTTTATTTATGTAGAATAAGTGCATCCATTTTTGTACTGTGCAATTTGATGATTTCTGGCAAATGTATATACTCATGCAAACCAACACCACAATCTATATCTACATGTAATATATTAAATCATATATATTATATAACCAATGTTATGCATAATATATTATGTATATTTTATACTTTATTGTTATTTTATATTATGCAATATATTCTTATGTACTTCACTGACATATGTGTATGTGTATATATGTATGTGTGTATGTCTGTTACATGCCCATCATCTCAAAAGTTTCCTAAGTGCCATTTCCCAGTCAATCTCCTCTGTTTCCAGCCCTAGGCAATCACTGATCTCTGTGCCACCTTGTATACATGCAGACAGAAGAAATAAGACCTGGCATTCAATGGATCAGTAGGGTAATTATAGTTAACATTGATCAATTATACATTTCAAAATAGCTAGAAAATAATAATTTGAGTATTCCTAGTGTAAAGGAAAGATAAATACTTAAGGTGATAAATATCCCAATTATCTTAATTTGATTATTTAAATGCATGAAATTTTCACATATACCTCCAAAATATGTATATCTAATATGTATCAATAAAAATACATTTAAAACTTCTGAAAATAATTTATCTTTCTTGATATCTGCACCTCCATGTTTATTGCAACTCCGTTTACAACAGCCAATATACGAAAGCAAACTTAGTGTCTTTCAACAGACACACTTATTAAAAAATATGGTAAATATATATATATATATATACACACACACACACACACAATGGAGTATTATTAAGCCACAACAAATAATGAAATCCTGTTATCTGAAGCAACATAGATGAAACTGGAAATCATATATATAAGTGAAATAAGCCAAACACAGAAAGACAAATATCACATGTTCTCACTCATGTGGAAGATAAAAAAGTTTACCTCATAAATGTAGAGAGTAGAATGATGGTTACCAGAGGTGGGGAAGTGTGGGAGGAGGGAGGTGAAGAGATATTGGTTAATGAGGCAAAAATATGGTCAGAGAAAATACATTACAGTGTTTGATAGCACTGTACATTGACTATAGCTAAGAATAATGTATTGTATATTTCAAAATAGGAGGAAGAGAAGATTTGGAATGTATCCAACACAAATAAATGATAAATCCTTGAGGTGATGGATATCCTAATTATTTGATATGATTTGATTATTACAAATTGTATGTATGTATCAAAATATAATATGTATCCCACACACATGTACAATTATTATGTATCAATAAAAATCATGAAAAAGAAAACATAGATTTTTAAAAAAGAATTTCACATAAGTGAAATCATATAGTATACACATTTTTTTTGCACTTGACTTTTTTTTCACCCAGCCAAATGTTTGTGAGATTCGTTCATAGTTTGGTTTGGATCAGCAGTAGCTTCCTTTTTATTACTAAATTGTATTCCATTTCTTGATTATATTATAATTTGTTACTTCATTCACCCATTGCTTTAGTCAATTTCCACACTGCTATAAGGAACTACCTGAGACTGGGCAATTTATGAAGAAAAGAGTTTTAACTGACTTACAGTTTCACAGGTTTAACAGGAAGCATGACTGGAAGACCTTAGGAAACTTACAATCATGGCAGAAGGTGAAGGGGAAGCAAGCACCTTCTTCATATGGTGGCAGGAGACAGCGAGTGGGGAAGTGCCACATACTTTTAAACCATCAGGTATTGAGAACACACTATCACGGGGAAAGCATGGGGGAAATTCCATACCCATGTTCCAATCACCTCCCACCAGGCCCTTCCCCTAACATTGGGAATTACAATTCAACATCAGATTTGGGTGGGAACACACAGCCAAATCATATCACCTATTGATTGATATTTGTTTTCATATCTATTGTGACTAAAGTTACTATGAAGAGTCATGAGAGTCATGTACAATTGTTAGTACAGACATATCTTTTCTTATATTTTTGGTAAATATGTTAAGGTGAAATCATTGAGATTTATGGTAAGTTCATCTTTAACTTTATAAGAATCTGCCAGATGCTTTCAAAACTGTTTCTACCACTATGCATTCCCACTAATAGTTTAAGAGAGTTCCAGGAATTCAATATTCTCATCAACATTTAGGGTTGCCAGACTCTTTTTTAACCATTCTAATATATGTATGGTTGTATTTTGGTGTGGCTTTTTTTTTTTTTTTTACATTTCTTGGATGATTAATTATGTTGAGCATTTTTGGGGGGCTTATTGGAATTTTTATTTCTTCTTTTGTGAAGTTTTTAAAAAAAATTTGTTTACTTTTTAAAGTTGCATTATCTTTCTGTTAGTTTATAAGATTCTTACGTATGTTGTGAATATAATTCCTTTGTCAGATATATAAATTGTAAATATTTTTTCAATGTTTGCCTTGGCTTTTCATTTTCTTAATAATGACTGAGTTATACATTTTGAAGAATTTCAATTTAAATTTTTTTGTTAGTGTGTTTTGTGATATCTCTAAGAAGTTATATCATACACTGATATAGTTTGGCTTTGTCCTTATCCAAATCTCATCTAGAATTCCCACATGCTGTGGGAGGGACCTGGTGGGAGGTAATTGAATCATGGGGGCAGGTCCTTTCCGTGCTGTTCTCGTGATATTGAATGAATCTCACAAGATCTGATGGCTTTATGAGGCAGAGTTTCCCTGCACAAGCTCTCTTTTTGCCTGCTGCAATTCATGTAAGATGTGCCTTGCTCTTCCTAGCCTTCTGCTGTGATTGTGAGGCTTCCCCAGCCACATGAAACTATAAGTCCAATTAAACCTCTTTCTTTTGTGAATTGCACAGTTTCAGGTATGTCTTTATCAGCATCGTGAAAACAGACTAATACATACCCCAAAATTGTAACAATTTTTTCTATATTTTCTTCTATAAATTAGATCTGTGATCCATTTTCAAAGTAATTTTTTTTGCAGACTTGGAGGAATGGGTCAAGGTTCAATTTTTTTCTATTTGAATATGAAGTTGTTGGAACATGACTTGTTGAAAGATTATTCCTGCTGTATTAAGTAAGTTTGGCAACTTTCTCAAAAATAAGTTGATCTTATATGTGTGGTCTATTTCTGGATTTTGAGCTTGTCTCTTACATCTATATGTTTACCATTATACAAATACTATATTTTCTTGATTACTATAGCTTTATAATAAATGTTGGAATCAGGTAAAGTTCTCTTTTTTTTCAAAATTGTTTTGGCTATTCTTTATCCTTTACATTTACGTATACATTTTAGAATCAGGGAGCAGGGGCATGGGTTGAAAAACTACCTATTAGGTACTGTGCTCATTACCTGAGTGATGAAGTCTATAACCTAAACCTTAGCATCAATCAATATACCTATGTAACAAACCTGCACATGTACCCCCTGTATCTAAAATAAGACTTGAAATTATATTAAAAAATTATTTTCAGCAAAAATGCCTACTGGAATTATTGAGATTGTGTTTGCTATTTATATTTATTTTTAAGAAAATTTATATCGTAAGAACTTTGAAGCTTCATACACATAAATTGAGTATCTCTTCATTCATTTGTATATTATTTAAGTTCTCTAAGCAGTGATTTTAAAATGTCAGTGTAAAGATCTTAGATCTCTTTTGTTTAAATATTTTATCTTTCTG